>NC_000016.10:51835227-52138257 GCF_000001405.40 Homo sapiens | reverse complement strand
CTAATCTTGTTTCCACTTTACAGATGGGGAAACTGAGGCCCAAATCAGTTGGGTGACATGCTCAGGCCACATTGCTTATAGATGGCAGAGTTGAATTGCAAACCCGAGTCTGTCTAACTCCAAAGCTTTTGCTCCTGTGGGATTTCCTTGGAGGCAACTCTCATTAGGCCTTTCTGTAGTTGAGCCCCAGAACCCATTGTCAGGGTCAGGCCCAGGTAGCTGTCTCATGCACTCCTTTTCCTCCTAGACTGTTGGTCCCAAGACTGGAACCAACAGTCTTGGTCTGTTGGTTTCTATGGTTCCTTCTCGCATAGAAAACTATCCCTACTCACTCTTTCTTTTGTGGGTGCCTCTATCAAACTAGCTGCAGAATGAAGCTTCTACTTCTTTTCTTTATCATTTTGAGTGTTTCCTACTGGGATACCAATAGAAAATCAAGACGATGTAAAAATATCTCAAAATAGTAGCCTCTGGCTCTGGCCAGTCTTTCTTGACTTTCATCTGGGAGTATGGTGACCGATTCATCCAGTTTGCCTGGGACTTTTCCTGTTTTAGCACTGAAAATACCTGTGTCCTGGAGTCTCCTCACTCCTGGGCAACGAGGACAGTTGGTCACCTGAACTGGGAAGGTAAATGGACAAATTTTAGATAGGCTTGGGGAATGAGAAGATTATAAATGAACCTCCTAAAATTGAACACAAATTGTATGTTGACTAGAGACAGGTAGCAGTCAGACTGCTAGTAAATGGCAGAACCAGGTTTCAAACACATGTCAGGCTAAGTCCAAGCTAGACATACCGTGTCCTTTCCATGACGGCTCTGGAAAAATCTCTCCTAGGGCAAGGCATCAACAGATTATCAAAAAAGAAAAAAAACATGTCCTAGGAAATGGCAAGTATAATGGACCTAAATACCGTTGAGTTAGTAAAATTTTCTTGTGAAAAGAGATTCTCAGAATGTAGCATTTCAGGCATAGTTCGACCAGTATAAGCTAAGACTTCTAAATCTGTTCTTCTATATATTGTATCTTTATCCATATAGCTTTAGGACATAGTCACAGCTTTTGTGGGGCCTGCCACATTATTCTTGACTCTAGGGTCTGAGATCAGTTAGTGCTCTTTTTTCTTTCATTTGAACTGATATTAATCTGGGTATCTGCCATTTGTATTTTTTCACCCCTCTATTATTTCTGGATGTCTGAAAACACTTTAATAATTACTTTGATTTTCCGAGTGTTTGTATTCTAGACTGTCTTGTGGTTATCATTGTATCTATGCATGTAGGCCACGTCTAATAAATAAAGTGACACCTCAAAATAATAGTGTTATGAGTAGTTGCATGTTCACTGAAATTAGAGATAATTTACATGGTTTGCAAGCTTCTTTTTTATTGGAATATGGCAAGTGCAAAAAAAATGTAATATGAATACCTTAGAAGTTCTGTTTTGCTATCAAAAACCATTGATTTCCTTCTTGGTACAATAATAGCAGTTAAACCGTCCAGAAATACAACTATTCTAACTGGGAAAAGAATAAGGAAACAATATGAGCTTGGGTATGTGATGAGGCAGTCTCAAGTGCGAATGTTATTGAAAAAGGTTTCTCACTGGTAGTTTTTCATGCAAATGAGAACAAGCTAATCACTTTACATACATTACCTCATTTGGTCTTCATAACAAACCTATAATAATCATTAACACTTATTATGTGTTTGCCATGAGTCAGGCACTATTTTAAGTACCTTATCTGTATTATCTCATTGAATTATCACTATATCTCTAGGAGGAGTATTAGGAATACTTTCTAAACCTGGCTAAGGTGGCTTAAACTGGCAAAAGTACTTATTGATTTATAGGAAATCCTGAAGCAGATTGTATTAGTCCACCGCTATGAAGAAATACTCAAGACTGGGTAATTTTTAAAGGAAAGTGGTTAATTGACTCACAGTTCCACATGGCTGGGGAGGCCTCAGGAAACTTACAATTATGGTGGAAGGTGAAGGAGAAAGAAGTACCTTCTTCACAAGGTGGCAGGAAAGAGAGATCACAGGGGAAACTGCTACTTATAAAACCATCAGATCTCAGAACTCACTCACTGTCATGAGAACAGCATGGGGGAGAACACCTCATGATCTAGTCACCTCCTACCAGGTCCTTCCCTTCACACATAGGGATTACAGGTGGAGATGACATTTGGGTGGGGACATAGAGTCAAACCATGCCGCAGGTTTTACTGGAGCTCAATGATATCCTAAAAGATTCAGCCTCCTTTGATGCTTTCTTTCTGCCACCTTCAGTGGGTCATCAATGCATTGAAGGATGGCTTCGATAGGCTCTCCCTAGCATCACGTTTTCATGCAACAGCACCCAAGCAAGAAATAAAAGGAGATGTAGCAAAGAGTCTTTTCTTTATACTCTTCTCTCATTTTCAGGAAGTAAAATCCTTTTTACACTTGATCTTATCCAAAAGGACTAGAAGCAGTAGGTAGGAAAACCGTTTCTAGACGTCTCCAGCAAACTTCCTTTCTCAACTAATAAGTTAGAACTAGATCATACCATCATCCTCACCTTTCAGAGAAGTTAGGAAACTGAGTACCTGAAAGAGGAAAGTTGGGTTGCCTTGATTGGCTTAACAGAGTGGTTCTTAGACTATTTTGTCTAAGGAGCCGTTTTCACCCTTAAAAATTGTTGAGGACTCCAGAGAGCTTTGTTTATTTGTGTGATCTTTATTGATATTGAAATTAAAACATAAATTTTTTAAACATTCATGAATTTATTAAAATAACATAATGCCTGTTAACATTAAAATATTTTTGCTGAAAAATAACTATTTTTCAAAAAAATAGCAAAAAGAGTGGTATTGCTTTATGTTTTGTACATCTCTTTAATGTCTGGCTTAATAGAAGACACCTGGATTCTCATATCTGCTTCTGTATTTAATTTGTTGTGATATTTTGGTTTGGTTGAAGTATATGAAGAAAATTCAGCCTCAGGATATCTTAATAGCTTTTTCAGGTAATTGTAGATATTCTTCTTTGATACTATACCCAAACTCACCAAGTGGTAGTTTGTTAAAGGTTAACTGCAATGTGGAATCTGAAACCATACCTATAAATGTTTTAGTACTTTGTTTCATTATATTCCACTGGTCTCTTTTCCATTTGAAGGGGTCTTTTATCCATATATAATTTTGTAACATCATGCATTAGTAATTTGGAAGCTATTGGTTTTTTGAGTTATGCATATCTTCTAAATATTTTTATATTTTATTATGTGATACAAAAATCATGTTCATCTATATCCCCACAGATGTCATCACAAAAGTCTTTACATGTCGAGAAGTTGTTAAGCTGTCAATGATGGGTACAAATTCTCTAAAATTTTAATTTTCATTTGAAAGCCTGTATCTTATTGTTGACAACAAATACTATCAGTTGTTTTCCTGTCTGTCAAATACCTAAGTCTGAATTACCATGATTTGTCAGTTGCTCTTTTAAGTAAAAATGATGTTCCGTGATAAAAGTGACTAGTTCAGCTCATAATTCAAACAATTGCACAAGTTGCCTTTTCTTAAAACAACCACAGATTTTTTTTCATGGCTAGAAGTGCTTCATCTGTACTTCTCATTTCATCACACATAAAACATTTAAAAGATGTGTGTTTAAGGGTCCGGATTTAATAGAAATAATTTATTAATACTTTTTCTTGCTTTTTCACCAAAGCAGGCTTTTTTTTTTTTTTTTTTTTTTTTTTTTGCAATGGTGATGAACATCACAACATGGCTATTGATGCAGTTTGGTGGCCCTGCCTTGATTTATTCTTAAGGCCCAAGCAGTTTTGCCCATCATTGCTTTTGCATCACAGTGAAAAGAATAAATAATGCATTAGCATTCTTATGAAAATAGTTTATTTCTTGCAGACTTCCTGAAAGGATCTCAGGGACCCCCAAGGGTCCGTGGATCACACTTTGAAAACTGTTGTCTTAGACCATTAGTAATTCATATCCTAAAGTTGGACAAACAGCTGCCCAAACCAAATCACATTCTATTAGCAAGGAAGGGAGAAGAATATATGTTTTATAGACATCTATTGCATGCAAGACAGTCTGAGTTCTGAGACAGCAGGCATGGGACTCAGCTCAAGGATTGCCTGGCTCTTTAGCAGTGACTTTTAATTACTCCCTGGTTTTGCCTCCAAAAATGATTGCTGCTTCTTAGTTCATAAACCTAGTCTCTGATCCTTCACTCCACACCCTTGTTCTGGAATTCATGTCTTCACAATCTTTACAGGATTCTGTCTTACCTTCTATCCATCCACTTACCTCATTCATTCTCCAGTTATTTGCCACTCCTTGCTGTTCAGTGTCTCCCACTCACAGAGGAAGACTGCTTCTCCATCCTTGTTTGTTGAAACCCTACCCAAGTCAAATGCCACCACCTTCGTGATGCCTTCCCAGTTCCTCTGTTAAAGTTAGTCTATCCATCCTTTGGGACCTCATATTATTAGAACATCAATTGAATCTTGCTTGTGTTACATATAGTTGTGCCCATACCTGTTTTTTCTGCCAAATTTCAATTTCATTCAGGGTACAGCCCACAGTTTTCTTCACCTTTATGTGTTGTGCTGTTCCTAGCACAGGTCCTGGCCCCTCCTAGATGCTCATGACTGTTTGTTGGGTAAAGTTTCATCTACAAAGTTCCGATATACAGAAGATGGAAGACACAGCTGAATGCCTGAAATGGCCTATCATTTCATTGGCTAGACAAAAGGGGAAAATTAGGATTGGTTTTGATATATATTCATCACTAATTTGACATACATTTGTGTTCTGGGAGTTGCTGCATAATCAAATGTAAGTAGAGAACCATAAATGCAGCCTCTTTGATTTTATTTTTATTTTTATTTTCTGTTTTCTTTAGTGTGGTATGTTTCCTTCGTACCAATGTGCATGATGAAACGAGAGATCATTTTTGGATTTAATTCTTGCCTGACTCAGTCTTTGAGGTGGTTGATATGAAAATGTGGCACAGGTGTGCAATTCTTCTGCTAATTTAAACTACTTTATCAATCTCAATGCCTGATGCAAATGAAAAACCCTGAATTCAATTTTTTTCAAGTTACTAAAATGAAAGTACGTTAAAAATGAAGCTCTATCTAGATTATTTCTCATAAAGTCTTGATGATGAACCTTTGCAAGTAACTTGAAAACCTCTAGTGACATAACTGCAAATTGGAGGTAGCAGAGTTTGCACCATCATGACTCTAAAGAGCATTTATCAATACAACTGCAAGGACGGCTCCTTGCTCTGGGCTGTTATACAGGGACTCTGTGGAAGGAAGGAACAACTGAGATTGAGGGAGTGCTAAACTCGTTTTTAGTTGAGTTTACTGGGGTATAATTTACATATGGTAGAAGCCATCCGTTTCAAGGTCCATTTCTATTAGCTTTGAAAAACACTTACAGCTTCATACCACCAAAATTAAGAAATAGAATGGTCTCATCAGCCCCAAATGCCTCCTCTTGTTTCTTTATAATTAACCCCTCTCCAAACCCCAGCCCTGGGTACCCATTGATATGTTTTCTGTCCCTGTAATTTTGCCTTTTCCTGAGTGTCATACAGATGAGAACATAAAGTGTATAGCTTTGTGTGTCTGGCTTCTTTCACTTGGTATAGTGCATTTGAATTTTATCTATGTTGAAACAGGAATTATGAGTTTATTCCTTTTTATTGCTGTGTGGCAATTCCATTGTAGGGGTATACCACAGTTTGTTTCCATTAATCAGTTGAAGGACATTTATTTTCAGTTTGGGGTTATTGTGAAAAATGCCACTATAAACATTTGTGTACAGGTCTTTGTGTGAATGTTGAGTTTTCATTTCACTTAGGTGAATACCCAGGAATGAGATTGTTGGGTCATATGGTGATATGGTTTGGCTGTGTCCCCAACCAAATCTCATCTTGAATTGTAGCTCCCAGAATTCCCACATGTTGTGGGAGAAAACCCATGGGAGATAATTGAATCATGGGGGCGGTTTCCCCCATACTGTTCTTGTGGTAGTGAATAAGTCTCATGAGATCTGATGGTTTTTCAAGAGGAAACTCCTTTTGCTTGGCTCTCATTCTCTCTCTTGCTTGCTGTGATGTAAGATGTGTCTTTCGCCTTCCACCATGATTGTGAGGCCTCCCCAACTATGTGAAACTGTGAGTCCATTAAACCTCTTTCTCTTTATACATTACCCAGTCTTGGGTATGTCTTTATTAGCAGCACGAAAATGAACTAATACATATGGTAGGTTTAGGTTATGGTATTTTAAAATATACATGGGAAATTACTTATTCTTATAAAAATGTTATTTCTTACAAAAAATTATGTCTATTTATTATTTTTGAGGTGAACAGAGTCACGGATGACCTAAAACAATAGATGATAGTGTTATTGTTATTTGATTTGAGTAGATTTTATGTGGTAGTTTTGCAACAGACTTATCTTCCTAATTATATTTTGCCCCAAGCTGATGTTTAAATTAGTTGGCATTTTCTGGAAACCACCCATGTAGCAGCCAAGCAGAAGGCCACAGGCCAGGGACAGGGCAACTAACTGAGGATATCAGTGTGGCTACAAATAATTTGCAAACTGGTCAGCAAACAGGCAGAAAGCCCATTGATGCCTCCTGTGCTCTTATAGCTAGAATGGCAATTGCCTTATTTTACTTGCACAAAACATTGATTTTTTTCTTCTCAGAGTGCAATATGAGTCAGAGCTGTCCCCATTCCTTAAAGTGAAAATATGAAATTCAATGATTTCCAAAATTCCTATTCAAACTTCTACCTCATACTTCTCATACTTTGCTGGTTGCTAGGGGAGAGTTAGGCATCTGAAAAATGATGTTTGTCCAGAGACTAACATCAGATAATCTGTCATTGTGAGCTAAAGGCAGTGGGCAACAGCATGATTGTTTTAGGAACATGAGAAGGAAAAGCTCATATAGGATAGGACAGTCAGGAAAAGTGCCATAGAAAGGATGGGAAATTGAAGGTGAGTGACATCAAAGTGGTCCCCACCAGTGTTGGGACCTCCTTGCCTCTGTTGTGTTCCACAGCACCTAACATGACCCCTGACCTTAGCAGATGTTTACCAAAACATGATGAACCAGAAGAGTCAATGCTGTAATTTTCAGTCCAAAAGCCGGCAGGCTTGAGACACAAGAAGAGCTGATGTTTCAGTCTGGGTCAAGTTGACACGTAAAATTAACCATCACACCAGCCATTTATATTCTCCTAAGTATGACTCCTAGAAAAACTTTTGCACACGTGCACATGTGCAAGAATGTTCAGAGCAGTATAATCCATAGTATTAAAAATCCAGAAATGAAACATATGCTCATCATCAGTAGAAAGGATGAATAAATTGTGCTGCAGTTGTTCAATGAAAATGAAATTAACTAAACCGTATACATACATGTCAGCATGGTGAATATCTAAAATATCATGTTTGGTGTAAAAAAAAAGCAAGACAGAAGAATACGTGCTATTTTTATGAAATTCATTTATAGGAGGTTCAAAGTGAGACACAATTAAACTATATATTTTTAGGATGAAAAACATATATGGAAAAACTTTAAGAAGAGCAATGGATAAATCCAAAATTCAGGATATCCATTGCCTTTGGGAGAGAGAAAGGAGATATGATTAAAAGGAGCATATAAAAAGCCTCTAAGGCACTGGCAACATTTTATTTCTTCAGCAGGGTAGTTGGTACATGATGGTTCTTTTGTTATCTGTCTTTAAACCATACATATATTTACTTATTTTATAATAAAAATTTAACAATTTTCTGAAATAGATAATAAATATTTTGAATTGCCTATTGCCTTATTGTCTAACATACTGAGCTAGAGTCTTTTATTTCACAGACCTTCCAAGTCTTGGCTGGAAACTTCTAGCACTAGAAATGGTATCTAGCCCCAGCTTCATGGAGCCAGTAGCATTTCTTATAAGCCTGCCCTTTCTCGAGTCCTTTATATGTTGAATTGAAAACTGTCTCTTGGCAACTTTGCCCACTGGTAGTAGTGCTACCCAATAGGTCATGAGTCATTTCTAACCTCTCTTTTAGTTGAACCTATCCTTGAGTATTTGAAAATATCTATGTGTGTCTTTACCTTGCACTCAAGCATTCCTTACCAAGTCTCCTTGGTAAGCAGCCCCAGTCCCTCGACCTGGAGACCACATAAGGAATGGCTCATGTCTTCTTTATCCTGGTCCTCTCTTCCAAAGCCTCTAGTTATTTTTCCAAAAGTTTATATTCAAGCTGGGGGAAGTGATCTGAAGACAAGAAACAAATTTAAGCGTCAAAGTCTGACACAAACAAAACATGCTGGAGGGATCTGGAAGGAGATGAATCAGTTTCGCTTAAAAGAATGAATAAGTATTCTATTATTTGGTTATTTGTGTCACCACAAATAAGTTTAAAATTTTAATTTGGGTTTTTATCTGCTGAGTAATAAGGTTGAAAACCAAAGAGGGGTAAATATTTATAATAAAATTTAGCTTTGATATTGCAAAGTAAGGCCTGCTGTTAGAATTCATGAAAATGGTTAATATTATCTAAACATTAATATTAGTAAAATGATAGGCAAGAGATTGCTTATGCAAACTTTTAAAGATAGTAGGTCTCTCTCTTTCTCCTTTCCTTCCTTTCTCTCCTTCCCTTCCTGAAGTACTGGTATCTGCTCAGTATTTATTCATTGTTTATGAAATGACATTTTTGGAACTCTGATATGTTTCAGTTAGACCCCATTGGAAGGGATGCCTAGGCCCTTTCCTCATCACTTACTAGCTATATCATTCTGCTCCTCAATTTCCTCATCTGTAACACTGTAATGATTCTGTACCTACTCCATAAGGTGGTAGTTAGGATGGGATATAATGATGATTCCATGACTGCAAATGAGCTTTGCTATTATCTCCCTCCTATCCTCAAGGGCTTCACGGCCCAGGATTCCACAATGCTACAGTTCCAGGTATCTTCTTTATCATTCTTTGGGGTCTTCTGCTTCTTTTCAAGTACTTCCTTCTTTGTAAACTAAGTTCAGATGCTTAAGGTGGTTACAGTTTTTTCCAACCTGAAAGTTGAAATGGATAGCTCAGGAACCCCATTTAGCTTGGCTGGCAAAGAAATAATCATAACTATTTTGAAAGTTGAGATTTCACATAAAATCCAGAATTCTAGTATCTCTTTAAAAACATTTCCTTAGGGCGTCAATTGGCTGGAGCTGAGCAATGGCTGCCCATTTTCTCTGGGGTGTGCAGTCTTCCCTTCTCCACCATCTTCAGGCTAATCATTTTACTGACATCTGCACACTCGGCCCAGGTGTCAAATGAATCTAAAATCCTTCCCCTTCCTAATTGAAAAGACCTTTATTGAAAACATGAGCTTGGGTTTTGCTATCACAGATTTTCACTTTGGATTTTTGCAGAAGCTTTTGAATCTCTTCTCACTTGTTAGAGAAACTTTTTTTTTTTTTTCCTGCAGCAGGTTTCTCTTTGTACTCTCCAAGAACAGCTTGCTGGCTTGCAAAAAAGAAGAAGCCGTTATCTTTGGGGAGCCGTCAGAAAGAGCAGATGCAGCCCCAGCATGAGGCTCCTGATCCCTGCAAGTGGCACTGTAACACTTTATTTGTGAAGAGGAGGACAGAGAATGTCTCTTCTCCCCACATCTCTATTTGCATTTTATTAGGCACCCAGTAGGATGGTTTGTAAATCGCCATCTTCACTCACAGATCTCTCTATCAGCCCCCTACTTACCAGAGGGCAAAATACAAGGATGCTAAAAACAGGATGGTGTTAAAAGGAATCAGAAAATGAGGCTCACAGCTGTGACTTTTTCTTCTGCTTCAAAAAGTGCCTTTTGTTTATAAGACTTCTGGGGAAATAAATGGCTTCTGTCGAGATACACAGACGCAGTACAAGGCTTAGTTGAGGAAGGCTGTTTCAGGGGAGTGAGGCAAAGCGATTATGGTTCTACATTTACCACCTCCATTTGCTGGCCACTTGTTCTGGCATGACTTCGTGCTTAACCTCAGTCTCCTTATATCCTATTTCACAGAGTTGGCTTGGATGCAATAGAGCAAAGCATGGAACTTCCCTGGCCATCTCCATATCCCCATCCCCTCTCCTTCATCTTTGCAACTTCCCTTGTCCAGGGTTCCTATATTTAATTTTGACTCAGCTAGCAGTAGGAAGACTGTACCTTCCAAAGAGCTTCGATTTACTTGTTAAGCTCAGTTGATACTATTATTTTAATCATTCTAGAGGAAACTTGCTCTTGAAATAAGGAAAAGAGAAATGTAATTTTCCCCCAGAATTTTATTAACTGAAAAGAGGGGAAACTGATGTATGGAATCATGATTATCTTCAATCTGGGATATGTCCTGGGGAATCTTTTGAAACATGAAAGAAAAAACAAGTTGTGTTTGGTTGAGTTTGTCTTAAATATAAAGTGGGTGTGCTATGTATGGTATATGTGACACCTTGCTTGGTGTCAAAACAGTCCGGTACCTGGCCATTCTGCAGTTAGTTCAGGCTGCCTTCAATACAATTTGGATTTCAAAAGGAAAGCTGTCAGCTCAGCACTAAGGAGATAGAGAGGTAGAATTGAAGTTTGAAGTCAAAGTTAAATAATTTATTGTCTTTTTCTTAAATATAAAACTTCATTACAAAGCCAAACCATCTTTGTCTTATTTTCCCAAGTACACTGGGGCTAAATTTGCTCTAGCTCTTTCTCTTTCTTTTCAGGATATTGAGAAGAAATTAGAATGGTGAATTTCTTATCCTCTCTCCCATGCTGGGTGCTGAAATTAGATCTTCCAGATCCCTGGAAGGTTGAACTCAGTGATCTCTGAGAGTGTCTCCTAGGCCTATGGCTCAGTGAAGCTCCACAGGCTTCACTATGTGGCTGGTGAGCTTCGGTGGGTTTCTTATGATGCCTTTTACCATGGAGAAAGACCATCTCCACTGCAGTTACTTACTTCCTCTATTGGAATTCCTTAACACCAAATAAAGAGCCTCATTTCAGCACTTAATACATTTCAGTGTAATTACTTATACATCTGTTGATGTATCTCTTGCCTGTGACATTCCTGAAGAGAAAGATCAGGTCTCACCAATCTTTTTATTCCTGATACTTAGCAACATGGCAAGTACATATTAGGGGGCAAGTCCAATACAGTGTTAAATGGAATAGAATGAATAAATGTGGTGCTCAATGCAGGCAAAGGTATGGAATACGGTGAGGTGTGGTGGCTCATGCCTGTAATCCCAGCACCTCTGGAGAGTGAGGCAGGCAGATCGCATGAGCTCAGGAGTTCGAGACCAGCCTGGGGAACATGGTGAAACCTTGTCTTTACCAAAAAATACAAAAATTAGCTGGGTGTGGTGGTGCACACCTGTAGTCCTAGCTACTTGGGAGCCTGAGGTGGGAGGATAGCTTGAGCTTGGGAGGTCAAGCCTGCAGTGAGCCATGAACATGCCACTGCACTTCAGCTTGGGGGACAGAGGAAGACCCCATCTCCAAAAAAAAAAAAGAAGGTATGGAATATCTTCTTATTCATACTTTCATATCTCCACCATAGGAAAAATTGGGCTAAATAGAGAAAGGATATTGGGAGGAAAAATACCCAATCTTATATCAACTGTTTGGCCCAGTTTTGCCACTGGGGAGGGGATAGTGAGAGAGGAAGGTTAATGAAACAGACAGGGTCCAATGCATGAGGGAACTTGCAAACAACAGCAGCAAGTATGATGACAACACGTTAGATTTTGTTGGTTTGTTTTGGTTGAACCATGGTACTGGGAAAAACTGCCATCCCCCCTCATTTACCCCATTATTTTCCAAGGTAAATGTTATGGGGCCAGGGGGCTTTACCTTTACCATCAATATCACCCCTCAGATGCCCAGATTTCACCCTTTGACACTATAAGGAGGGCTGTCCTCATGGAGTTGTGTACATGGGGAAAGAGACTCAACAAAATCTTAGATCTGAGAAGTCCCTCAGGCAGAAACAACTGGCGACTGGCAAGGGCAAGTCCTCCCCAGAAGTTGGGGTGAGCAAGACAGGAAGAGCTTCGGAGGCAGAAGTTCTGGACTGAGCAGTGATGACTGGGCTGACATTGGGGATCATCTGAGCTGCACACTTAACTCCCACAGTGGATGTTCCTGGCAGGGTCCGCTGCTGAAATGTTCCATGTTTCTATGGCCCTATATGTTGACCTTCTTCCTCCAGACTCTGCTGATCTCTCTTCTCTCATCTTTTCCCTTTCTGTCTAAGCTCTGTCTTTCACCCAGGGAAATCTTTGACTATTGAAGGTGGAAAAAAAAAATCCTTGCTATCCTTCATAATGTTTCTTCCAAATATTTTTAAATGCCTTTTAGTATGTTCTAAAATTTTCTAAGGATTATGCCTTTGGAAGACAAAACAATGAATATTGCCTTTCTTGCCTCTGTTCTCTTCCTAATGTCACTTCCCTTTCCTAGCACAATGTATGGAAGTGTCTTAGCTGCCTTAATGAGAGTGGGGATAGATGATGGGGAGGGGAACATGAAAAACCAGCAAAACAAATAGAGTTATGCTTTCAAAAATACTGTCTTGCCAAATTTCCTATGCTGTGGATCATAGAGTTTATCCAATAGACAATGAGAAGCCGTAGAATTTTGAGCAATGTGGCAACATGATCAAAGTTGACCTTGATGACTGATATGTCTGTTTGGAAGGCTTTGTTTGTCAACTCATATTTTTTTGTGAGTCTTCTTGTTCTCAATATTTTACTAGGATTTATGGTGGTTACAGAAAGTAAAATATAAGACCTATGTCTTCAAAGTGCCTCAAAAACGTAGGGGAATAAAATATTGTATCCATAAATAACAGAAACTCAGTTAAGTATGTGTATAAAGTAGTCCTCTGGATGGTACAGCATGGACCATAAGTATGATAAGGGTGTATGGAGGAAAAGAGCCAGAAGTGTGGGGAAAGGCTTTGTGAAGAGGTGGTATATGAGTTGAGCCTCAAAGGATGGATGAATAGAAATTTGACTGTCAAGAGGAGTGGAGGGAAAGTGCAAAGTGGAGGAGAATGCTGTTATGACAGGCTTATGCCATTTTCCCTCCACAACGTTTCACCTTATGCCTTCCCAACACACCCCAGCATTTGTTTGGGGACCCACATGGCTCTGGAAAACCTGATTCCACCCCTAGTTCTGGAAGTAGATCCTTTGGTCTAGGCTAAGTCATTCCATCCCCCAGGTCTTGGTGATTAATTTGGGCTAGGGCTTTTACTTAAATGGTAGGATAAAAGTCTTTCCCTGATCAGTTTCATATGCAGATGTGGAGCCAAGAAACTGCTGCATTAGAGAAGCCATATTTATACTGGTGCCAAAGCATAGAGTAGGATATAGTCAAGAGATTCAGAGAAAATAGTTTCAGAGATCACTGGATCAAGCCATATTTGAACTTGTCACTTATATGACACAACTAAGGCCTTTCTTTGTTGGGTTTTCTGTTCCCAGCATTAAAAAATATTAACAAAGAGAGTTGTTCAAATTATGCTGGCCTGTGATTGGAGGTAATGAGTAGATTCTTTGGAAGGGAGGTTTGAAACTGTGGAAAGAAGGAATGATAAGAAGCTGAGATTGGTTAGTCAGGGTGAGACTAAATTCTGAAGGGTTTTGAATGCTAGACTGATGTGGGTATATGTGGATAGGCATTGATGCCATTGCTTGATGATAGGAAAAATTTACTAAACCTTTTATAAAGATGTAAGAATGAGACTGGCCACTAATACTCAGAATCAGAAACCATGCAATGAACCTGGGGAAGACTCTTGTCTTAGTTCCCAGTTTCTATTTTCCCCAGAAGAAGGACCCATAGGGGCCAATTAATACCTCCCCAAGCCTTTACTTTGCCAGATATCATCTTTACACCAGGCTTCTGGAACTGCTCCCATAAAGTTTAAAAGTTGTTGTGTATAAGTTTATGTGTTACCTTGTAAAATGCATTTGTTATATTGCTTCTGCTTGAAATAAAATGTGTTTCCCAAGTTATAAATATGAAGTTTAGAAAAGAGCATATTTCTTGGTAGGAATTTTTTCCTTGTGACACATTTTGAAGTTTGTTTTCCATTTTCCTTTATCTCTGTTCCTTCAGAGCGGTATTTGTTTTTGCCATTATGCAAGATTTGCAGCCAAACACTCTATCATATTTGTATATTCTTTCTTAATCAGATAAGAAAATCACTCTAAACTTTATCTAGAAATTTCCATAGTAAAAATAGTTTTAAATAAATTCAAATAACACTATAAAGGTGACTAAACCTCAATAGGTGTGAACACAATTGTCCATAGAAAACACACACTATAAGCAAGTAATGGATGGCACAATTTCACATAAAATTCCAAGCTCAAAGACTATGTAAGATTTACATTTTTTCAGGCTACATTACTTAATAAGCACTTTGTGATTGATTTTGCAACAGTCAATTTTTTTTTCTGCCTCACGTTGCTGATGTTTATGGGGAACTGTGTGGTTTCCAAGCACCTGCCACCACAGACTGCTTAATACTACACCTCCATTGGGCAGCACTGTAGAGCAGTTTGGCTCTGGGTGCCATGTAAAGGTGCCAGTGATCTCTGGGGAATTTGGGCTGATGATCTGAGCATTCAGTTTAGCTGGTCAGTTGCAGTTTAGTTTCCAGGAGCAAAATCAAGGATCAAAGTTGAGTTTTCTGAGTCTTTTTGTTTTCTTCTCAATAGAATCCTTAATGCACTATTTGTGTAAGAAAACACCAGTGATTTTTCTTTTAAAAATGAGGAAGAGTGAGGGACCAGTTAAACTCAATAAACAGGATTGTTACCTAAAAAGTCTGATCAGGACATGCATGTGGAAAGCTATTGCACAATCCACCAATCATTTAGTCACTGATAATAACACATATTGAGGGCTTAGTTTGTTCCAGGAACTGAGCCGTCAGTGCTGTTTCTAGCAGAGCCTGAGAATCCTAAATTGGCTAGCAATCAGATTCTCAATTAGACCAGAGTATGTGGAACTTCTCAAAGGGAGAAACACTGGAGCAGAAATCAACAGAGATGTTATCAGATAAAATGATTCCATGGGGGATAGCTGTAGTCTACTACAGTATTTTCCAGCTGGTATATCATGCAATACAAGTGTGTTTAAAAAAAAATAAACTTTAATGGTAGATGAGAACCTCTTTCCTGTCGTTCCATATTCTGTTAACCCAATAAGCTTGTTTTACATTGGTAGGTTTTTATTTAACTAATACAGCATTCTTCAAAGTGTGTGTCATAGAATGCTACTGCTACAAGATAGCCCAATTAAAATATTGTTGTGGGATCAGTTAATTGTGGGACACTCTACAAATTATGTGCCCTTCTTGGAGTCATTATTTTCATACTAAAGTCTCTGAGAGGTCCTGCAATACAGAAATTTTACTGTCCCAGATTCTTTTTAACTTGATCATAGAACAATTTTATGTCATCTGCGCCTGTCTTTTCCCTTCTCCCTGTCTAGAAAAGTCAACACTACTGAGCACTGAAAAAGACAGGCAGCTGGCAGCCTCAGTGGCCCTGATGCAAAGGCAGTTTACACAGGGCCCCAGGAGGGCAAAAGTCTATTTTTTGTCAGCCCATGTCTTCTGTTCAGCATGGATACCAGTCAAAGAATCAAGGCAACGTGGACATAAAGCTACATGATTTATGATCAACAATGACCCAAACAGAGATGGCAGGAAAGGCAATGGGTACAAGAGAAGGTCTCTACCATATGAGATTTACAAATTCATAAAACACAAGACAACGTTTCTGGCTTCGTTCCATTCCTCTATTCTACCAACTTTCTTGACCAGTATCTCTTCGAGGCCCATCTACAATGCTAGCTAGCCTGGTGCCACATTAGATTTCCAGCAAGGAGTTACCTTTCTTTGATTACACATATATGCGCGCACACACACACACACACACACACACACACACAACATATACGCACAGACTTTTGATTCCTTATCATCTTTTAACCTGTTACTAACAATAGCAGTCTTGCTATGAAATGTTGTTTTAGTAACAGGATTATCATCTACAAGCATTTATTACATACTTTTGTATAAAAGGCTTGAAAGGCACAGGTAAGGGCAAATGTGGTTCCTGCCCTCATAGAATTAGGAAAAATTTCCTCCTCTTCAATTTTTAGAAAGAGTTGAGAAGAATTGCTAAATTCTATATAGCACATTGAATATATCATCCCATTTTGCAGTGAAGCTATCCAGTTCTGGTTTTTTCTTTGTTGGGAGACTTTTTATTACGAATTCAATCTGGTTATTCATTATTGGTATGTTAAGGTTTTCTATTTCTTACTGGCTCAGTATTGCTAGGTTGTATGTATCAAGAAAATCATCAATTTCCTTTAGAATTTCTAATTTGTTTGTGTATAGTTGTTCATAACAATATCTAAGATCCTTTGTAGTTCTTTGGCATCAGGCTCAATGTCTCCTTTTTGGTTTCTGATTTTATTTATTTGAGTCATCTTTTTATTTTCTTAGTCCAGCTAATGATTTGTTAATTATGTTTATCTTTTCAAAAAACAATTTTTTGTTTTCTTGCTCTTTTATATTTTATAGTTTTGTTTAGTTCTGCTCTGATCTCTATTTTCTTTTCTTCTGCTAATTTGGGGTTTGATTTGTTCTTGATTTCCTAGTTTCTCAAGGTGCATTGTTAGGTTTTTTATTTGAAATCTTACTACTTTTCTGACATAGGCATTTATTGCTATTAACTTCTCTTTTATTACTGCTTTTTTATATCCAGTGGGTTTTGGTGTATTGTGTTTCCATTTTCATTTATTTCAAGTCATTTTTTAAACTTTGCCTTAATTTCTTCATTGACTCAAGTGTTCAGAAGTATGCTATTTAATTTCTATAGCTTTAATTTGTACAGCTTCCAGAGTTTCTCTCATTATTGATTTCTAGTTTTTTTCTATAATGGTCTGAGAAGATACTTGATGTAATTTTAATTTTTTAATACTTTTAATATTTTTTGAGCTTTATTTTCTGGCTTAACATATGGTCTATCCTGGAGAATATTCCATTTGTTGAGGGGAATAATGTATATTCTATAGCTTTGGATGAAATGTTCTATAAAGTTAAGTTCATTTGGTCTATAGTGCAGTTTAAATATGATATTTCTTTGTTATTTCTGTTTGGATGATCTTTCCAGTGCTGAAAGCGATATATTAAAGTCCCCTACTATTATTGTCTTGGAATTAATTTTTCTCTTTAGCTGTAACAATATTTGTTTTATATATCTAGGTGCTCCAGTGTTGAGTGCACATAAATGTATAATTGTTATGTTCTCTTGCTGAACTGAACTCTTTATCATTATATAATGGCCTTCTTTGCCTCTTTTTATGTTTTCGTCTTAAAGTCTATTTTGTCAGATAAAAGTATAGCTATTCCTGTACACTTTTTATTTTTCTTTGCATGAAATACCTTTTTCTATCTCTTCACTTTTCAGTCTATGTTTGTCTTTACAGGTGAAGTGATTTTTTTTCTAGGCAGCTTATATTTGGGTATTTTTTTTGTAAAATTGACTAAACCAATCAGTATTTTTTAATTGGAGAATTTAAACTGTTTACATTCAAGGTTGCTTTTGATAGGTGAAGATGTACTCCTATTATCTTGTTGATTTCTGATTGTTTCATATGTCCTTTGTTCTTTTCTTCCTCTCTTACTGTTTATCTTCTTGATTTGGATTTCTGTAGTGATAATATTTCATTCCTCTCTCTTTGTTATTTGTGTTTCTACTCTGCCAGTGAGCTTTACATGTTCGTGTGTTTTTATGATGTTAAATATTATCTTTTTACTTCCAGATCTAGGACTCTGTTAAGCAGTTCTTGTAGGACTTGTCTAGTGGTGACAAATCCTTCAGTTTTTGCTTGTCTGGGAAATATTTTCTTTCTCCTTCACTTTTGAAGGATAGTTTTGCTGGGTATAGTACTCTTGGCTGCCTTTTTTTTTTTTCTTCAGCACTTTGAATATATCATTTCATTCTCTCCTGGCCTCTCAAGTTTCTGCTGAGAAATCTGCTATTAGTCTGATGGGAATTTTCTTATATATGACCTGATGCTTTTCTCTTGCTGTTTTTATAATTCTTTTTTTTTTTTTTTTTTGACTTTTGGCAGTTTGACTACAATGTGCCTCAGAGAGGAACTTTTTCAGTGAAATGTATTTGGAATAGCTGAGCTTCCTGTATCTAAATGTCTACTTCTCTTCTAAGACATGGGAAGTTTTTAGCTATCATTTTATTAAATAATTTTTCTAGGCCTTTTCCAATCTTTTCCCTTCTGAAATTCTCAACATTTCAACATATGTTTTCTTGATAGTGGCCCATATGTTATGTAGGCTTTCTTCATTCTTTTTCATTCTTTCTTTTTCTTTCCTCTTTTTTATCTGACTAGGTTATTTCAAAAGATCATCTTTAAGTTTAGAAATTCTTTCTTCTTCTTGCTCTAGTCTATTGTTTAAGCTCTTGATTTTATTATTTATTTTATTGACTGAATTCTTTATTGTCAGTATTTCTATTTTATTCTTTTTTATATCTATCTCTTTGTTGAATTTATCATTCACATTATGAATTGTTTTCTTATTTCTTTGTATTGTCTACTGTGTTCTCTTATATCTCACTGAGTTTCTTTAAGATCATCATTTTGTATTTCTTTTCAGGCTTTTAATAGATTTTTCTTTTCTTTGAAGTCTTTTACTGGAGAGTTATTGTGTTTCATTGCTTTTTCATATTTCTTTTGGTCTTGCATTAATATCTACATCTTTGGTGTAAAGGTTATTTCTTCCAATTTTATGGAGTAGCTTTTGTTGGGAAAGACATTTTACTATAGATATATCATAGTATCTGTTGGGTAGGGTACTTTGGCTTTAGTTCTGGGTGAGCATTGTAGTGCAGTCTCCATATAATTTCTTTGGCTGTAATCAGTGTTGGCGATGTCTATAAATTCCTCAATAGCTTAGGCTGTGGTCATTTGTGGAGGCTATGGTGAGACTCTGCTGGGGACTGGGGCCCCAGGTGGGCTGGTCCTCTAACCCCTAGGTGGTACACGAGGGCACCAGCTGTGGTGGTAGTCTTCCCTGGGTGGGCAGCTTCTCAGACCCTTGGGTGGCATGCACAGGACTCAGTGGTGGTAGCAGCAGCCCTTTAAGAGCCAGTTCTCAGGCCTCCAGAAGGCACACTCAGACTGTGGTAGCCATAGTGGCTGAAGCAAGCTAGGTTTTGGGTGTTGGGCAGCACACCTGAGTGCATGGTGGCCCCACAATTGGAGAGGAGAGGGTCACTGTCAGTGGCAACATCCCTGGTAGACTTCTTTCAGGCTTCAGGGAGTGCCCACTTTGGCTCCATTTATCCTGGGAGCAGCCTCTTTAATGTGCAGAACTGCCTGTTCCGTGGGTGGAGGGTGCTGTGTGGGCTCAAGTGTCAGGGATGTAGCTGCTTCCCTGGGTTCAGCTGGTGTCACCTGGGGAGATGCTGATGAGGCCCCAGTGATTTGGTGATACAGGGATTATTGGGCCCCAGGGCAGGATGTAGTCTGGTGTTGGCTCTTCTCTCAAAATGATGTCATGCTGCAGCAGCATGGACCCCAGGGAGTGAGGGGAACCCAGTGCGAACTTCCTCTAAGGGGCAAAGTAGTTGTGTGGACACCAGGCAGCTTCCTATACTGGGGGCCTCAGAGTCTCAGGGCCTTTGGAGGTTGAGGGGCTCTCTTGTTGCTAGGAATGCAGGTGTCTATAGTAGGAATATGACCTTTTAGGGATATCTCACCTTTTGTTTGCAAAGGGGAGTCCTTACTGCCTTTGAGCCAAAACTGGCTCACTTCTTCACTTCTCTTTCTATGCTGTTATTTCAAGTTTCTGTACATCTAGGTTCTCAGTCACTTCTCTGCTGAACTTCAGTCTTCTCAAGGATGGGATTAATAGTGACATAATGTCAAAGCTGAGAACTCCTGGGGAATCATTTTCCTGATTATGCCTTTTCCCCTCTTCCCTCTCTAGGAGGGCCTGGGAGGGTACCTAGACACACAATGCAAAGGACTTTGGCAACAAATCTCTTAATTTAACAGGTGTACAGAAATGTATTCTCTTTTTTCTAGGTGGTCACAGTCTAGTGGGAGAGAGGACAAAACAAATGATAAAGGCTATGACAAAGGGAGGTACTGGTTATTATGAGAACAAAAAGTGAGGTATTCAGCTTGGGCTGGAAGTTGGGAAGATCAAAGGAAGGGGTCAGACTTGAATGATAAAAAGAGCTCATTGACCTTCTTTACACAGCACAGGGAAATTCTGTGCAAAGGTATAGAGAAATGAGAGTTGCTGCAGTACCAGAGGATCCAAACTTGAGCATGGGATGCATTGTGGGAGGTCAGCACTGGAAGGCAGGCAGGAGCTGGATGTCAAAGCCCTTTGTATGACATGTTAAGGGGATGGATATTCATTTGTCAGGGGGTCAGAAGATCTAGGTTCCACTTTTAGGCTGCCAAGCGCTGGTTATGTAATTCTTGTCACCACTTTCTTTGGGCCTTAGTTTTCTCATTTCTAACCAGGTAGGATTAACCCCTTTGAGATGTCGTCAAGTTTTAAGCTGTCTATGATCTTTGTGTAAGAATTTTTAATGAGTTGTGATTCTTTTTTGTCTTGTTCCTGTTCCTGGTCTGCTTTTGTCAGAGATTGACCAGGTCAATTCTCACTGTATTCACAAACAGGAGTTTTTTTTTTACCTCAACATGTTAGGAAAAGTCTACTTCTCTTTTAAGCCTTTGGCCTTTGTCTTAGAGTGAAACAAAGAGCTGTTTCAAGTCAGACTGGAGTAATTATTATTCAAACCTTTTCCCTCTTCCATGCTGTGTGGTCTTTTTCATATTCATATGACTTTTCTGTTTTCATTGGACCGAATACAATTAATTTAATGCACTTTTTATTAAATTTTGTTTCTTACAACTAGAAAGACTTTTTCCTTCTCTCCACGTTGTGAGTTTGAACATGTTACTAAATGTTCAAGCTTTTAAAATACATTCAGTGGCCTTTTTTTCTTTCTATTTTGTTATGCCTTAACATGGTATAAATATTTTTGAGAAATCAAAAGATTAATAAACTAGAAAAATATAATTAATACCTGTGCTTTCACCATCCAGAATTAGATGCCATTTTTATTTTAGATTTGCTTCTGATTGAATTTAAACATTTTAATAAAATCATTTCAGATGAATGTAGAATTTTATTTGATTATTATCAATATAAAAAGCCTGTTCTCCAAACCCCCTACCATGTGCTTTATCTTCAAATGTGAAATGCACCCATTTAAGAAATCTATCCAAATTACAGACATCCAATATACATGTACAATAAATAGACACACAAACTAGATTCGTATTTTTTTGATGTTTTTTAAACTTTTTATAATGCATACCAAGAAACACAATTGAAAATTAAACTTCTATCAGAAAAATTAGATAAACAAGGATTAAGGAAATGAACAAAGGCCAGTGAAGGAAAGGGAAACAGTGGGGAAATGGCCAAGTGGCCATTGTATTTTTCTGTTGGCTGTGGATTACTTTTAATTGACTTCTCCTATTCTAAAGTCAATTTTGCCTTGTACCTGTCAACATGGGCTATAGAGACATTTGTCTTTTCTTTATCTTCAATTCGGTGCCCAAATAGTCTTCCTATTAGAGGGACACTGCTCAATGGGTGAGATACAGTTTTGCTTTCCCTATGAAAACAAAGATAAAAGAGTTTCCTTGTTTCCATCCTCTGAGAACTAGGGAAGGATGGATTCAAATGATCTTGTTCATAGTTTGAATCTTAAGACATCAAGGCAGACTCAGGGACAGTTGATAAATCATTCATGAGTTGGTTTGCAAGAATAATAAAGTTTCCTGATTTCTCCAATTTATTTTCAACACTACGTGTTTGTTGTAAGTACTTTTATAAATATTACCTCTCTTAATCCTCATAGCTTTATGCATTGAGTACTCTTATGTTATCTACTTTACATATGAGGAAACTAGTGAGATTTTAAGCAATTTGTTCAAATTTATTAGTAAAACTTGTTCCTGGATGAAACCCCAGGCATCTTGGCTTTATTGCCATGCTTTGCACCTTGGGCTTCCCCATCAAAAGTCCAGAACAATCATACAGACCAAACTGTTCCTATTGTGTAAACTAAGTCATGCCTCCTTATGGTCAGCCTTTCTTGATTGCTGCCCAAAGTTATAGCTGAACCCTCTAGTCTCCCACTGATTAATTAAATTGATTAACTAATTAACAAGAAATTAACAAATTTCTTGTTTTCCTTAAATTAGCTCAGGCTTGATTCTATTACTTGCAACCAAAAACCCTGATTGGTACATAGCCTCTGCTTCCAGTTTCTTAATGATATAATATTAATCCTTATTCATTTCCAATAAACTGCTTCAAATATAATACTAAGTACTAAACTTGATATTACAGGTTAGATTTTTATGCTTCAAATATAATACTAAGTACTAAACTTGATATTACAGGTTAGATTTTTATGCTTCAAATATAATACTAAGTATTAAACTTGATATTACAGGTTAGATTTTTATTCTTTTTTTCAAGTTATGACTTCTAGATATCCTCTTTCTGAATTAAGGCTTAATTTTAAAAAGGAAGTCAATCTTATTTCCCTCTTATTTTGGCAAACAACTTAATTAGTTGATGTGGATGGGAAAATAATGGTCTGTTAAGATATCTAGGACCTAATCCCTGGAACCCATGAATGTTAATTTATATGGCAAAAGGGACTTCACAAGCATGATTAAGTTATGGATCTTGAGGTGGCAATATCTATTCTGGATTACTTAGGTGGGCCCTAAATGTAACTAAACTATCTATATAAAAAAGAGGCAGAGGGAGATTTGTCTTCAGAAGAAAAGTGAGCAATGCGATGAGAGAAATAGGGATTAGAATTGTATGCTATGAAAACAGAGGAAAGAATCACAGACTAATGAATATAGGAGGCCACCAGAAGCTGAAAAAGGCAAAGACTTGGATTCTCCCCTCAGAGCCTCCAGGAAGAACCAGCTCTGTTAATAATTTGGTTTTATTCCTGTCAGACACATGATCTCCAGAACTATAAGAGAATAAATTCACGTTTCTTAAAGCGACTAGGCTTGTAGTAATTTGTTACAGTGGCAACAGAAAGCTAATTGTTGATGGAACGAGATCATCATTTTGTAGACTTATGCCTGGTATAGAAAACTGAGCATATTTTGACTCTATTATGTTTTTAGCCTAGGAAGGATTGATGACAACTCACACACATGCTTTGTAAGATGTTCAGACAGTTACTGGGAAAATTGTGTCATGATTTCTGTTGTAAAGAAGGCAGAGCACTTTTATTTTATGGTCAATGGATTTTTTTTTTTTTAAGGTAAATGATAGGAAAGCGCCAATTGGCATAAGCTTGATTAATTGTCAAAATTCACACCTCAAGTTGTCTTATGGGTTTTTTTTTTCATGAAGTGTCATTAACAACATTCCTGCCACCAGTTTTTCTAGTGAGTCATTCAATATTGATGGGAGCGGCAGCAGGAAGTAAGTTTGGCTGGAGTGCCAATGTAATGTGACCTACATCTAAAAAAAAATCCTGGGGAAACTGTCTGGCCAAAATAAAGCTCCTTTTCTGTTCTAAGTGCTATTTGTCCTTTAGAGAAGGGAAGAGTCAATTAATCACTGAGGCCGAGTCCTTTGAAAGATTACAAGGCTTGCAGAATATGTTGCTGTGAAAGCGATGCCCCTTGAAGATACTGTACACTAGAAGGTTTTATAAATTTAATTTAAAAAGTTATACATATTTTAAATGACATGAGGCTTTTTGCTGGTAGGTAAAAATAATGAGCCCTGTGATTCTTGTCAAAAGTGTGTGTGTCTTTGTGCATGTGCACATGTGTTGGGGATAGGGGGAGTGGGTGGAGTGAATGAATACCTGTTAGAATTCCTTTGAATTATGTCTCAATATATTGCTATTGTTAATAAAATTATGGTTGGTGCACCAAGCAGAATACATTTGAAATAAATAGCTTCTAAACTGATACTACAGAGATTTCCAATATCAACTTGTTTCTATTTCACCGTGTGCAGATAATAGGAGGGAGACATGTCTAAAGGTCATTGCTTATGCTGTAGTTATATGTCTTACAATGCCTGACTGATGTTTTTAAAAGAGTGGCTGAATACTTATACCATCCAGGATGGATATTCTCTCAGATGCTGACAAACACACATCTATCTAGATAATGGAACTGATTCTTTCTTTTTTTTATGTGTGTTTGTTCACATAAATACAACTCATAGAGCATTCAGCTGTGACTCATGAATAAATCTTGAAGATGCATGAGAAGACACAGCATTCAAATGTGATTTTCGATTAAGGGCAGAAAGAGAGAGAGAGACAGAGAGACAGATAATATCATCCATGGGGAAGAATGCTATTTCATTAAATTCCTTTGGTCTTACTGGGGAGGTAAGGTTATACATCATGATAGAGAAGTGATGTGTCTTAGATTCAACCATTGTCCATAGATACCAAACATATTGTGTTTTTTGTTGTTATGGCTTCTGTTGTTACCATTATAGCATCATGATCTCTGCCATTTAGCTAAAGGGAAGGTCATTTTGCTAGGTCAATTTTATGAATGACCTACTATCGAGCACCT
This sequence comes from Homo sapiens, assembly GCF_000001405.40. NCBI lineage: Eukaryota > Metazoa > Chordata > Mammalia > Primates > Hominidae > Homo > Homo sapiens. The sequence goes on along the minus strand of NC_000016.10, from coordinate 52,113,458 downwards.
AAGGTGTGCTTAAGTTTGACTCTGGTGGATTGAAGAAAAATGTCAGTTTCTTTCCAGAAGTTACTGGGGAGTTAGAAGAATAGAGTGAAAAAAGTTTAACTCTCAATTAATGTCAGCAAAGTGTGGCACACCTACTTGCCACTTCCTTGTTTGGTGTTCATGGTAGACATTGCTAATTGCTCAGGCCTGTCCTTTCCTCTGACCTTGGATGTGACTTCTCTTCTCCGCATCAGACGCTAGGAAAACACTAGCAATGAACTGAAGATGGCATTCTCAGTAAAGCTTGCATGTTCTCTTGTCCTCAGGTAAACAGGTAACTCAACCTCACTAGATGAGTGTATTGATTTACTTGCAAAATACCTGCCCTCAAAGAAGTTAGTGAAATAATGCAGATGAAAGTCCTGTGGTGCTGATGGGGCCAGACAACAGTAGCGAGTGTTCCTCTCCAGGTGGCTGGATGAGACTTCTACACATGAGACAACTTGTGAATAATATTGTGATCAGTAACAGCTTCTGGTAGCTCAAAAGTTAGTTTTAAAACCAAAATCCCACCAAAAATGTGCAATATCCTCTTTAGTTGTTAATTTACCCATGAATTAATTCATTAATTTGAGAATTCAACAAAGAACACACTTACTATAGGTCAATATCTGTGCTTCTGGAGGAAGATTCAAGCCAGTGGGAGCAGAAATGTTCATGATACATGCTATTTTATATCTTGTAGTTGTTTGCATCTTTGGATCAATTAGCATTTAATTTCAATAAATAAAGAAAAAGCTCTCCCTGCCAAGCCAGTTTGTTACAGTCCTAAACTCAACTGTCTCACAAATCTTCCTAGAAAAAAAAAAAAAAAAGGCAGGAAACACCATCGTGCATGCCTTTGGTGCTCAGATGAGGTATATGTGACTTTTCGACACAGAAAAATCAACATCTTTTTGTTAAGCCATTGTAGCCTTCATGGGGGACAAGAATTGTTATTGAAATATCTCTCTGTAGCATCCCCTTGGCACCTGGTAATTAGGCAGTTTTCCTGATAAATGAATATTTTGGAAATGACACATGCAGAACAATAGTGTATATGAAGCATCATAAGTACTTTCTGGTTTAGATGCTAAGTGCTTATACAATCTTGACTACAGACTCAAAATGGTATTGGAACTTTTTTTGCAAAGGTAAGTATGCTCATGTGGTTAGCCCTCATGACATAAGCATGGCAGTCACATTTAAAGTGATCCTGTGAAGCCAGGCACAGTGTTGCATGCCTGTAGCCCCAACTACTTGGGAGAATGAGGCAGGAGGATTGCCGGAGCCCAGGAGTTCCAAGCTGTAGTGAACTATAATCACGCCTAAGAATAACCACTGTACTCAATCCTGGGCAACATAGCGAGACTCCATTTCTTCAAAAAAATAAAAAGAATTCTGTGAAATCAAAATGTCATGGGATTTTTTTCTGGTGGAGTTGGAGATAAGGAACAGGAGATTAAGAAAGGGAGACAGAAAAAAGTACATTCATTTAAAATGACAAAAGCTAATATTTTTCAATATATACTCCCTATCAAATAGAGATAATAAGACCAGGTAAAAATTGAGGAAGAGATTTAAAGTTCATTGAAGAGTAAGAAGTAATATATTTTTTTTTTTTTGATGGAGTCTTGTTACCGATGCTGGAGGCTGGAGTGCGGTGGAACAAACATAGCTCACTTGCATCCTCAATCCTCCTGCCTCAGCCCCACAAGTAGCTGGGACTACAGGTGTGTGCAACCATGCCCAGGTAATTTATTTTAATGTTTTGTAGAGACAGGGTCTCCCTTTGCTGCCCAGGCTGGTCTCAAACTCTTGGCTTCAAGTGATACTCCCATCTTGGCCTCCCAAATGGTTGTGATTACAGGCAGGAGCCACTGTGCCCAGCCAGAAGTAGGGTCTGATATTCCCTTCAGTTCTAACTTAAAATAACATAGGTAATGTGTTTGTAGTAACAGAAAATGGAATGGACTTCAAGTTAATAGGAACAATGTTTCTCAAACTTTTTCTCAGTATTCCACTCAACAAAAGTAACACATGGAGCTAAATGGTGTAAATAGACCCATGAATGAATGAAGCAACAAGTCCGGGGCTCTGCTCACCTCAAGTCAGCCAGGTCTCCTTGAGGGATCAGCTTCTTGGTATGCCTGTCACCCAGAGTTGGCTTGACTGAGGTGCTGATGAAGTTCATACTGCAGGAGGACTTACTCTCATGGGTTCCCTCTAAAGTCCTACATTTAATTTGCATCTATATTTTTTTATTCATTTTCTTTTAAAAGATTCCCCAGGCCAGGCGTGGTGACTGACGCCTGTAATCCCAGCACTTTGGGAGGCCGAGGCAGGCAGATCATGAGGTCAGGAGTTTGAGACCAGCCTGACCAACGTGGTGAAATGCCGTCTCTACTAAAAATACAAAAATTAGGCGTGGTGGTGCGCACCTGTAATTCCAGCTACTCAGGAGGCTGAGGCAGGAGAATTGCTTGAACCTGGGAGGTGGAAGTTGCAGTGATCCAAGACCATGCCACTGCACTCCAGCCTGGGTGACAGAGTGAGACTCCAGCTCAATAAAAAAACAAAACAAAACAAAAAATTCCTCAAATTGCATACGCTTCCGATGCCACATTACTGGTTTCCACCTCTGCTTAAAACTCATGTGTGGTATACTTGCTGGGAAGTTCTCACATGTGGTGTGTTCAGGCTGGGCCCTATACTAGCAACTCATTCAATAGCCATGAGGGGCATCTAGAATATGAGGTGGCTGAGCTTCTCTACACATGAAAGCTTAACGCTTGGCTGTTTAAAATAAACAAATAAATACCTTAATTCATTAATATGTGTGTGCTGCACTGAGCACTAACAATATCTGCAGCTTTCTGAAACACTAAAATCATACCCTTTGGAGAAAGGATTTGAGAAATGGCAATAGTCATTAGTTTTCAATCTCTTCTTACAAGTGTTCTTACTACATTCTACCAAGAGTTAGTGCAATAAACTCCTCCTTACAGAGATGATAGCAATTGAATGCAGGCTTCCAGTCTATGATGCCTCTGTTAGATCTTCCAAGCCTAGTAGTGTCTTTGATATCATAGGAATCTGGACCTATCACAGGGCTTCATTTCCAGATGCCACTTGATATGACGTGATAAAGGACTCTGGTCTCCTCTCTTTCTATTCAGTTATTCCGAAAGCTATTTTACTTTACACAAAAAATACAAAGTAGGTAGAATTTGTCTTTGGGGTTGTTCTACTTTTCTACTCAATGCCCCCTTACCTCTCTAACATCAACTTTGTCCAATTTGCTTTCAATGAGTCATGGAACCTCAGAGTTAGAGAGAAACTTAGAATTCTTAGAGTTCAACACTTAGCTGATTCTCCAATGATATATACAGCATCCTCGAAAAGTGAGAGCCATTAGCTACCTAAATAGACCCAGGGATGGAGAGTCTACTGCCTCCATCCATTTGACTTTGCTCTAATTGGAGGACTGTTCTTCCGTACGTTTGGCTGAAACCATTTTCCTTCCTCATGGGTTTAAACATCCTACTTCTCTGTTCACTGGTTTCATGAGTATTCTCTTTGTACTTTGGCAGGATTTCTACCAAGATGCCAACTGATGGTTTAAGCTCTTATTTCTACAAGGCCTATTCTCCATGAACAGTAAACTTTAGAAAAAAAATATATAAAATATACATCCCTATAAGAAACTCAAAGAATAATTAATATCAATGAAATTCCAAGCACAGGCTAGAAAAAGCAGCCTGTTCTTTGCCTGTTAATTGCTACCCCATGCCTTTCTGGTCTCACAGTAGCACCGTAGACAGCCTCAGATGGACAGCCTCAGCATCAATTCAGGATCAATTCCTGAACTAGAATTTACAAACTTTACTATGAGTGGGACCTGAACAAGACACAACTTCTCTGGAAGTCTCCTATTTTCTCATCTTCAAAATGAAGGGGTTCATCTCAGTTTCAAAATGTTCTCCAGCAGCCAAGTACCATGGTTTGGAGTGCCTCAATTATTACCTGACAGAGCAGTTACTAAGGTTTTCAGGTTCCAGAATTCAAGCCATCATGAACCCAATACATGTAGAACACTGATTTTGTATACTTGAGTAAATTTAACCTTAAAAAACCATTTGCTAGAATACAGTAAGTTGGAAAGTTTTGTTTCTTTAAAATGACATCACTGGGTAGATAGTAATTTTTATTTCTGGAAAATACTTATTAAGCCATTTCAGTCTCTCTTGATATTGGATTATTATGTATCATAAGGGAGCCATCAGAGAGTTATGTGTGAACAAAATCATATGAATTACAGTAGTTTACCTCTAAACAGTCTATTAATATATTCAGATAGCACTTAGAGATCTTTCTTTGTGCCTCAACTGTGTTAATGCAGTAAAGATTAAAAACTATGCACATGTGGTCAGCATCAATATTTGTAATTAATTTTGATTTATAGTACACTAAATAATAAATCAGGTTAAAATTGTAGCAGTTTATGTGAATAGTCATTAATGTGTTCCTTTTCTATTGCCTTATTCAGTTTTAGAAGTATATTAAAAGAGCTTTGATGTTCTACAAAGCAGATTAAAGGCATGTGGAGCCCAGATAAAGCCTAGTGAATGTGACTATTTAACAGCAATGAAGATTGTTCTCATAGCCGTCTCCCTCGGTCCATTGTGATACTCTATATTTCAAGAGATGAAAAGAACTCTGGAAACAATGAATTTCTGTGAATAGAATTCATCCATTAGGACAGAGACAGACCTTGGGAACCATGAATTATGGTGGAAAGGGAGATTGGTGAAGGTATCTCTTGGGTTGCATTCTTTCCAAAGTGATAGAAAGCAAGGATGATGTGTAACTTCATATGTGAGAGGACAGAGCTGAATATGAGATAATATTTTCAATGATATATCAATATACATTACTACTAACACTATGTGACATTATAGAGATAGATTTTACTCCATTTCTAGAATGTAAGCATTCTCCCTATCACCAATAACTGATCATGGCAGGCCCATAATTAGTGATTTGTTTTTTGGTGTATGGAAAGGTGCAGGTTGTATATACATCATGATAGTTAGCCAGGTGCTGGATACAATTTAGGTGCAATTGATTGTTTTATGAATTGAGTGAATAAGCATTAAGTAATTATGTGGTGCTCTGAATCTGATATTTTAGATCAAACCAAAATCACAGGTCTTCACTCTATTGCCCTATTTTCCAGTACTTTGTCTTAATTCATGCTTGTTCTTTTACAAACATGTTTTGTTTCTGCTTAACCAAGACATAGTCATTCATTGTAGTTCATTCACTCATTTTGGTTCATTTCAGAGGCTTCCTTCTGTTCTAGGTGTTTTGGTTGGTTCAGGGGTAATACCTGTCTTTTTCCTCAACTCTCTTGAAATCCTTTGTAGCAATTTGGCATGTGTAATGACGTGGCACATAGCTGATAATAATCAGTATTTTCATTACTGAATTTAGCAATCTGAACCAAAACTAGCTTGTTAAGGATAGCAAACAGGATATAATGGAAATGAAATTTCTGGTTCTTGCAAAGATTCTATAACAAAAATACAATACAGCTAGCATAAATTTTGAAGAAAATCAGTTGGTATAGGACTATCACCAAGGAAGCCTGCTCAAATGCTAAACAAGGTTGTCCAAGAGGCCAAAACATGTTCCATAATATGAGGACATGGCTCCATGTTGCTACGTTTTCACTCCAGCAAACTGGGCTCACTGGGCTTCCTTACAGAACCCACGGGAATAGTGTGGTGAAATACCACCCTATGGGGCCTACAAATAGGCCAAGGAAAATCTAGGTAACTTAAAACTTAAAAATGGAAAACAGAAGAGAGAGAGTTTGGCTTCATAAGGACTATGAAGGTTTCAGTGAGTGTTTGAAAATGTCTCGGATACCATCTTCTTCATGAGCCTGTGAGCTGTTTCATGTTGCTTGGCCCTCTCCCTCTCTCCCGCTCTGCATCTCTGTGAGAGATATTTCTGAGAATGCAAAATGCAAGTGCTTATGAGCTGAACAGAGATTGTAGACAGAGACAAACTGCTCTCCTGTTCCTTGGAGTCACCAATGAGAAGGCAGACCCAGGGAGTGGGGGAATAGGGAGGATATTGTCAATACTATCTTATATGATTTATTAAGTGTGTACATATAATGAAAACAAATGGTATAATAACTGCTCCTTGTTGCATGTTTACTGTGTTTCAGAAAGACTTCCAGAAGGTAAAATCTTGCATACCTTACTTGAAGAAAAATCTTTATTTTAGGCATGAGGAGACTGAGGCTCTCAAAGTTAATGCATGGCAGAGTCAGGATCTATCCTTAGATCAGTCCTGGATTTGTCTTACATCTGTTCTTAAATCTGCCTTAAATCTGTCCTTAGATTTGTCCCACTCCAAGGCCTCTTTGCCTCCATCCTACATTGCCTTACCATGGAGTTCTTGGGGACAAGGGCCTATTTTGTGTCTTGATGTCTGAACACCAAGACATTCTATAGCTGATTAAAATAGTAGCAAAAGGAATGTTCTTCTCTTCAACCCTCTGCCCTTATATTATAAAGTATTTCAAAAAAGAGACAAGTATATGGAAAAAAAAACATGAGAAATGCCAATCTACAAAATCAGTGGTTCTTAACCAAGGTGATTCTGTCCACCTCCACCTCCAGAGGATATTTTGGCAATGTATAGAGATAGTTTCAATGGTCATGACATGGGGAGGTGCTGCTTGGCATCCAGTGGGTAGAGGCTGGGGATGTTGCTAAGTATCCTGCCATGCACAAGGCTTTCCTCCATGACAAAAATTATTTGGTCCAAAATGTCAGTGGTACAAAGGTTGAGAAACTAAATAAAGAGTTTAGAAAACCAGACATTTTTCAAGCCCTTTTATATTCATCCTTCATTTTTCTCTTCTCCCTAAAGCAGGCAACCTTGGGCATGCTTTATGTGTATACTACTAATGTATTTACTATTAACATAAATGCCTATAAATAATACAATGGATCGTTTTAATATCATCTGTACATATCATTCCCTGACTCATTTTTTAATTAAAATTAGGTTTTTAAGAGTTATGTTTTAAAAACATTTGTTTCAAAAATATCCATTTTTATAAATTTAAGCCTAGTTTACTCGTTTAAATATCAGAAGAATATTTATTATATGAATACACCACAATTTATTTATCCACTCATTTTTTGATAAACATTTAAATCATATCTGGTTTTTTCTTTACTATAGTGATTCAACAAACATTCTTGTACATGTGTGATACACTGGACTTTCTCTAGGGCTTACAGAGAAAAGTCAAATCTCTGGGTTATACCAACATACATTACCAACAGTGAATATGAATTTTTATAACCTTACATCTTCTCCAGAGCATGATATTGCCAAATGTAATTGTTGTGAAAAATTCCTTCTTTTATATTGCAGAGTCTTCTGGGAGTCCTTAACACTTAATCTTAAAAGATTATCAGATTCCTTTAAAACGTTATGTGGATAGTCATTAATATGTCTCGTTTCTATTGCCTTCTATTCATGTTTAGAAGAAAATTAAATGAATTAAAGTCAGTGTCTTTTTCAACAAACTGCATTGCCTCTTAATCTAACTGCCATCTAAGTGTTCATTCCTGAGGTTGAACTTTCAAGCTCATGTCAAAAATTCAGAGGTCACCGTAACTCTTCTTCTGCCTTTGGCCACACTTAGACACCACAGCATTAACCTTTTGGTTCCATCCACTTCTCTTTACCTCCACTGCTAAACCCTTGGTTTGAGTACATAATTTCTCATGGAATTTTAGCAACAACATACTAACTGATTTTCTTGTCCTCAGTACTACCTGTCTCTCATCTGTTTTCCACCCATAGTCCAGATTAGTCTTTCTAAAACACAAAAAAGGTCCGGGCATAGTGGCTCACGCCTGTATTCCCAGCACTTTGAGAGGCTGAGGCAGGTGGATTACTTGAGGTCAGGAGTTTGAGACCAGCCTGGACAACATGGTGAAATCCAGTCTCTACTAAACAAAAATTAGCTGGGTGTGGTGACATGTGCCTGTAATCCCAGCTACTTGAGAGGCTGAGGCATGAGAATCACTTGAACCTGGGAGGTGGAGGTTGCAGTGAGCTGAGATCACGCCATTGCACTCCAGCCTGGGCAATAGAGCAAGACTCCATCTCAAAAATAATAATAAATAAATAAATAAATAAATAAATAAATAAATAAATAAATAAAACTCAAAAAAGTTATTTTTAAAACCATTTAATGTCTCTTCCCAATGGAGTTCAAACACTTTAACCTGACCTGGCTTGCCTCTTTAGCCTTCTTGCTAACTATTCTTCCCTCCACAGTCCATCTTCCATTGTAATCAAATGGAACTACAGAAGTTCCCCCTTACCCGGCCGGAGAGGATATGTTCGAAGACCCCCAGTGGATGCCTGAAACCACCAATAGTCCAGAATCCTATCTAGAGCACTACATTTTCCCTTATACAATAATGGGCAGTTAGAGTATATAAAGTGGATATGCTGAACAAAGGAATGATTTATGTTTGGAATGGGAACAAAATGGGATGGTGTGAGATTTCATCATGCTACCCAGAATGGTGCAAAATTCAAAATTTATGAATTGCTTATTTCTGGATTTTTCCGTTTAGCATTTTCGGACCGCAGTTGACCCCAGGTAACTGACATCACTGAGGGTAAACTCATAGATGAGGACGGCTGTACCAGCATTCCCTGCAGCGCCAAGCTTCCCATGCCTCTGCTCTGTGCGTGCTAGTCTCTGTGCTGCAATGTCCTTGACAAACTCTGCTCAGCTACTCCTACTCATCCTCCAGGTCTCCTTCTTCAGGACATCTTCCCTCATGACCCCCGCAAGTGTGAATGCCCCTGTTTGTACTGCCCTGACACTATGTTATACTTCACTAATCACATTTATTGTTGTTTGTCTCTTTCCATATCTGGTTTCCTTACTAGGAATTCAAGGTCTTGAAAACAAGTTTGTCTTTCATTTGTCTTCACATCTCTAATTTTCAGCACAGAATAGGTGTTCATTAAATGGGTGAGGAATAATTGTAAAAGCTTCCTTAACTATGGAATGTCTCCCAGCCCCTCAAATCATAGGCCTACGCTGGGGTGAAACCTAGGTCCAGAGACCTGACACCCCCCTCTTTGAAATCTCATGTGAGAGGACCAAAGATCTCCTCCTGTTTTATCTGCAGGACTTATGCAAGACCCAACCTGAATGTTGACGTGCTCCACATTTCCTACCTATCTTACACTTACCATATTGTGGAATATGTTCTTTCTAAAGTATTTTCATTAGGTTTTAAAGCCCACATGCATCTTAAAGAAAATGTAAACCACATGTTTGACATTCATTTACACTTAACTACTTTTTTTCCTATAAAAAAGAAAAATGTAAATTGATGTTCAAATGCCTTTGGGCTTTTTAATAAATGTGGCTTTCAAGTCATTTTTCTTTCCATGGAATTATTACAAAGGAAAATGCCTTTGAACAATAGAAAGTCATGGATCTATCCCAACTCTAAATAAGTGGTATTTTAGTGGGTTTTAAACATGGTTAAAGTTCTTATCCCAGAGCTCTAAACCACAAAGCCCAGTTATATTTGTTCTCTTCATCTGTCAGAGGTAAAAACAGAGGGTATTGATCTTTTATTTATCTTTGAAGCTTTAAAGTATAATTTGTTCAAGGAAAAGTTTCTGTACTTAGAACATCTCGGTTCTAGCCTTGACTTATGCTAGAAACAAGGATTATATCTGTATTAGTCTGTTCATACACTGTTATAAAGAACTACCTGAGACTGGATAATTTATAAAGAAAAGAGGTTTAATTAGCTTATGGTTCCACAGGCTGTACAGGAAGCATGCCTGGGGAGGCCTTAAGAAACTTACAATCATGGCAGAATGTGAAGAGGAAGAAAGCATGTTTTCTCATGGCCAGAGCAAGAGGAAGAGAGAGAAGGGGGAGGTGCTACTCACTTTTAAGCAACCAGATCTCATGAGAACTCACTCATTGTCACAAAAATGGCAAGGGGGAAATCCACCCTCGTGATCCAATCACCTCCCACCAGGCCCCTCCTCTATTATTGGGGATTACAATTTGGCATGAGATCTGGGTGAGGACACAAATCCAAACCATATCAACATCCCTACTCTACTTACTTTATAAACTTGGTGGGAGAATCAAGTGGCATGGGGATGAAAGTAAATGGATACAGTAAAGAGGACTACTCATGGTCTGAAAGTGGGATAGTGAATTAACACAATGCCTTTAGAGGGAATATCTACAGAAGTTTAAAAATAATGTATGTTCCTTCACCAAACTATATATATGAGTGTTTATTGTACTCGAGATTTTAAATGCCAAAAAGACGTAATTTAAATGAACATATGTGAGAACTAGTTAAATAAATTAATGAAATATTAAATGATTGTTAAAAATCAGATATACAGATGTATATATGAGAAACAGAATACTTTTTCTTGGTAGGATATATAAGAAATATACAAGTGGTTACCTCTGGTGACAGAGCTTGGGGAAAGTTTTTAATTTTCAACTTATACTAATCTACTCTTGGATTTTCATGCCATGTACATGGATGGGTAATGGGCTAATGGTACGTTTGCCCTTTTTCTTTATATTCTTCTCTACACACACATTCAACACACACACACACATACACACAAATATTTAAATAATGTTTAAAGAAAGACAGAAGTATATGGTCCAATAGAAGATACTGGAGGAGCTTGTGCCCTTAGCCTAGTAATAAAGGGTTCAAGCTTCAGAGCAGACAAATTTGGGTTTGCATCCTGGCCACGCCGCCATTCTAGTTCTATCACCTGGGGAAAATTACTTGAATTCTCCGAACTTCAGTTTCCCTATATAAAATTGAGGGCAATAATCTACCTTTTAAGCCTATTATGAGAGATAAATTACGTAATAAATAATGAATAACAATAATGCGTAATAAATAATGCATAAAGCTGCATACAGCTTGCAAAATGGCAGACCTTCATTATGTTTATAGTTATTGTTTTTGTTATTATTATCATCATTATTATTACAATAAGCTAGCTAACACCTTTAAAGCTCTTTCTTCATTAAGAAGGCTATTTCAAGGGGATTGAGTCCCTCAGCCTTGTTCAGGGCTAGTTTTAGGGAAAAAAAAATGTGAGAGTGTGCGCCAAGTATGGCTTAGCTGTTATAGCCAAAAGGCTCAGGCGGTTGAAGAATAACCAAGTACACATACTGAAGCAGCAGATTTCATGTGAAACATTCCCCATCTACTTTCTATGGCACCGAGTGTCAGCCCATGTTGTGTGGAACTCTCCGCTGTGACAGGGCTTCTTAAGCAGCTCACAGCATTTAGCTTTTCAATTTTTTTTTTTTTTTGAGGCGTAGTCTCACTATGTCGCCCAGGCTGGAGTGCAGTGGCGCGATCTCGGCTCACTGCAAGTTTTGCCTCCTGGGTTCACGCCATTCTCCTGCCTCAGCCTCCCGAGTAGCTGTGACTACAGGAGCCCGCCACCACGCCCTGATAATTTTTTGTATTTTTAGTAGAGACGGGGTTTCACCGTGTTAGCCAGGATGGTCTCTATCTCCTGACCTCGTGATCCGCCGGCCTCGGCCTCCCAAAGTGCTGGGATTATAGGCGTGAGCCACCTCGCCCAGCCCAGCTTTTCCATTTTTTATAATAAGCTCCAGTGCCAGGTTCGGACTCCAGAATCCCTAGTCTCCAGATGAGTATCCTTCAGTGGACCCATGGTTTAGTGTCTCCCCGGAATAGAGTTTTCTAGAGTTTGAAAAAGTTAAAGTGCACTCCTGACCCAAAACCATTTCTTGACTCTGAAAAGAAATTGTTCCTGGAAGTGCTTCAGGGGAAAGCTTTGGAGGAGCAGCTTTCCATTTTGCCTTGAATTGCAAACTCACATTAAAAAACATTAAGGATAATAAACTGGAAATTCAATTACCAGGCTTGAAGCCAGAACACCGCACACTCGATTTGGATTTGCATCTTAACTTATAGCTTGTTCTTGCCAATATTACTTACAATTCAGACTTTTGCTCATGGTATAAAAAGCACTTAGTGCACAGATGATTTCTCCCCAAGTGCTTTTTGATGGACCTGCCCAAATGTCGATTTGGGTATGAGTTTAAATTAGGAAGAAATTTAAAATATTTCTCCCTTTTATTTATCTGTTTTTATTTTTGCACTTTGGGAATCCAGAGAACTACATGACAAGAGTTTCAAATTTCTAACCGTGTTGAATGTCTCTTCTTGGATACCAAATCAGGGTTTCTATTGAATCTACATCCTAATTTACTTATATACTCTCATGCGGAGATGTTAGTCACCTGCCCTAATGAAGATGATTCCTAATATGAGGGTTTGATAAAGAATAAGTGGATACGTGATAGCCCTGCCAAAGAAACCAACTTTGAGTGTAAATTTTTGTTAAAACAAATGTTAATTGAACCCATGGAGACAGAGGGTAGAATGATGGTTACCAGAGGCTGGGAAGGGGAGCAGGGAGAGGAGGAAAAAGTAGGAATGGCTAGTGGGTGCAAAAACATAGATAGAATCAGTAAGACCTAGTATTTGGATAGCACAACAGGGTGACTACAGTCAACAATAATTTATTGTATATTTTAACATAACAGAAAGATTATAACTTAAAAAATTTTAACCCAAACAAATGATAAATGGTTGAGGTGATGGATATGCCATTTACCCTGATATGATCATTACATATTGTATGCCTGTATCAAAATATGTCATGTACTCCATAAATATATACATCTACTATGTATCCATAAAAATGAAAAATTTAAAAATCTAAGTTAAAAAAAAGACAAAAAAGAGTATGCATTTTTGGCTGGCTTTGATTGTTTCAGTAATTCAGGTATCCAGTTGTGGGTGTCTATGAATCTGGATAAATAACTCTAAAGGTAGATCTCCTCAATCCCTGAAGTACGGTATGTCTTAGCCCTGAAGGGCACAGGCAGTACTTCCTAGGTATGAACTCAAGCTCTGTCACTTAGCAACAGTGTCAGTATACACAAGTGGCTTAAACTTTTGTGCCTCAGTTCTCTCATCTATGAAATTGGTATGCAGATGAGAGAACCTCTCTTATAAGCTTGTGTAATGATTAAAGGACTTAATCATGGGTGTAAAGGTCTTAGAATAGCGTGCTTGGCACTAGTAAGCACTCAGTAAATATTAATTTTTATTGTTATCAGGTGGGACTCATAAAAGTTTTCAAGAATAATTATATGATTCTGCTTGGGATAGAGAAAACAGTGGTTTCTCTTTGGATGCCTTCCAGGATTTTGGCTTCTCTCTAGAGCAGTGAATCTCAATCTTGGATGCACATTGGTATCACCTGGTGTCAAAGTATAATTTTCAAAAGTTGAAAGCTTGAATCTCATACAAATGTACAATGACTACTTGCCAAAAAGTTATTTAATTCATTTAAGGAGGGAGCCAGCAGGATAAGTTTCAACTGGTTCAAAGAGAACTAGAAAGACCAAGTAGACATAGGTCCTGAAAGAATGCTGAAATAAGATTGCTAGGTGAGATACAAAACTGGTTAATGTTCTATGGAGCAAAAACCCTGTAATCTTGGAATTAGACAGAAATTATTTGCAGCTCTACTAGTGAAAAAAGTATTTGCATTGTTATTGTACCAGAATCTATTGCATTGCTATCAGACTTTTCCAATAGTTGTCAAACTTCAGCACGTGTCAGCATCACCCAAGAACTTGTTAGAATTACACAAACACAAGCTCTATTCTATTTGAATAAGCTTGGGCCTCTGTTTGTTCTGCAAGGCAACATCTGCTTTTACAGAGTTGTGTAATATCCTAAGTAAATATCCTACTAAATAGTAAAATAAATGAAGGTACATTCCCCTAAAGAATTAGATAGTCTTTGGGTAGGCTTGTTAGACAATCTTCCATCATGACAGTGAACGGCTATGTAGTCATCTCTTATCTCCATGTTTTTTTTTTCTCAATACTGAGTTGCAATTAAAAACAACAGCAACAAAAAACACATACAAAAAAAACTACTTATGGCTAGGTACCACCCCTAGCTTCTGACTAATTGAACTTAAGTGTGATTTAGGAATCAAGGTCATAAAATTTCTCCAGGTGATTCTAATATGCTGTCAAGGTTGACAGCCTCTGGTCTTTAAGGTTGCTTCATTTCCTGACTGCATTCTCTATTGTACTCAGTGTCAATAACATAATATGTGCTCAATATTATGTATTAAAGATTTAATAAATTAAATAAGTACAGACCAATTTGAAATGGCTTGAGTTTCAGTAGGCACAGATTTATTTAGCCAATCTTCAATAAAAGTGGACGCTTCCACAAGGATGGTTACACCCCCCTCAGTTACAGGAAGACAGCAGAGACTTCTCCAGTTAACATTCTTTTATGACTGGTACACCATTCACTTCACTGTACCCAATTTACAGGTCTCTTGGATGTGGCTAAACTATCTCTTCCTTCCCACCTGTTCTAGACAAAAATTTTTTTTGTCAAGCAAAAATCTTATTTTTTTCCTGGAACATAATTGAAATCTTAATCATTCGCAAAAGTCTTAAGAGGGAACCATCTTCAAAAGATAAAAATAACACTTTTTTTTTGCTTCTGCTTTACTCTCAAGACCTCGAAGGCTGTCATCATTACCCAATTTTTTTCCACTCCAGGATTCTTGTGTCTTCCCCTCAAGGTGCAGCTTTCTGTATGGCATTGCTCTAGGGAGTCAGTAAGGTGGGTGGTTTAGGAGATGGACCCCTCAGCCACCATTCCTTTATCAAGATCATTCTTAAGGAGCCATCAGTCTTTTCCTTTGGTTGTCTTTACTTCATTCTTCTCCTCTTTGCTTTTGCTTTGTCATTCTGTAAGCAGGAGTGAAAATTATCTTCACTACTGTCACCAGAATTCTTTGGCTGGGAGGAAGCTGTTTGATGTGGAAAAATAGCATCCCTAAGTGCCTGGATTCAAAATGAGACTCTGAGGGCATGGGAGTGCCTAGGACTTCGGCAAAGTCAAGGTAATAGCTGAACTCCTCCACCTGCAACAAAGAAAGGAATTTGTTTCTGTTCCTGAGAGGAAGGAGAAAAGACAAAGAGGAACAGAGAAGAGACAGGGTGATGGTGGAAATCTGGGTGCAGCACAAGGCTGAAGAGCTACATAAAGCCTCTGGTGGCAGAGAGGCTGGGAGATGTGTGAGAACAGGCTGGCTTTGCTCATTGCTCTTGGCACTGCTGTGGCATGAGTCCCACATCTTTGCAACCCTACTCTCCACCTCTTCAGTAAAGTTTGTTTCGCACGTACGTGCCTAAGGTGAATATATGTGCTTGTGTAAATTATAAAAAGTAGCATAGAATTTTATGACTGGATGAAGGTAACAGAGTCAACATACATGGAAATTATAGCCAAAGCCAGGAGGAAACTTTGCTTGTGGAAACCCTGGAGAAGGCTTTGGATGTATTGAGGTACTAGAATGAAGTTCAAGGCAGTTCTATGTAGGGTTACACTGAATTCACCCTTTGCACAATGATTTAATGGGAGGATAAAGAGTAAATAGATCTCTACTAGATACTATGCAGGATTCCAAGACCATCCAGAGACACCTTACCAAGGACAGGCAAGCTAGTGGAGGTAAGAGACACATACAAAGAGCTAAATCTTAACACCAGGAAGACTGTATCTTAGAAATGCAAAGAATAAGTTCAAAGTAAAAGAGATCTCTTCCAATTACGGAGACTGTGAAAACTACATGAAAAAAAAAATGGTTCCTGAGCTAAACTTTGAAAAATAAATAGCATTTAGATATGGAGATGGGAGAATAATAATAATAACCACCACCATCATCATCACACCTATATATTAGATGGGGAAAATATATCTGTGTAACCACCACCCCCATTAAGATACAAGATATTTATTGCTTTAGTTTCCTTATGTCCCTATCCAAGTGAAACCTCATGACCCTTCACTCCAGAAAAACACTCTGATTTCTGTCACCATGAATCAGATTTGTACATTGTGCTGAGTGTTTACTTGCATTATCTCATTTGATCCTCATAAAAGCCCTTCAATGTAAATAAAATGAATGGCTCCATTGTACAGATGAGAGGCCAGACTTGGTTTAGTAAGTAATTTGCTCCAAATCGCATAGCTAGAATTTGGCAAAGCTGAAACTTGAACCCAAAGCTAATTTTAAAGCCCAGATTCTTATCTAATTCACAGAGAAAATAACATAAGCAAGATGAAGAAAACTATATACTATGTATGGACAATAGTAAGTAATTTGGTTACAGTATAAGGCATATGAGGAAAGTAAAGTTTAGCTAAAATGTTCTGGTCTTCTATGGGTCTCTCTTCCATCCAGAAGAAGTACTGTGTGTGTCTGTAATGCTCCCACTTATAATAACTCTGACCCTTAAACCTGCAGGCTTCAATCACCTTGTAGAAGATTTTTACATGTCAAATAGTGTTCTATTTATGAGGCACAGGATAACTCCCAGGTGGTCCTGTTAAATAATAAGTGTTGACTTCATAGTATTTGCTGTTATTTATACATATGCATGTACACATTTGTACAGAAATAAATACACATTGCACACATGGGCATCTGTGCTGAAGTATGCAGCCAAGTGTCAGCACATTATCAGATTTAAATTAGCTGCCTGACTCTATTAATAGCCCTGGTTTTCCAGTTTTTGAAATAAAAGATCCCAGAACAGCTGGGCTAAAATCTGAAACAGAATGGAAGAATACAACCCTGTAAGCAGTAGTAGTCTGTCGATAACTGCTAAATAAAGTTTGTTGCTTCATAGGTTTGTGCAGATGCCTATAAAACAACCCTTGAAATGCTAAGTGCTTTTTAAAAACAGCATAATCTTCAACCAGTGAAAGGGGTTGATTATGTCTTATCAATCATTTTGAAAACCTCACTGACATCCCATTAAAATTTGAAAGCAGGGCTAAATCCAGGAGCAGATAGTGTCCATGCAGGCCACATGGCTTCATGAAAGGGCAGCAAGAAGATTTCTACCCACTTATCAAAGTTTCTTTCCTGCCAGTTTATTATTTCTGGAATTCTACTATTCAACATTTGGACTTTTAAAATGCAATGCTGTCTTAGTTCATTTTGTGTTGCTATGAAGGAATACCTGAGGCTGGGTAATTTATAAAGAAAAATGGTTCTGTATGGCTGTATTAGAAGCAAGGCACCAGCATCTGCTTCTGGTGAGGACCTTAGGAAGCTTCCAATCATGGTAGAGGAGGAAGAGGAGCCGGTGTGTAGCATGGTGAGAGAGGGAGCAAGAGAGAGAGGAAAGGGATGCCATGCTCTTATAAACACTCAGCTCTCTCATGAACTAAAGAAGTAAGGATTCCCTCATTACCACAGGGACCACACCAAGTCATTAATGAGGGATCCACCCCCATGGCCCAAACACCTCCCATTATGTCCCATCTCTAACACTGGGGATCAAATTTCAATGTGATATTTGGAGGGGACAAATATCCAAACCATAACACAATTCAGTTCAATGTCCCTTCTACAATTTATCTCTTGACTCCCTCAGTACTACGTGCTCCTACCTCACTGCTTCCTGAACGTGTAGGACACAGTACTTTGCTCTGCCACTTAGTTCATGCTGTTGACTAACCTGTATGTCCTTCCTTCCTCTGCCTGGCAAAATGCCAGTCACTCTTTAAAGCTCATCTCAAAGCACCCCTCCCATGACATTCACAAGATCCTCCTCCACTGTCTCCCTACCCGCCTAGGCAGAATAAATCATGTCTACCCTGGTCTTCCCATAGAACTGTACTTTTTTTTTCCTTTTTTTTTTTTTTTGAGATGGAATCTCACTCTATTGCCAGGCTGGAGTGCAGAGATGCTATCTTGGCTCACTGCAACCTCCGCCTCCTGGGTTCAAGCGATTCCCCTGCCTCAGCCTCCTGAGTAGCTGGGACTACAGGCACGTGCCACCATGCCTGGCTCATTTTCTTTCTTTCTTTTTTTTTTTTTTTTTGTATTTTAGTAGAGATGGGGTTTCACTATGAGGGCCAGGATGGTCTCGATCTCCTGACCTCGTGATCCGCCCATCTCAGCCTCCCAAAGTGCTGGGATTGCAGGCGTGAGCCACCGTGCCTGGCCAGAACTGCTCTTGAACTATGGTGACAAGTGTCACATCTTTTCATGGCATACATCTCTTGCTAGAGTGAGAGCTCATATCTACTATGGCCTTAAAGAGTGACCCTGGGGCTGGGAATATTGGATTTACCTGGGAGACAGAATATCAGCATTTCAGGCGCTTTCTAGATCTTCTGTATCAGAAACTCATTTTACTAATATCCCAAGGTGGATTCATATAGACAGTAACATTTGAGAGAGCCGTCCTAGAGGACAAAGAACATGACTTAGTGATCCTGTTCTCCATCACAGCACCAAGCAGGCTATGTATTCATTCAACAAATAGATGCAAGGGACCACATGCTAGACATTGTATTAAGAGCCAATGATTAAAAGATGACCAGGACATGAAGCACATAAAATTATAGTTACACTTTCAGTTAGAGGTTAGAATTCCATAGATGAAGTAAGAAAAGGCCAAGTCAATTGAAAGCTTTGAAAAGGCTTTATGAGTCTGAGAAACACAAAACTGGAAATTATTCAATAGGTTCCTTTACTGTGGGACATCTCAGAGCACTTGAATCCATTTGCGTCTTGTGACTCTACAATGTGTGTGATGCCTCAAACTTATTTAATCATAAAAGGTATTTATACTTTTATTTACTTACTTACTTAGGCATGGCCAATCTTGTGGGACTATTTTTCAAAACATACATTGGAAATCACTAGTCTACTCCCACATGTTTGGATTTCATTTTGTTTGGCCTGGTGACAGTATTTGTAATGTCTCCCATAGTGAATGAAGTATTGAACACCTAACATTTTTCTCAACCAAGTTGTAAACTCTTTAAGAAGAAGGGAGAATATCTTATACTTATTTGTTTTTCTACTCCAGCTTTCACATTGCTACTCAATCAGAATTTGCTGAAGGTTGTCCTGTGTCTGCCTTGCAATCAAGCAAAGCATGAAGCCATGGTGGATTCTTGATTGAGAACAAACTCTACGGGGTTTAACATAGTAAGGAAGACACTCGAATGGGGGTTGTAATCCTGGCTCAGGTCCTAGCTGTGTTGATTTTGAGCTGGTCACTTACCCTCTCTAGGCCCTAACATTTATTTCATGTGCCAAGCATGGCTACTGTGTGACCAGGTTCTATGGTGTCAGGATCTGCAAGTTTACAAGTCTTCAATAGATATGAGGCCAGGTGCGGTGGCTCACGCCTGTGCGGATCACCCTAGGTCAGGAGTTCGAGACCAGCCTGGTCAACATGGCGAATTCATGTCTCTAGTAAAAATACAAAAATTAGCTGGGTGTGGTGGTGGGTGCTTGTAATCTCAGCTACTCAGAAGGCTGAGGCAGGGAGAATCACTTGAATCTGGGAGATGGAGGTTGCAGTGAGCCAAGATCGTACCATTGCACTCCAGCCTGGGCAACAGAGTGAGACTCAGTCTCAAAAAAAAAAAAAAAAAAAAAAAGATATGGATACAGGTAGAGAGGTTAGAATTGAATTTTATGGAAAATTCTGTACTCTGCTTTTCTGAAAATAGTGTTTGAAAATTAGAACCAATATTTTAGGATGATTTATATGAGAGCCATTCCAGAGGCTATAAGATGCATACAACATCTTCTAGAGAGAGATTTTTCAGGCCTGATATTATTTTATCTGTAAAATGGGAATAATAACTTTGGTTTCCCTTTATCATTATTCATTTGGAACTTCAATAAATCTGAGAAGATTTAGCCTTACTAATTTTAAAAGTAGCTACTAAAATATAAAATTAAACTATAACCACAACAACAAAATGTTGAACATGCATTGAATTCTAAAGTATTATTAACACAAGACTAAAAAATAATACCATATGCTTATTTAGCATTGGTCTTCCAAGCTGTTTAAAGCACTTCACCTTGGTTACCTGAAATATTCATATCCTCATTTTATGGATGGAGGAACAGAAGTGAAGATGTGAGCTAGCTCACTGAAATACCACCGATGTCCTATTCAGAGCTGGGCATTGTCCCTGGGTCTCAAGGTCCCCAGTCTGGCCTTTTACCCACCAAGAGATATGCAAAAGAATTTTCGTTTTGACCTTCAGCCTGGTTGATAACAGCTGTCTTCCCCCCTGAAATATGTGTATATGCACTGTGAGTTGCATATTTATATGATTTCCTGAAACCTGCAGATAAACAATGATCATTGGAAATGGCCGGTGTGCTTTGGCAGATTTGAAATACTGTAGCACTTAACTAAGTCCGAATGCTTCTCATGATAAGCAGCCTTCACTTACCTGAAATCGAGGGCCATGATTAACTGGAAATTGGCTGGTATTAATTATGAGGCATGCCCCATAAATCTCTCTGCTGATGGGACCCTGGGCAGGTCTGAAACCAGACTAGGTCTTCGGGGGAATTGAGTGGGGAACACGCAGGAGAGCCTGGTACTCTCCTTCTCAGTCCATATCTGCCTCCTAGTTCCTAGCAGCCCCTATTGCATGTATTTCAACCTCCATTTCCATCTCGGTGAGGTTATGTCCAATGTGATTGTACCTTCCCCTGGCAGGGCCCACGCACCAACCTTGCTCGTTTATCTCCCCCTTGGCCTCCAACATCAGAGTACTTGTAGAGCCTTATAATGTGCTAAACATTAATATTCACTAACTTGCTCCAGGGAGCTATGCTTCGCCGAGCGCATTTTCACCTGAAAGGAGTTGTTTAATATAAACATTTGGTTAATATTCTGTACATTTGAAAGTATTTTATCAGCATTGGTGTAGGACCAAAAGTCATTTAAATTCAATGGGAACTGATTATGCGCCAAGAACCAGTCCTTTGCAAAAGAGTGTGTTTCCCCCCTAATATAATGTATAAATTATCAAACTCACTTACACGGTTGATGGGAACACTTTGTGGACAAACCTGCAGGCCTGCATTTCTTCTGACTGAGTATTCATCAGCTCTGATGCTGGTGTTAAATGGGGAAAAATATTATACAATATTGCTTTAAAAACTGTCTAAATATAATTATCAACATCTCTGGAGTGATAATAATTATCATAACAAGACTTCATCAGAGGAAACACATGGTTTGACGAGGATCCTCTACTCTCGAGTTACTGCCACCTCACAGAAGAAGGATGCAATAACATTTCTCTTCTTCTTTACCTCTCTAAAGAACCCTAGCTCTCGGAACTGTCTTTTGGTCAATTTTTCTTTACATGTGTCTCTGTGACACTCATTACCCCAAAGAATTGTTAGGTACACAAACAAGCAGATCCAATAAGGGTTGGAATAGATAAATGAAAACTACATTCCTATGTGTCTACTGAGATTTATTTGAATTACATTCCAAATTTTTAGTTAAAGTTTTCACAAGAAGTGAAAACTATCACAAGAAGTATTCACTATCAGGTCCATAACAGAGGCCCATATGACAATTTGGTGCTAATACGACCCTTGGAATAGGTAGGGCTGCACAGCAACTTCTGCTCTCTTCTCTTTTTGCTATGGAATCAGTTGACTTGAAGCTGAACATATGGTCCCTGTTGGATACTGATTTTTCTTTTAAACTGGAAAATATAACTTACTGGAGAGTAAATTGAAATATGTATATGTGTATATATATATACATATATACATACACACACACACACACACACACACACACACACACACACACATATATATTTCTTCTTCAAGAGCTTACGATCTGGTTGATAAGAACAGTTAGATGTCCAATACTTCATTCACTATGGCAGACAATACAAATACTGTCGCCAGACCAAACAAAATGAAATCCAGATATAAACTTATACGTACACATAACAAATAAAAATCTGTGTGGCCACCAACTGCCTACTCTTCTTGATAGCAACTCTCTCCCCCCACCCTATCAAGTTTACTATGTCCTTAAGTGTAACTGGAGTTTGTTCATTTTCAATGATGATAAATGGATTTTTGGGCCAATTGTCAATAATACTGATAGGCATTTGGGAAATTTCTGTTTGGGGCTATTACAAGCTATGGTGCTGGGAGCATCCTCATTGGTGTAAATAGACAGTTGTACACACACCTTAGGGTATAATTGTTAGGTAAGAATTTTTGCATTTCTTTAATTTTATTGGATAATGTGCAACTGTTTTCCAAAGTGTCGGCAGCAACTTTTATTCCTACCAGCAGCATATGAGAGCTCTGAATTCCCCACATCTTTAGTAATACTTGATGTTGCTGAACTTTTAAATTTGAGCCAAACTGGTGGGTGCATAGTGGTATCCTTCTATAGTTTTAATTTGCATTTCTCTGGATATGGATAAGATTAAACACATTTTTGATTTATTGAGATATGGATATGGATATTAAGATATGTTGAGATATGTATGTGGATAAGATTAAACACATTTTGACTGTTGGGAATTCTTTGGTAATGTGTCTCTTCAAGCCATTTGCCCATATGTGGAGTGGGCTGTCTGGTTGATTTGGTGACCTGATAAAAGAATAACAGCCCTGTTATTGTGTATATGTACAAAGTGCTCAGCGTTGCCATCTGCAACTTTTACACAATTTAACCATGGTAAAGACAAAACCATTATTAGTGTAGATTGCCTAGCTTAAGTCTGCTAGTTTGGATATTCTTACAGGTTTCCATAGTAAAGAAAATAGGAATTACTGAAGAGCACCATTGGGGCCATATCTCAACATCAAAAGTCCTTTGCTTGCAGTTGGAAGGGCTCTGACTCCCTCAAGGATCATTTAGATTGTTGTAGCAAGGATTTAATAATGCATACCATAAAGTTCCAGAAAAAAATAAATTTCTCTATCAGTGAATAGCCAACTTACTCACAGGACCTTGGAAGAATACCAAAAAGTAATCTCTTGAATACTAAAAACACTCATTAGTGCTCTGACAGTGGGAATATTGGCATCCTAATTGGCAACATAACCACATACATGATAGTCACAATGAGTCAGACCATGAAACACTCAGCCTGGAATTATTTATGGAGAGAGAGAGTTGGGCAAGAATATGCCCAACTCACCCTCTGAGATGCTGCTTCAAATGGTCCAGACAGTTTCAAACTCTAGAATTCTTCCAGGATTTATCCCCTACAGGTAAAAGCTTATTGATTCCATTGGTGATCCTAGAATTCACACATTCCCTCTGTGTGTCTCAAGTTCCAGCTCTCTAAGGTCATTGGCGACTCCAGTTGCCTCATCCTCCCCCAAAGAATGTGTCTCTTCTTGACTACAAATCTTTTAAAAAATCGCTTCATAGGCCATGTTTTAACTTATAGAAGACTGTATCTGAGTTAGATGCTGATTGGGATACTGGAGTAGTGGCTTCCATGTAAAAATCTTTTGCAAATATGTTGCATAAAGGACATGGCTATGGCATGTATTCACTGTCAGGCCCGGAACAGAAGCTTATATGACAACTTGGTCCTATTAGGACCCTTGGAATAGGTGAGGCTGCACATCTCCTTCTTTTCTCTTTTCTTTTTGTGATGGAATCAGTTGGCTTGAAGCTGAACATATGGCAACTGCTGTCATATCACAGAAACCATTCCCTCTGCCATGGCAACCAAAGAATCAATGCACACTAAGTAAGAGCTTGGGCTTACTCAATAAACACACAATGGCACAATGCATAGACATTTTGTTTGTTTGTTTTTAGAAGCATTTAGAATAGCTACAGATAATTAATATGTTTCTTTAAACACATTTCTCAAGTCTTTCTGTTAAGAGAGATACTTGGAATTTATGTATCTTGTTCTACTTCATTTCTGAAGCAATTTCTTAATGGAAACACATTTCATTTCCAAATTCAGGGATATTATTCATCCCTGAGTTCACTGGATTCAATTCTGTTTTCTCCCAAAGATCTTTGAAATTAATTCACCAATATGTTGTTGCTAAATTCGATACCCAAGGAATAGCACAGGGATCAGAAGAACTGTCCTGATGCATCTAATAGCTATAAACTAAATAATTTGGCTCAGGAGTGATGAGAATATCAGAGGCATGCATTCTGCTTAGTATTTTAAGGGTATGTGTTTAGTTTTGCTCCCGTGCCCATCTTGGTGCATTCTTTCCTTGCTCAGTTCCGAAGGATAATTGCAACCTATTGTCTATACCAAAGTAGTTCTATTACATAAAGGGTTGGAGGGGGAAGAAATATAAGGGGCGAAATTTCTGTGAGAAAGCATTGCCAGGCGCTGTTTCTTCAGGGTTTACATAGCCTCATTCCAAGAAAAAACAAACCAAAGTGTTGAAAGGAGCTATAACTGGGACTAGGAGGCATAAAAGTTTGGTATCCACTTCTATCTTACTTTCTTTGTCTCCAGCCCCTCAGACAGAGCTGGGTAGTAGAGACTGTGGTGCAAAGGGCCTTTCTGGATGAAATCCATGTTTCTTTAACCCTCGGCAGTGTGCTGTTTTCTCTGTGCATGCTCACCCGTTAGCATTTTAATCTAGCTTCATATGGCACTATTCTGCAGATGGATTTGCTTTCTTGCCTTTGTTTGTTGTATGAGTGAGAAACATGAGGGCATTTTCATGATTGGGAAAATGCCACGAAGTTGTAAAAATCAGGTGACTTCTTCTTGCCAAGCCCCAAGGAATGGGAAAGCAGAAATTACTCCAACGAGGACTGCAAATGTTCTCAATATTAAAATGCTCAGGAGACTTGATCTGATCAAATGAGAAGATCTAGTGGAGGCCTACAGACTCAGACATGACCCTGAATTTCTCTATCTGCTAAATGGGATGTGGCTCATCCGACTCTTCAGGAAGTCATTCAATGAATCCTTTCTTTAATATGGGCACCTCCTTCTTTCTGTGGCTTCTAAGCAGCACTGGGAAATAAGATACACATTTACATATTGCTTTGGTGGCATAATGGTGAGTCGATAGACTGTTCACTCTTATAAAACTATTTTCAAACATTGAAGGGTTTCTGTTTTATGACTTCATCACTCTTTGAGGTCTGTACATTTTTACATTTACCTGGTATTTCCCAAGAAATCGTGTATGGGTTGGGTCTATAAGTAAACAACCTCCCAATGGGAGACTTTAAGTAGAAAAAATGACCGTTTGGGGGATGAGAAGCAAAGAAACTGTTGATGAAAAGAGTCAAACTCTGTCAAATATTTTTAGAGATTTATTCTGAGCCAAATATGAGCCAAATATGCTCATGGCCCGTGACACAGTCCTCAGGAGGTCCTGAGAACATGTGCCCAAGGTGTTCGTTGTAAAGCTTGGTTTTATATATTTTAGGGAGGCATGAGACATCAAATACATTTAAGAAATACATTGGTTTTGTTCAGAAAGGTGGGAAAAAATGTGGAGGCTTCTAGGCTATAGGTAAATTTAAACATTTTCTGGTTGACAATTGGTTGAGTTTATCTGAAGATCTGGAATCAAAGGAAATGTTCAGGTTAAGATAAAGGACTGTGGAAACCAAGTTTTATTGTGAGGAGGAAGCTCTCAGATAGCAGACTTCAGAGAGGGCAGGTTGTAAAATGTTTCTTATCGGACCTAAAAGGGTGCCTAGCTCTTAGTTGATTGTCTCCTGGATCTGGAAAGGAAGGGGAAAAAAAACAAAGGGGAAAAGGGATTCTCTAGAGAATGTGGATTTTTCTTACGAGAGACTTTGCAGGACAATTTCAAGGTATGGCAAGGAAATATATTCTGGGGTAAAACATTTTGATTTTCTTCCTTGTTATGCCAGAGTCAGATTGGAAAGTAAATTACAATATACAGGGTTAAATAAAACCCATCTGATGAGAATTCATGGTTTGTAGGGCATGACTCCCCAGACCCCTTAGATAGGAATTTGGGCAAGATAAAATAAAAATCAGAGCTTAGTCCTCAAAACAATCTTATAAAGGTCATCTCTTTTCTATACAGTGTATATTCCTAAGCATTTGTATTTTGTTTTAATATTTGTTGAGATGTCTTCGGGTGATGTGTACAGTCTAAGTCATGAATAACCAGTACTTGTTCAACATACTTCCATTCACCATCCAGAGTTCATGAAAGACATAGCTAATCAAGCACAACACTCTTTCCTGCTGAACCACAACACAGTCTCAGAATATTTCTCAAGGTGACACTGCATGCAGACTCTATCAGTTGATCAGAGTTGCAATGCAAGATAAGATAACCTGCCCTCCTAGGTCTGGGCTCAGCCAGTGATGTGGTTCCTCTTCTTAGGATGAGTGGCCAGATATAGAAGAAAACCTTAGTCTGAAAGTTATAAATATTCAACTTTTCCTGCAGCTCCCTCCTCCTTCTGCTTCTAGTGAAGCATTCCAGATACAGCAGGGACACCTTTGGCAGGCAAACACAGTTTTGTCTGTCTCATTCCAGGCCACCACCTCCCTTATGTCCTTATGCCTTCTCTCTGCATTCCTCAAGGATTTGAGTTGCTTTCTCATGGTGCATCCTCTAATCCCTAATAAAGTTCTGGGTCCACAGCCATGGTAGGCAGAATTTTGAGATGCCTCTCACAATTCTTGCCCCCCTAGTGTTCGCGCTGTTTACTCTCATGATTAGGTTGCATACTATGATAAAGGTGAAGGGATTCTGTGGACGTAATTAAGGTCCCAGAGAAGTTGATTTTGAGTTAATCACAAGAAAGATTATCATGGATGGGTCTCATCTAATCAAATGAGTTCTTCAAAGGCCAGGACATTTATAAAGAAAGAAACAGAAATTCTGCTTGTCTTGAAGGATTAAACAGTCACATGCTAAACTACCTGTGCAAAGGGCCAAGTGACAAGAGCCTGAGAGCAACCTCTAGCTGCTGAGAGAAGTCCCTGGCCAACAACTAGCAAGAAAATGGAAACCTCAGTCATACAGTCACAAGAAAATAAATTATTCCAACAATCTGGGGGAGCTTGGTGGTGGACATTTATCTGGTTGGTCTCCAGATGATTATGTAAATGACCAACATCTTGTTTTCAGCTTTGTGGGTACCCAGCTAAAACATGTCAGGCTCCTGACCCACAAAACCTGTGAGATAATGAATTTATGGTGTTAAACCACTAAGTTTGTAGTCATTCATTATGTAGTAACAGAAAATGAAGGCACTAGATACAGAATTATCTACCTGACCCTTTCTATTGCCTCTCAAAACCAGCAAATGGTTTCTTTTGAGTGTCTTACTGTTTTTTCCTATAGGAAAATTAGCATAGTATAAGAACATGAACCAAACAGTGATAATATTGGGGGAATTAAAGAAATTTCACAAGCTCTTATGTCACAACACTTATTTCTAGTCCATGTGAAGACTAGAGATGGGATCATCCCTCCCACTCTTCTTCATTCCCCTGAGACAGACACTGCTAGTCCAAAGATGGAATGGGTGAAATCCCTGCCTTAGGAAATACCCAGTGGTGATGTAAGGTGAGACTTGTCTTAGAGGAAATCTTAACAGCCTCCAAGCCCTCCTTGGTGAATTCTCTTATTTGCAAGTGTTAAAGTGATTTACCCTGCCTTTTATTCCACTCTCTGCTCCTTTCTATGTATACCTTATCTCCCTCATGAAGGGGCACTGCTTTCTTCAAGGCATTTAGTAAGAAATGAACATTATTAATCATTTACAGTTTGAAAAGCTCCAGACAAGAGTCTGTTTTATCACTGTGTCATTCATTGCTTGGGGTAGCCAAGTTTAACATAAATAACTATCACAGAATTTCTTACAATGGATCAAATGGATCCTCTCCCTTTTTTTGGAAAAGGCTTTTTGAGTTATTTTTATTTGGGACTTTCATTAACTTATACTCTAAATTGGGGAATGATAATATAATAATTTTACCTACTTCATAAGGTTTTTGTGAAGATTCAATGAGTAAATACATGAGAAGTTCTTAGCACCATAAAGCACATAGCAGATGCTTAATAAATCTTAGCCATTATCATGGTGATTACATTAAATATCTAGTAGGCTTCCAGCAGTGTTCAAGACCTTCAAGAGGGCAAGCAAACATTCTTTTGTACCAGCTACGTATGTCACAATAGAGACCTTTAGGTTCAACATCACACTGCCCCTGGTCATTCAGCAGTGGGTGGGGCTTGGAGCCAGACTATAAATTGGGACAGCTGAGCTTGCAGAATCCAGACAACCAAACTCCATCAATCAAGAGGAACTTAATCCAGGGAGGTAGGGTAGGGGGTTGAGATCAGGAGCAGTAGTTTAGAAAAGTCTCTATTTTGGGCTTTTACTAGACTATTGGGGAAAGAAGGGGGAATAGAGTAGATGGTTATAAAATTTCAGAATCAAAAAAGTTTAATCTGAGAGTCCCAGTTGATGATGAATACCATGGGATGTTGGTATTGGGTACTTAGAAGAATGCCAAATTGGAAAGAATTATGGGCTTAGTCAGAGTTTCTTCTCTTTCTAGGCATGTAGAAGAGCCTATTTACATCATTAACTTGCCAACTTTGTGTATATACATGTGCAGACACGCATGCATAATATACCATAAGGCAGCATAACTGATAGTGGACCTTAAGGTATGTTTCTGTGTCCTTTCTATCAGTTCACAAATTACAAGTAGGCAAGAAGCGCTGCCTTAGACCTTGGATTTTCAGTTTTCTGCTGTTTGGTCTGTATGTTTTATATTTTTAGCCCTTTGAAAAAAATGTCATCCTTTTCCCAGGGTTCTTCTGCTCACTGGGTCAGAAGCATCCGATTTCCTGTCATCGGTTGCGGTTCAGCCATGTTAATACTGAAAGTATAAGAATATCATAATCCCAGAGTGATATAAAGACCTTTCCAAGGAAGATGAGATACCCGGAGGCTGTGAAGGAGAAGTCTGAAGGATTTGAACGCGTTCAAATGAAAACCTTTGGTTCAGCAAAACACCAGAAACAAATTCAAAAGATAAAATACACTCCGGAGAAGCCCATTCTCTCAACGCATCTGACAGTTCACAAAGAGCAACTGCAGTCCAACTTAAAAAATAAAGAAAATGGTAGGAAAATGGGCAACATGCACTGAGGCAATATATAAGAAGAAGGAATGCGCAATTAATCAACAAAAGCCTGCTCTTTCCTAACGAGTGAAGATACAAGCTTAGTAAATATTAAAATTTATTGAAGATAAAAATGGACACTTCCGGCCATATATAAAAGCATTGTTGGTAAGAGAGTGGGGTAATTGACATGCTCCTGGGAAATAATACGCATTCAGACAACCTCTAATGAGTGAATCCACTGGGGGTATCCACTAGGAATAGAAAACGACCACCAATGCCCAAGTTTGTGGTCCAGAATTTGAGCAGCGATCTAACAAAGTAGAGTCTCCCCCTGTGTCATGGGCCCCACTTCTTAAGCAAAGAAGAATGCCTCATTTTGGTAACTCACCCAAATAAACAGAAATTTTTTTTGATAATCTTATCGCATTTATTTGGTTAAGTCTGAGGCAGAATATTTTTCTCCTTTGTATCTTTGTTTTGTTTTGTTTTAATCCTTGAAGTTTATTACCAAACTACATCTTGGTGTTTCTTCAGGATGTGAACAGGCCTTTCTATTCTCAATTAAGTGTTTCTTTCCTTTAATTCAGGAATCTTCTAATCATGTATTTTAATTTCTTTTTCTGTCATCCCTCCCCACGCCATAAGCTACCAGTCACTATACATGTTGGAGCTCTCTTTATTGTGCCATAGATCTCTGATGTCATGTCTTTAGTCATTATTTTGTGTCAGAAATTTTTGTTCTTCCGGGGACATCTGGCAATATCTAGAGACATGCTACTGGCACCTATAGAAATGCTAGTGACTTATTATGGGTAGAGGCTAAAGATGCTGCTAAATATCCTACAATGCCCAGGACAGCCACTGCCACAACAAAGAATTATGCAGTCCACAATGTCCATAGTGCTAAGGAGAAGAAACCCTGTCCTAGGGTCAAGGTTGGATGCTGACAAGACTAATTTCAAGTGATTTCAAACGATTGTGGGGAAAATACCCAGAAGTTGACAGGAGCAATATGTAGATATTTCCTTCTGTAAATTATATTTCCCTAATGCTAATGCTGGAGCATTTGGAAACACGTGTATAAATATTTGAAGCACAAAACCAGAGAGATGCTCTTATGTATTTAGCTTCTAGTTTTAAATAATAGATACTACAATAAACCTTGATTAAACCTTGATTATCTGATATGCTCTGGGTTTGTGCTTTTTGTGTGGGTTACATTTTCTAGTTAATGAATGTTTAACCACAAAATATTTTTGTTTCAAGCTTTGCTTTGCAAAAATATAGCATTTCTAACTGAGGTGCTTGTAATGTCCCTGGATTATGAAGTAAGTTGAAAACCCTGAAATTCTATATAAATAAAGGAGGGGAGCGTATTATGGTTATGAACACAATTTCTTCTAGGTATGAGATTGGACTAAAATGGTAACCGAACACAATGTTAGAATTTCTGAAAGTGATTTTAAAAGTAAAAGTCAACATCTAGCAATTAATAAACATCTATCTAAAATTTTATTTAGCACTTTAGTCACATGTACAACACTCTTACCATGATGAAGAAACTCCATGAGACTAATGAACTGATCTGTATTCACTTTATATCTTTTTTCCATAAATACACATATTTGAGTAGTTTCTGCTCTAATTGTTTGCAAATTCATTTGCATGATTTCCTTCAATATTTCATAGAACCTACAAAATTAATTACTTGATCTCTGTAAGAATAAGCACACTGTCTCCTCCCTTTCTGTATTAAGGCTAATTTAAGGGGAGGAAAGTAATTTAATAGAATCTCATTGTTTACTCACATTACACGTGCATAATGAGATCTCGGTAGGAAAGGATGCTGAATGCTACCTTTGAGACTCAATTAGTAGCTTGGGGCAAAAATATGATAGTCTAGCCATGTAGCCATTAAAACTTCCCAGATGATAGCCTTTGAATGGTCAAAGCTGTAGTTTCTAGAGTTCCTCTCAATTCTTCTAAAATTCTAAAAAGCAGGTTCAGAGGAGGGTGGGCAAAGACTACAGGAGCCAGAAATCTCCATCGTCATCACTGCACTGGTTTGTCTGGGTGGCATAATTTCCAAAACTCACTGATACCCTACGCTTGATACAATGATGTAATAAAGTAAAACAGAACAAGAAAAATTATTCTTGAGCCATTTATTGATATTCCCCCCATATCCTCTCCATAAAGATTTGAAATTAAACAGTATGACGAACCCTGAAAACTGACACAGAGGTTGTCTGTCTGAAGAAAGGTTTGGATGTCATTTTCTTTTTTCAGTTTCATTCTTTTCCTCAGTTGTTCTTTACATTAACCAGAACAATCTTAAGTATAATATGCATATTCATTCAGATTTTTTTAAGTTTAACACTGACTATCTTCATTTATAAGGGCAGTTGATTTAGAGGTTACTCAATCCATTGTGTCTTTGGATGTTGCAGCACTATTTATTCAAAGTTAGTTGGACCACATCATTTTGCTTACACGTACTCATGTTCCAAAGAGAATTTAAGTTTGCTTACAAAGATACCATATCAAAATGATGCTGCCTGAAATCTTGAGGGCAATCAAAATAGCAGGTGATGCAAATACTCTATTGGTCATTATTGGACACTTTTTGCAGTTGAGGACACTGTAGTCACCAAGTAACTTGTTCAGTGTCTGCTGTGCCCTTGTTTAGTGTCTGCTGTGCCCTCGGCACTGAGTTGGATACTGTAAAAACATTACCTGATGAATTTTACCGCCAGAAACATTTCCCCTATTCAGAGCTCAGCTATTCAGGAAATTTCTCCAACTAAAAATAGTTAAGAGATATGAATCTTTGATCAAACCTTTGATCATCCCAAATAATGGAAATTGTTCCTCTGGCCCTGACTGGAGACCTGTTTACTCATACTTTGCCCATGTGTTTAACAATCATGACTTTCCGATTTCCCAGTTCATGATGCTTTAGGAGCAGTGAGTTGGAAGGTGAGAGAAGGTTCCCATTAGAGGCTGGGCACGAAGGCTCACACTTGTAATCCCAAAACTTTGGAAGGCCTAGGAAGGTGGATCACTTGGGCTTAGGCGTTTGAGACCAGCCTGGCCAACATGGTGAAACCCCATTTCTACTAAAAATACAAAATTAGCCCGGCATGGTGGCATGCTCCTGTAATCCCATCTATTCAGGAGGCTGAGGCAGGAGAGTCACTTGAATACAGGAGGCAGAGTTTGCAGTGAGCTGAGATCGTGTCAGAGTGAAGGAAAAAAAAAATAAGATTCCCATTGGAGGCACAGTAATGGCTGAAAGCCTCCCCAGTAAGAGGAGATTTGAAAAACAAATAGATAAAAGACAATACACTTCAGACTATCAGGGCATTAAGTACAGGGATACCCAGTAATAAGGCACAGTGCAATAATGGATGGCAAAAACATGCTTAGCATAACATGTTTAAAAAGACAGAGACGTATAAGATATACCATAAATGTGCTTCCTGCCAAAATATTTGCACTTTTAAAAATGCTCGGGCCTAAGAAAGAAAACCATCAGTTATCTGGAAGACTCAACCACTCTGGTGGATTTATTTTTCTGTATAGCAGAGGTTTTAGTATTGTTGATGAAGCACAGCTAACAGTAAACAGCAAGTGGCAGGATGTCATTAAATGCTGGATTGTCTGCCATCTCTTTCCATAGGTTCTAAGGAAAAGTAAGTGACTGAAAGCTCTAATAGTGAAAGAAGGTTTACGAGTCTGTGCTAGGTCTTGAAGCTAAACTAGAATTTGAATAGGTAGTGGGGTTTCTCACTGATTAAATAGGAAGTCAATTTTTTTGTCTCTTTATTCTCATCTTATCTCTGGATAGTAGTCCAAGAAAATGGACCACTTGAGAGTAGAGATTCTGAAAGATCCCAAAACAAAGTCTTCCATCTTCACTATTTTTCTCAGCCTTCTTCCACCTCTCTTTCTCCAACCATCCTGAGTCAAGTTATTCTGCTCCAGTGTGACGTGAAGAGCAGAGTAAGGCAGTAGAATCCATGTCCTAGGTTTAAATTCTGGAGCTTACCAACTGGTACCCTTGAACAAGATGTTAAGCCTGTGTTCCTGCAGAGGACACCAGCACTCACAAATTATGATCCCACTCATCATAAATCATTAGGACAATGCAGGTGATGAGTATTTTCTAAACCACAAAATCCTATAAGAAACATTTTAAATGTTAGTTTTCCATTGAGTGATGAGATTCTTCAGGATTTTTCTTTTCTCTCTCCACACACCTAGGACCTCAGGGGCCTGATTATGGGAACAAACTGCCTTTGGGACTTTAAATTACTCAGCAGCAATGCCAGTGCTGTGATTATTATTGCATGTAGTTATGAAGAACAGGCAGGTGAAAACACCTCTTTTTCTTTCCAGCATTTGCTATAGGAAAGTATGTAAAAAAATGGCTATTTGGCTGATCAAGTGAAATGTACTAGGAAATTATAAATGTGTAGATGGCAAGAATGAGAGAGGGAATTGTTATCACTCCAAGTCAGTCTGTCTGGAGGTTTGGGGAGATATAGTGATTGATGAATGCCTGTTCAAGCCATCATGGTCTGTTAGGTTCAAGTCCACAGGCTGGAAATTCTTGTTAATCAAATGAGGTGGGGCAGAGTGGCCACTCATACAAGATGAGCTTATTCTTATCCAAACCAGCCTGGCTATCCTTCTATTTACCAGGAGCAAGGCCTGCCGCGTCTCACTCAGACTTGTACTCTGTTTAGGTTTTCCTCCTAATGAGAAAGAACTCATTGTTGTCATTGATTTGAGAGTGAATGCTACTTTGTGTCCCTGGGGAAATCTGCAAATGCCCAGGGCTCATCTTGTCCTCTCTTGTCACCATCCAGCCTCATCCCCTTGAACCCTTCCTCCCTCTGGAGCCAGAATGATCTATTTAAAATGCAAATCTAACCACTACTCCTGTTATTCTCTAAGTCTTCCAGAATAAATTCCAAATTTCCTAGCATGGACTACAACACCCTCTATGACTGGTTCCCTGCTCTGCAACATAGCCTTCTGCTAGTCTCCAACTAGAAATTTATGGTCTACCAATGCCAGAGTACACACCATTCATAAGGCCCTCCCCCTCTTACAAAGACACTGTTTACACCTCCATGCCTTTGTGCTGTTCTCTTTATTAGAACTTCCTTCTATACTCTCTTTTCCTTGCTATTCTTCCTCATTCTTCAAGATTTAACTCATACTTTTTTTTTTTACAGTAAACCTTTGTTTGTAATTCCAGAGTGGTATCTGAGGGAGGTCATGCTTTGTGCTCACATCAGTCTTTGTGCGTAGCTCTCTGCTTATCATAGGACATTGAAATGATCTGATTATGTGTTCTTTTTCCATTAGAAATGTGTGCTTTACAAAGACAAGGACTGTATTTTGTTTATCTCCAAGCACTTAGCACTAGACTTGGCAGCCTACTCAGTAAGTGTGTGTCAAACTGAACCATTGTGTTTCTAGAACCTTCTGACCATGTGATCCATTCATTGGTTCATGAGTGGAAGTCTACTTTGATTACCAGACAAAGGGGAGAACTGGAGTACTTACCAAGCCAATAGAGATTAGCTGGTGGTTGTCTACATATTCAACTGAATAAAAATCTCTATGTTTCAAAAGTCATTTTAACATCTCTTGTGTTGCTTGCATCATAATAGGCATTATGAGCATCCACTAATGACCAGGCAGACCACCTGCCCTCAAAAGATTTGTTTTCTAGAGAAACAAAGCAAAATCTAGGTGCTGCAAGAAAAGTCACAGCCTTGGGGTTTCAGTGAAGAGACAGCCCAAATGCTCTTGAAGTAGTCAGAAAAGTCTACAGGGTAAGAGACACTCCAAATGCCACTGGAAAATGGCTAACATTTTGAAAAATAGAGATAGGGAAGAGGTAAACAGGAAGTGGGAGATGATGCTTTCTAGCCAAAGGAATATCACAGGCAAAGAGATAGCAAAGTCCTGAGTATAGTTAGGTAACATGAGCACTCCTGATAGTTCACAATCTGACCCTAATGTGACTCATCTTCCATCCATTACCCCCACTTCCAGGCTCCAGCCACCTTAATTCCTTTCTCTAATCTAATGGTTCACAAAAGAGTCATCAACAGAACTATTGCTGGGCCACCGATTGCTGGGCCCCATCCCCAGATTTCAGATTTAATAGTTTAAGTGATGCTGTGATCTGGGGCCACGTTTGAGAACTGCTGCAAAACTTCCCTTTTAACACCATCATGGCAAAGACCTGAAGGCATTCTCCCCACTCCCACCCCAGACACCGTAGGAGATGAATTTCAGAGCTCACCCAGAGCCTTGGGCACTTTGCTTCTGGAAGAACAACTGTCCCTGGAAATCACAGCCAACCGTCCATTGGCAAAGCGGCCACCACCATTTCAGTTGCAGAGCAAGGCAGTGCTTTCCCATCATCCTGGCAAATGAAAGACTAACTTAGACCATCTGGTTCTGTAACACCCTCCTACACCACTGCTTAAAAGCAGCCGAACATATTTTCTCTTACATTTTGTCAATAAAATATTGCTCCCCCAGGCTGTCGGCTTGCCACATATGCAGCCCTTAAGCAAAGTGGGAGCAGTTAGTGGTGGCATCAAGAGGACAGCCACAGGCAGAGCCCCTCAGCCTTTTGCTGTTGACTCTCCACAACCCCCTCTTCTTGGAGGCAGATCCTTAAACTGATGCCTCAAAATATTTTTAAAAGCGCAACCAAATATATATGAAGACCTTTCCTGGCTGCCGGGCCTTTTCTGTCCTGTTAATTTTGCTTGGCTTTAAAAGAGTGAAGAATCAATGTCTAGCATTTCCAATGACCAGGTAGAGTGTGTACACATTTATTAAGATTAATTAAAAAGTAACAAATTGTAAAGTAATAACATTAACAACCAGTAGAAAAAGTGTAGACATTTTGACAGTCTTTTTGAATTTCATTAAAAGATGGTAGTGACAAAAACCCCAGAGACTATTTCTACTTTACTAAAGAAATAGGTCACAGATTCAATTACAGTCACTGAAGCATGGACTCAATCTATCATGGCAAATTAAGTACATTTTAGCAACCTACTTTCCTTTAAAAATTTTATAGACACTTTCAGTGGAAGAAGAAAGACTATAGAAAAAAAAAAAGAAATTGCAAAACCAAGTCCCACCCTACTCCCCCTCTAGGCTTTGAGTAAGCATTTGGCTTATTTGCTTTGGGTATAAGACAGAAAATCATTAAGAAATACTCAGCGTGCTCACAATTATTACTCTTCACTCTTTCATGGTTTAATGATGCAGATTTGGAATTGGGAGTGGGAAATGGCTCCAAATTAGAATCGCTAAGTCTTCAAAGTAGGGCTTTGTTCTCCAGGCGGGGCCCCACCCCCCTGCTTTTAAAACAGGACTATTTGTACTCTACAGCTTTTATAATTTTTTTTTTTTTTTTTTTTTTTTTGGCCTTTGAGTCTCAGCAGAACCATTGAGTTCATTTCTGGAAAGATAAACAAATAAATAAATAAGACTTGTGTGGCCTGTGGACATATGGTTTAGCAAAGTGCTGGTACTGGGAGAAGGAAACACCATTTTGCCCATAACAAAACTGGTTTCATGTTGACAACTGACGTTTAGGAAGGGCCTCTTGCCCAGCGGCGAGCAGGGACCATCTTCGAGACACACAGCCACAGTAACCGCCAAGTGTGAAGGACTGAGATCCTTATGTGTGCCCTTTGACAAGTAAGAACCTAGGGCTGGCTGGGGCCTTCAAAACCCAGGGCAGGAGTCTTAGGAATCTTCCTGGCCAGGAAGCCTCAGGAGCCCAGGTGTAGGTCTTGCTCCTTAATGACAGGGCCAGCAAAGCCCCTAGTCAGGTCGGTGCTGGTAGTGCTTAATCTGCTGCAGCACCACCTTTCTCTTAAACTCTGACCGGTCTTTTCCGAATGCCTCTGTGTAATGGGCACAAAGAAGTAAGCAATCGCATGTGCTCCCCAGAGAAGCATTACAGTGCTTCATGCATCTTTAAATTATCTTGCTATTGCCCAATTAAATCAGAACCTCTCGTCGGCCAGGCTGAAGGCTAAATTTACTGATAGAATCTCAGTAGAACTAACTGGCAGAATTAAATTTTTAATTTTAATTGCAAAATTGCAACTCCCTTAGAGATTAGGTTTCACAGCAGCTAGTACTCTTCAAAATATTGCAAATACAGAGGTATTCACAGCCTACTTGCTTGGTAATATCTCTCTTCATAGATAGATAAATGATAGAGATGATAGATAGATAGATGATAGATAGATAGATAGATGATAGATAGATAGATGATAGATAGATTTAGAGATAAATAGAGATAGATAAAAATAGAGATAGAGATAGAACTGAGTCAAAAGCTACCAGGTCTTCTTACAGTACCAGCTCTTTGAAACTACAGAGTTGGTATGTCTACCTGTGTGCTGTTTAACTCCCATCTGTGACACTATTCCTGGAAAGGGACAACAATGAGTTTGGGGATGACTCATGAGACCAGAAAGGCTAAAGACTGGCAGCAAACTGAGGCTGCAGGTTCTCCATATAAAGATGGTGAACTCACATTGGTACTCATGTGCAGTAGCTATACTTGTCCTGAATAGATGAGGGGACAAAAAAAGATGTGTATTTAGGTGGTTGCCTAGCCTCCCACTTAGCTTAAGATGGTGTGCTAGGTACATTTCCTCTATTTGTCCTTCAGCTAAATTGATAACAGTAGCAAAGCCTATTGCAACTTCTGAGTTTAAGCCTGTACTCACTGATGTCCTGGTACAAAAAAACAAATCAAAACAAAACAAAAAATTAATATACCTAAATATATTTATAAATGTATAATATATTCGGTAATGTTTAGCATATAATAATTTAATATGCTAAATACAATTTTACACTGTATTATGAATTACACTCAGTGCAGCGAGATGGTCATACTGTGAAAGGCCCCTGGGAACTGAGACCAAAGGGAGCGTTGTTCCCATCTCAAGTTCACCAGCCAAGTGTAGAAAATGCCTGCAGGATTTAAAGCAAGGTGCTGTCCTCAAGCATTCTAGTTTAGCTGTTCCAGAGTGGGCCAAGTTTTGATAGTTGTTTTTTAAGCTTTGTCAGGTGATTCTAATGTATAGCACGGTCTAGTATCATTGATTTAAATTTTCTTTCTCTTTCTGTATTTGCTGAATTTGTGTAATTTAAAATCACTTTCAGTGTGACTCCCTTATGCCGCTCTCTCCTGCCATTTGGGCAACAGCCAACTTCCGAGGCCAACCTTGTTTCTGGAGAAGCATTCTTCCCACATGGGAAAGGCAAGGATGGTGCTGAGCCTGGTGAGTCTCTGTTCGGGGCCTTTGACTTTGCCTGAACACACATTTACTAAAACTAACAAAGCAAGACAGGAGGTGGGCTGTCCAGAAGGACAAGTGCTTCACTTTATCACCTTCAAAATGATTTTAAACCCCTGAGATCAATGCTGATAAGATGGATATTTGAGATCAATGCTGGACAGTATGAAGCCAGAAACTGGTGGGAAAACCTCTGGAAATACATGAGATACAGCTCAAAACTCTGGATAAAATCCATCTTTCTCTTGTTTGAGTTTTTAAAAGGTAGAATCAGATGGTGCACTAGGCTTGGTGTCCTTGGGAGATGGCCTAGCATAATGGTAGGATTACAGACACAGAAGCTAATTTGTCTGTGTTGAATACTCACTCTGCCACTCACTAAGTGACTTGGGGCAGGATACTTAATTCCCGTGTGCCTCACCTTCCTCATCT
This sequence comes from Homo sapiens, assembly GCF_000001405.40. Classification (NCBI taxonomy): domain Eukaryota; kingdom Metazoa; phylum Chordata; class Mammalia; order Primates; family Hominidae; genus Homo; species Homo sapiens. Next base: position 52,074,445 of record NC_000016.10, on the reverse strand, counting down.
GCAAGATGGGGACATTAATCATACCTACCTTATAGGCTAATTCTGAGGATTAAATGATTTAATGCATGTAAATTCCTTAGTCTGGTGCTTGAGACAGATTGTGTGCTGAAGCAATACAGCCATTGTTCTATGTATTATCAGTGGCATTATGTAGGGTAACTAATTGCTGGATGACTCATTCTATGTCTTCAGTTACATTTTCTTTTCCCAGCTTACATAATAGAATAAAACATATATTTTCAGAGGAAAGATATTGACGTTCACCCCTGGTGGATCATCGGTGAGGCAGTATAGGAAAGAGGGCTTGGAACTGGAAGACTTGTACCTTTCAGCTACCTGTGGGTGACTTCGGGTCAACTCCTTGGCATCGTTTGAATCCGAGTTTTATTAAGTTCAAACATAGGTTTTCTTTATTTTCATTGCGTCCTTTGCTGAGATTTTCACTAGGCCTTATGAAAAACTCTTCATATTTATGTCACACTTTACAGATAACTTATAAATCCTTGCAGTCAAGCCTCATGCTAAGATGTTGAAAAACATACTCTTATCCCCAATTTACAAATGAAGAAATGGAAGTCAAGACTTTTCCCAAGGCCACCAAACTGGTTAAGTGGCAAGTACTTAAGGCTCCCAAGTTCAGCAATGTTTCTAATAGACTGTAAGTACACCATTTTCGATAAATGGCATATGGGAACATGCCTAGGAAATTATAGTGTGCAATATAAGTGGTGTGTTTTGTCATTATTTGGGGACTTTCCCTTTGATATTATGTAAAGGGAAGGGTAGCACAGAAATAACAAGCCTTAGTATTATAGTCAGTCACTCATCATTCATTAGCAGTGAAGTTGGTGCCCAGTGACTGAATCCCTATTCCCAGTGTTGACTTAGGACAGACATCATACTATTGATGCCTTTTATCATTTACCCTTCTTTCCTTTGCTGATTTTCACTTCAAGGTGATACACTGCTGACCTATTAAACAGCGATCTTTGTCCGCATGGAAATTAATTAGCTGATAATTGTCTGGAAGATAGAACAGTGACTAAGAGTTTGGAAAGTAGAAGGAAGTTCTCTAGGAAGTAGACTAATCAGAGGTTTTTTGGTTGAGTTATTTCCTTCCATCTGAGTCTCATTCTGTCTTCCCCTCCTCCTGCTCCCTGAGAAGCTCAAATATCTCTTGATGAACTTGGCATAATAACCACACACAGCTGGACGGCAATATGGCTTGAGAAGGAGTGTACTCACAGCCTGTGATGTTAGATGAGCTTCAGTTTATTCAAACTACTTGCTGTGTCAGTCTGACTCCAGGCATCAGTGTGAAAAATGGGAAATTTAGTAACCTATATAGATAGTAATAGCAACAGTCATACCTTGAAATTTTGTAATATTTTTGAAGTTACTATGCACTCACGTTTCAGGCGATTGTTGCCACAGTTTGGTGGAATGGGCAGGTTTATTCTTCTTATTATAGAGTAAACAAATCTCGGACCTGGGGAAATGTTTGACTGGTACTGTTTTACAGGGGCAGACTCATGTCTTTACTAACTCTGCCTTTTTATGTGGACACTAATCTTTTGCCTACCCAGGACAACCACTACCAGGACAAACTATTCATTTATTTTGTAAAAATAGGCCCTCTTTTTGGTGGGGAGCTCTTACATTCCCAACTACAAATATTTGTTTACAGTTACAATGCATTTATCAGACCTTATACCCTGGACATGATTGATTGATAAAGGGCTGGACATCCAACCCAATGTATGCCAATCTCTTCCTGGAATTTTTCAAATTGGAAATAGGAGATAGAAGTTTATAGCCATGGAAGCTTAGACAGCCATGTTTTTCACTATGTTGTGAAAGCTGGTTTGCATGGAAAGAATGAAGCCAGCAAACAGAGAAGCAGAGTTGGGAAAAAGAGAGAATCCTGGTGGCATTGGAGTCCCTGGTCCCAACTGTTCCTAAGACTGTGTCCATTGGGAAAATTCTCCTTCAATAAGGGTTTGTAAGAGCTTTTTCTCTCAAATTCAGCTCTTTTATAAAGTGATGATAGGCATTGCATTTCAGAACCTTTAGCTCTTTAACAAAGTGTGGCAACATTGTCGACTTTTATTAGAGAGTTCTTAATAGTTTATTGTGCAAATGAGGCCAATTAGCCAATCTTGAAAACAGGCATATGGATCCATGTATACCATCTGGGTTGTGCAAAAAGTTCAGAGTGTACTATGTGGAGTGCATTAGGCGAAGATCTGAGAGAGTTGAGATTGATGAAGTGGGAAAATGGGAGGTTGGTGCAAGCGAGCTATATGTAACTGACATCCATTTATTTTGTTAAGGTCAATGTAGAACCTGTTTTTTGGTAGGTATGTCTTTTTTTTCTACAGCATCTTAAAAACTATACATAAAATTCTCATCAATATAATTCTTACATTTGTGAGCATTTACATTAACAAAGCCTTTTATGCACATTCTTGCCTTTATTTGTCACAAAACCCTGTGAGATAGGGAGGTCTTATCACTCCAAACGCTTGTAGTAATGAGGACAGAGGTGCTTGAAAAAATTAGTGGTTGAGGAGACAGAGTGCCCTTGGAGGTTTCATTGGATAGTACTTCTTGAAGATGTTTATATAAAGGACCTAGCAAGTTTTCAACCTAAGTGGATGTTTTTGTTTTTGGTATTTTTTCCCACCTCTTAACACTTGCCTGCTCTAAATGTCTGAATTCTCCAGGGTTACTGAGCAATCCTCTGCTTTTTAGGCATCAGGTGTTGCTAGTGTAATATCTATAAATTTAGTTTTTAAGTTTTCTAAAGCTAATGCTTAAGGCCTTCTTCAGAACATTTTACAATGGTTTATTGCTTTTAAAAAATAATTGTGTATCAACCAGGATTGTTCTAGTACTCTTATAAATTTTTATATATTAAAAGAGACAATGTTTTCTAATTTGTTAAACTCCAAAAAATGTAGATATATTTTATGATTTCTCCATTTTCTCCTTCTCCTGGCTTTCTTTTTGTATAATGTACAGCTCTCCCACTGTTAGCAAGGAAAGTTTGAGTGCAATTGGCTTCAGCGTAGGAATTCTGATTGGGTTAAGACGATAAGTCATGCCTATCTTCCCAGCTGAGATTGGTTCAGGAATGGACCTTTAACCCCGTTTGAGCCAATGACAGGGTGAGTCACAGGTGAGAGAACTTCAGGAAGAGACACTCTTTTCCCCAGAACAATGTGGTTCAGTGGGACCCTATGAGACACGAACCTGCTTAGATTATTTTGTTACCACAAGGAAATAACCTGGATGAACTGAAAATATCAGGTGAAACTAGCTGTCCTCAAGGACTAGATCCATGATGACATCTTTTGGAACTAGAACTTCTGGATTTTTCTATTATGGGAGCCAATCCATTATTTTTGAGGTTTAAGCCACTTTGGCTGGGTTTCCTACCTTATACAATGTGTATTTAGCCCTCATAAAAGCATGTGCTAGTTCCCTTCTCTAATTTCTCTCTTTTCCCTACTCTCTTCCATGACCTGTCAGAACTGGAACCTGAAGGCCATGTTCATGGCTATCTCCAGGTTTTACCTGCTGTGCCTACTTAAGTAAATAAATATCCCATATTGACACTTGAATAAGTAAATATCCCATGTCATATATTTGTGAAAGAGTGATGATGAAAGTAATATTTAGCCTACAGATTGTCGGGAAAATCAAATGAGACAATGATCAAAAAAGTACCATACCAATATTAATTATCTTTCTGAACAGTGCTAATTTAATCTAGAAATTGTTGTCAAGCCCATTTCCACTAATTTCTTTCCAAAGAAAAATTTATAATGATCTAGTAATAGACCTATAACCAGGAAGAAGCAAGAAGGGTTATGTGCACATAGGTCATAGGTAGAATAATAAAACTCTAGTGTCATAATTATTTTATGTGCGGCCTGATTTAATGCATTGTGGAATATTCCACTGAATGAAATCATCTTGCAGACTGTAAGCAGCAGACTAATATTAAGAATTAGAATTTGTACACTGTGATTGATTATATTACAATAATTTATTTCAAAGTAGACATCATTATATCTCATCTAGAATTTCCTTCTAATGTAAGAAAATGTTTCTGAATGGTAAATTTGCTCAATTTTGCAGCAGCTGTTTCTGAGCCAGAGACCCTTGCAACTCCCTGGGGCTGGAATGCTGGGGGTTCTGGAAGCTGGGCAGCACCCTTTGACTCCAATATAGAGTGGGCAAGTGCCCTAGGCTTTCCCCTCCAGCCTAACTGTTGTCTACCCCAGGTCTACCATTTTCAGGAAATGCTACACAGTTGCATAAACAAGTTCAAAACCAGCTGCATTTTTCTGGTCTGACCGAATAGGGCTGTTTAACATGGAAAAGACATTTACTGGTGAGTCCGCCTTTGTAGTTAAATTCATTCCGATTGCCCCATCTTGTGGAAGAAGGAAAAATAGCTAGATTATTCTCCCCTTTGGGTGTATACCCTAGAAGAAAAAAATCAACCCATTTATCTCTCTTTATCTTTGTCTATAAGCTCTTCTCTGTCACATGATACATCCCAAATACACGATTCTGAAGAAAGGCCTGTATTCCTCACATATTTGCAACCTGATCCCCTTTCTTTACTGATAGGAGACCAGTATGTGATGGTTGCATTCAGAAGTGCTAGACAGAAATTCATTGCTGCAGGGGAGAACTCGAACTCTGCCACCAGAATGTAGGCCCAAGTCAGAATCCATTTGTGCAGGTCAGTCTCTCAACCTGCTGAGTTATTCTCAGAATCCTGGAACAACAGTGATCACTCTATATCCAGGTATTTGAGATACTCTCCTCTTCTTAAGCCAGCCTACCTTGTATTCGCTCACTGGTACATGGATGTCTATTCAGTGGAAGAGTAGATGGAATCAATTCACGTATTTGTTCATTCACCAATTTACTTATTTATCCATTCATTCATCCTCTTAACATTTTTTTTATTTAACATTTATATGTTGAGAATCTTCCATATGCCGTGTACCATGCTAGGTACTAGGGAAACAGTAATGGGCAAAACAGCCACATAATCTACCTTTATGGAATTGGCACTTTTATTGGAGCTGGGTACACAGATACTAATTAAAGAATCAGACACATATATAATTGAAAATTGTGATAAGTCTATGGAGGGGCATTAAAGGGTACTATGAGACCATAAAAGAAAGACCTGATGTATGGAGCCTGACCTTTCAGGATAAAGGGACATTTGAGCTGAGATCTGAAGAGTAGACACTAAAGGAGAGACAGGGGCATGTGGCAAGAGCATTACAAGCAGAGCCTGTGAGCTGGGAAGAATGCAGTGGCTGCAGCAGAGAAAAAGGAGAAAGAGTGGCTCCCAAGAAAGCTATAGAAGCAGTCAGAAACCAGATTATGTTGGGCTTTGAGGACATATTAGGAGTTTGGCCATCTGACCACATGGGTTGCAAATAGAAAACACTGTTCTTTCATCAAACGAGGCCGATTTAGTCTGACCTTCCTTTGCTTTGGCTCACAGCAGTTGTGACAAAGGAGCCAAACCAGTGCTTTCTGGGTGTCCCTATCTCCTTCTCGGCCAGCAAAACACGATAGGTTCCACTATTTATGCTGTGCCCATCCATTGCAACCTTTGAATCACAACTACATCTTTATAAGTTGCTGTGTAATTTCTCAAATTACAGTTTCTTTATGGGGGACCTCTACGATTTACCTAGCACCTAAGGGTGTTTGTTTGTGGGTACAAATGACTGTTGATTCTGTCTCTAGGCGACAAAGAACAGCTTGCCTCTGCAAGCAGTCAGCCTGAAAGTTGCACAACACTGACATCTGCTGCTTGTATGCAGTTTGAGATTGTACCGGGTCAGAAAGAGTAAATGTAGTAAAACTAAATGTTTGAAAATGTTGGGCAAACGTACACACACACACACACACACACACACACAGGTGGGTGCACACAGCTCCTCTACAGCCTATGGTCTTGTACTTCTGATTTTTCAATAATATACAAGAATAGAAGGCTAATTTCAACATGATGTTTTCTTACTGTCAATATTTGCCAATTGGACAAGGTGTTCACATGATGGAAGATGAAGTTTCTGCTTGGCTTTAGAGGAAAAACAATTGACAAAAACCTAGATCAATGTTTTCACTTAGCAAATATTAATACAAGGCATAGAAATAAATGAAAAAAGGTATCAACTTTCATCATAAAAGCAGCTTAATAATAGTGATTTTGTGGATGACATATAATATTTGCATAGTAATTTACCATTTCTAAAGCATTTTAAGATGTCTTTTCACATTTCCTCAGTCATTCAACCATTTATTCACTATATAATGAGTGCCTACTTTATGTGAGTCATTAGTCTAGACTGCAAGGATTCTCTTGGTCCTGGCAGGGTAATTAAGGAAGAGTACAGCGTAACACTTAACCAAGTATGCATTGGATTCAGACTTGACTGCTCTAAGTGTCCATGCCCTTGTGTGTTAAATGGCCAGTGATAATAACAATGCCTATCGCATCAAAATGTTGTGAAGATTAAGTGAAGATAATACATGTAGAACATTCACTACAATGCCTAGTACATCACAAGGTACTTATGGAACTATGACTTTAGGTATCCCAATTTTTAATGTAGGAAACAAAAGATTTTCAGCTTGACAATGTTTCGTGATGACAAAGTAAAAAATGGGTATGCAGTTTATGAGTTTATGACTGGGATATCATGAGGGTTAATGGAAAGGGGTAGGTTGAAAAGGTTAGAAAGGAGGGCTGGTCCTATTCTCAAGGAAATCTGGTGTCTAAGAAGTTTTGGCTTCATTGTTTAGGGAGATTTTAAGGGAAAGCTGTTCTCAGAGTAGTGCTTTAGGAATATAGGTTATTGGGGTTAAATGACAGGAAGGAACAGAGACAGAAAGCAGAACCATCAGTTAGGAAGTTCTTACATGGGCCCTGGTCTGAATTAATTAGACCTTGAGACAGACCAGAGATGATGGTGGGATGCAGAGTAGTAGGTTGATGAGGATATTACAGAGAACAAATCTAGATGAGATGTTGGCTGTTGAGTGTTTATTGGCTGTTTCATGGGATGGCTACATTGCCGCCTTTGAAATCTCATTCCTTGGAAACACAGAAGAAAATAATTTTTTTCCCTTTTCTCTGCTTTGCTGTTTATATTGTGTGGAGATCAAATTCTACCCCAGAAAATTCAGTGTGTCCCAGCAACTCGTTTATACAGTAAACAATCAGTCTGTGTTCCCTTGGCAGGAAACTGCCAGTGGCCATCAGAACAATCACATATTCTTCCATCTGAGAAAGGCAGCTAGGACAAACTTTGAAAATCTAATGTGATTGGTCATATGTCTGGATCCTCTGGGTTTAGACTTCTGAAGTAAAAAATCTCTAAAAAGTGTTTCTAGAAAGTGAAGAGAATTAGATCTTTAAATGTAGTGAAAGTGAAGAGAAAGCAGAGTAAGAATTGGAAACTATTAACCAGCACATGTAATAAATATATGCAAAACTGAATAATCTATAGCAAATACATATTCTTTTTTATTATGGAAACATTTGTCAATATTTATCATATTACCATAAAGAAAATCTTAAGAAATCCTATAACATACAAACCTTACAACAACTCAAACCCAAGGTTACAAATCATTTACAAAAGTATGTAGCCTCATTGTGGATATTTTGGTTATTAAACAAGAAAGATATAAAAAATTGAAATAAATTAAATATTTAACTTATGAAACTAAAGATAACACCAAAACAATCCAAGTATAATTATTATATAACTAATGATAATAACAGCTGAATTTAATAAATTAGAAAACAAAATGCAATTAATAACCAAAAACTTCTTCAGAGCATTAAAATTACCCCCTCTTCCTTGAAAGTCTTTAAAAGAAGAGACAAGAAGAAAGAGAACTACAACTTTTAAAATAAAACAGAAGCTGGAAATATAAATGTTAAGAGATTAGATGAGCTAGAAGAAATATTTTGTGCAACATTATGCCAATACATTTAAAAATGTAGATCAAAATAATAACTTCCTAAGGAGATAAATTGTTAAAATTGGCTCAACAAAGATAAACCGAGGAAGCATCCATACTATTTCAATAACCAGAAAATACATGTAAATATTTGTCAAAGATCTACTATTTAAAAAGATACCAGGATTATGAATAACTCTGTATGTAAATTTGATAACCTAGAGAAAATGAACCAACTTTGTGAATGATGTAACCAAAACTCACACAAAGACAAATAGACTATCTAAATAGGCCCATATCTATAACCAAATTGAATCAATAATTAATAACCTTCCAAAACAGATAGCACCAGACCTGCATGTTCACTAGTGAATTCAAATGGTTAAGGAAGAAATGCTACTACGTTTTTACAGTTTCTTCCAGAAAACAGAAGGAATATTTCCTAACTCATTCTATGACACCAGCATTAACATAATACCAAAACTAGACAAAAACATTATGAAAAGAGGAAACTAAAGACCAATATCTCTCATAAACATCGAAGCAAAAATCTTCAACAAGATATTAGCCAATCATATTTAACAATATAAAGAATTATACACATAGCCAAGTGGGATTTATTCTAGGTATAAAAGTCTAGTTCAACATTCAATAGTCAATGAATATAATCTATCACATCAATAGGCTAAAGAAGAAAAATTATACAATCAGTTAAATCAAATAAGTAGTTGTGGAAAAAAAATCATTTAACAAAATCCAACACTCATTCATCATGAAAACTCGCAGTAAACTAGGAATAAAGGGGAAGTTCCTCAACTTCATAAAGAGTTCCACAAAAAAATCAATAGCTAACATCATAATGGTGAGAAAATAGATGGTATCCTTCTAAGATCAGGAACAAAGTAATAATGTCTGCTTTCACCACTCTTATTCAGCATCATATTGGAACCCCTAGCTAATGCAATAAGACAAGAAAAGGAAATAAAATATATAAAGGTTTGGAGAAAGAAAGAAAGCCTTCTTTGTTCACAGATGACATGATTGTCTATGTAGAAAATTTAAAAGAATAAATAAATAAGTAAATAAATAAATAAATAACTCCTGGAGCTATTAAGCAATTATAGAAATGTTGCAGGATACAAGGCTACTATACAAAAGTCAACTGATTTCCTATATACCAGCAAAGAACAGTTGGGATTTGAATTAAAAACACAATACCATTTACATTAGCACTATAAAAGAAAATGAAACAGTTAGGTATAAATCTAATAAAATATATACAAGATCTATATGAAGAAAATGACAAAACTTTGATGAAAAATTAATGAATATTTAAATAAATGAACATATATTGCATGTACATGAATAGGAAGACTTAACATCATCAAGATGTCAGTTCTTCCCAAATTAATCAATATATTCAATACAGTACCAACCAAAGTACCAGCAAATCATTTTATGGTTGTCAACAAGCAGATTATTAAAAAAAGACCCAGAATAGCCAAAAAATATTGAAGAAGAACAAAATTTGAGGTCTGACACTACCCAACTTCAAGGCATACTATAAAGCTAGAGTAGTCAAGACACTGTGGTATTGGTGAAAACAGAGACAAATATGTTAATATAACAAAATAGAGTACCCAGAAATAAATCTACACAAAGGTAGTCAACTGATCTTTGACAAAAGAGCAAAGGCAATTCAATGAAAAAATAATAGTCTTTTCAACAAAAGATGTTGGAACAACTGAACATCACATGCAAAAAAACGAATCTAGATACAGATCTGACAGTTTTTGCAGAAATTAGTTTCAAATAAATTATAGACCTAAATGTGAACTACAGTACTATAAAACTCCTAGAAGACAACAAAAAATCTAGGTGACCTTGGGTTTGGCACTGATTTCTTAGTGATCCATAAAACAACATTGTGATCCATCAGTTGTGATCCATCAAAAAAATTGGTAAGTTGGACTTACTTCATTAAAATTAAAAATTGCTCTACAAACACACTGTCAAGGGAATGAAAAGACAAACTACAGAATGGGAGGAAATAGTTGCAAAAAACATATCTAATAAAGGACTGGTATCCAAAATATAAAGAACTCTTAAGATTCAACAATAAGAAAACAGCCAAATTTAAAAATGAGCAAAAGACCTGAACAGATGTCTCACCAAAAAAGATATGCAGGTAGCAAATGAGCATACAAACAGATGCTTACCATTATAGTTTACTACAGACCTGCAAATTAAAACAATAGTGAGATACCACTACTCATCTATAAATTAGAATGGTTAGAATCTAAAACACTGACAAATGATAAGGAGGATGTGGAGCAACAAAAGCTCTCATTCATTCCTGGTGGGAATGCAAAATGCTGCAGCCACTTTAGAAAACAGTTTGGCAGTTTTTTCAAAACTCAACATGTTCTTACAATACAATCGGCAACTGCTGTTTTGGATATTTAGCCAAATGAATAGATTAATTTATGTCCACAGAAAAACCTATACATTAGTGTCTGTATAGCTTTATTTGTAACTGTCAAAACACAGAAATGATCAAGATGTCCTTCAATAAATGAATGAATAAACAAATGAAGGGAAGTCCATACAATGCAATATTACTTTGCAATAAAACGAAATAAGCCACCAAGCTACAAAAAAATGTGCAGGAACATTAATGCGTATTGTTAAGTGAAATAAGCCAATCTGAAAAGGCTATGTACTGTATGATTACAACTATGTGACAACCTGGAAAAGGCACAACTATGAGGACAGTCAAAAGATCAGCATTTGCCAGGGTCTTGTGCAGAGGGAGGGGAGGGGAGAATGAAGAGGTGGAGCCCTGAATTTTTAGGGCAGTGAAACTATTCTGTATGATACTATAATGGTGGGTACATATCATTAATACATTTGACAAAACCAGTAGAATGCACAACACCAAGAATGAATCCTAATATGAACCACAAACTTTAGTTAATGATAATATATCAATATTGGCTCTTGAGTTGAAACAAATATACCACAGTAATGCAAGATGTTAATAATAGAGAAAATTGTATTGGGGAGTGAAGGGGCCTATGGGAACTCAATGTACTTTCTCCTCAATTTTTCCCTAAACCTAAAATTGCTCTAAAATGAAGTCTAATAATTTTAATATGTATAAATTATATGTTGTAAAATATATATATAATTAATGAATAAAAATTTAAAAATGATACCATGGATGAATGGTTTTATAGGGCACTCTTTTTGAACGTTTAAGGGCAGCTAACACCTAAATTATCCAGATAATGCAAGAATATTTTCAAGAAGCCAAATCTTCCAAATTCCTTTGAAAAAAATACCAAAACCGAATAGAAATTACACCCTAAAAGAAAGCCATAACCTAACCTTACTTAAAAATGTAAATGCAAACATCTAATACAACTTTAGCAAAGAAAATACAGCCAAGTATTAAAAGAAAAAAATATATATGTTTAACATTTTATTCTAAAATTTTTAGAAAGGGCCAGTATTTTGAAATTTATTAAGGAGAATTCCACATCAAATATTTTCAGAAAATGGTGATTCACCATGCACATTAACATATTAACAATTTTGCAGTCCTATAGTAAAGCAACCTGGTTTTGGTTTAAACCAGTTTCCCCAAACATACTTGACAAGGGAACACACTGTTACTTTTAGGTATTATCCACTAACATCCCATAAAATACACGGCTCAATGCAGGCATGCTTCTCTCCTTCAAGTTGCATAAGGGGCTGTAGCAGCCTGACTGATGGTCCCAAGATGCCCATGTGCTAATCCCTGCAACCCATGAATATGTTATCTTACATGGCAAAGGGGAATTAAGGTTTTTAATCAGCTGACTTCAGATAAGGCAATTATCCTGAATTAACTAGAAGGGCTCAATGTCATCACAGGGGTTTAAAAATGGAAAAGGGAGGCCGAAGAGAGAATCAGAGAAAGGCATATGGAAATAAAAACAGGTCAGAATGATGTGAGAATAACTTGACCTGCCCTTGCTGGCAATGCAGATGGAAGAAGGGACCATGAACCAAGCAATGTGAGCAGACTCTGGAAGATGAAAAAGACAAGAAAGGGATTTCTTGAGAGCCCTTTAGAGTCTCTTCCAAAGACTCCAGAAAGAAATGCATCCCTGCTGACACCTTGATTTCAGCCTGTTGAGATCTATGTTGGACTTCAGAAGTGTAAGATAATAGATTGGTGTTGCTTTAGCCACTGAGGTTGGGGTATTTGTTACAGCAGCAACAGGAAACTAACACACAGACTGTCTGCTTTAATACTTCCTTTAAAAACCCCCTTGCTTATTTTTGGTCTTCTACAATTACCTGTGAAATAAACATACTGGAGGGAAAGTGAGTTGGAATTAGTACCAAGTCAAAATTTTGTAATATTTTTACAGTATAATTGTCATGTTCATTATTGTGGCTGTGGTGTAGTAGGAAGAAAACAATATTTGCAGTTTTAATGTTTGTGTAATCTTGAGAACACCTTTTTTTCAGGTTCTGTTTGTTCTTTTATGCTATCTCATGGAATTATTGTGAGAACTCAGAGTCACTATTCGACAGTACTTGAAAGCAGGGCTTTAGGGTGACCTGCAGGGTTTGAAACCTGGCTGTGGTCCTTGCTGGCTGTGTCATTTTGGGGAATTTCTCTCCTGCTTACCCTGCCTAACTTTCCCCACTCCATTTATTATTTCCTTTCCTTTTTCATGCAAATTTTGCCAGGGAATACACTCATATGTGTTAAAACTCAATAATTTATTAAAAAATTTCAAACAGTGACACGTCTTTGTCTTAACTTTATCATATATCTGCCTAGTTCCCCCTGCCATCCCCTCCCTGTGACATGCACCCATAGGTACCCACTGTTCTTAGTTTCTTATGTATATTCCAGATTTATGAAATTGAAGACAAAACATAGAAATTCATATTTTACATAAAAGATGGCATTTTATATACATCATATTGCACTTTTCTTTTTTTGCTTAAAAATGTATCCTGAAGTCCATTCTCTATGTGCACATAGAAGGCTCCTTCATTGTTTTTATTTTTTCCACTTGTGAGATATATCTATATGGATATATTATAATTTGTTTAACCTATTTATGAACACAATACTGTTCCCAGTCTCTTCTATTACAAACAGCGTGGAGGTAAATGGTCTTATACATAAGTAATTTTACATATTTGCAAGTATCAGTAGGAAAATATCCCAGAAGTGGGATTGTTGAATTAAAGAGTTTATACATTTGTAATTGGCAGACATGAGTAAGTTTCTCACCTTCTCTTAGCTGTAGTTTCCTCATTTATAATTTAGGGATAATGATAAACATACTTCATGAAGTGCTGTTGAGGATCTAATGATGTTTCATGTAAAGCACTTAGCATTAACCAAATTTTAACTTCTATTAATATCACTATTAGATTACATCATGTTATAAATTGCAAAGTGCTAAGCATAGCACTTTAAGGTAGAATATTAATGTTATCAAATTCTGTAAGTGCTAACTTGGGGATAGCACATGCAATAATATTTTAATAACTCACCTAATAAGCAGGTAGGAGTTCTTTGCTGTTAGCATATTTATGTTAGTTTTGCTACTAATTTGTTTAAAATGTTCTTTTCCTTTAAAATATGTTAAACACTTTCCCAATTATTCAATTTATGACAAATTGAGTAACAGTTAACTGCTCCAATGGCAAGTTACCCTTCTCTATTAAAATAACTTAAGCTGCATTTTAGCTAAAACAGCCCAAGTTGAAAGTTGTCCAAAGGTGTTATAAGAAAGAATGTAATCCAATATGTTACTGGATGATTTTTATAAACATTAGAGGGGTTGGAAGATGTGTACCCTATTCTGAAAAAGATAAATAGACCAACTGGAAAAAAATCTCAACTCAAATAATTTAACTCTCTCATTATTAGGATTTCCATGAAATAATTGAAAAGTTGTTAGATTCATATGAGCAGCACACCTTATACATTTCAACATATTTATTATGTAGGAGATGTCTATTATATATTCATTATTGTTATATGTACTCAAAGATTAATATTTGCCCTTTGATATCCATATACAGGATAATTTTATGGGCCACAAGTTAGATAAATTCATACAAACAAAATAATAAGTGTCTAGCTGTAATTAGCACCTTACAAAACTTTCAATTTAGGGATTTAATTTGAATGTCATAAAAAGAAACTATGGCATTTTGAAATATACTAGGTCAGGATTTAAGAGGCCTCTTTGATTTCAGCTCTGATTCCAAAGAAAGGACATAAACAGTATTGGTAGGATATGAGGGCATCTTTTGGAGCTCAAGGGCAAGAATTACAGTTGGTTTTCACGAGGGTCTGTAAACGGTTTAGTTCATAGCTCCATTCTGCAGATATGATGGGTCCTGCTCTCTGCTTCCTTGACCAGCTTTTTTTCAATCTAATGGGTTTTAACTGGATTGTACTTTGATATAATTGCTACTCCAAAAGGGTAGCTTCCTAGCTACCTTGAGCTTCTTCTAAAATTTCTAGGAAAAAAACTTATAAAAATTCAGGACAAAAGAGAATTGTATAGTAAAAAGAATATTGGACCAGAGAGTAGTCAGCAATCCAGGATTCCAAACTTTCTCAACCATGATCTTGCTATGTGAGTAGGAAAAAACTGTGTAAGTACTCTAAGTCTTCTTTGTTCTGCCCATTTGCAGGAACATTTATTCCCCAAATCTATCTCAAATATGCTTGTGCTCTCTTTTTCAAGTACTGGAACCGTAGACTTGTCTATTGCAATTGCAACTCATTTCCTCCCTCTAGCCTGAGCTCACTGCTGGAACATACAGTCAATACAGGGGAGAATGAAAATACAAGCATGTATGCATTTTTTAATCCAAATAATAAGCTTTATGATGATACCTTGGATAGAAATGTGTACTATAGCAGAAGGAAGACAGTAGGTGGTGAGTTGGAACATTCACTTTTACACATATTAAAGTCAAATTTCTTATGTAAAACCTAGTTGACTTGTCTAAGACTCAGCAAGGAGGTCTTGGCTACAGCTATAGATTTGGAAATCAATGGAATGTAGCTGGTGGTAAATCCACAGGAGAGAATGAAATACCCAGGGAGAGTATATACTGAGAGGAGAAAATTCAAGCAAATAATTTCATTAGTGTGATATACATCCCATCCCCTTCCCCCCTATAATGCCCCCCACAAAAAAAAAGCCTCAATCAAACAAACAAAAACAGAGCCTAGCACAGTTGTTTCCATGCAGTTGGTTTATTTTGGGAAGTGTTCTCAAAGAACAAGAGTGGGGCATTTTTGGAGTGGAAGGAAAGGAGGAAAAGCTAAGTAAAGCTGATTATCAAGCTCTTCACTGTTGTGAACAACTGGAGTGGATCCCTTAGAGATGCACAGAGGAGCCATGAGGAATGCACCTCAGAGGGGAGGTTTATCTTCCCACCAGCTTCTGTCCCTCATTGGATAAGGGTGGCCTTGTGGGGTGTCAACTCCCTCATATTTTCAGGTTTTCTAAAGTCAGAATGACTCTGAAAGTTTCCTGCAGGCATCCTATACAATGATGGCAGAGAGCCCTGGACTTCTCTTTTGTTTGTCCATTCATTCATTTCATTGTTTTTCATTGAATATACACTTATTTTAAATGTGTGCCAGGCACTAGGAAGTGGTTAAAAGTTAGAGCTCTTTCTTTGATATCCAATAAGGATGGGTCAACACAGGCATGGAGAAATCAAGAGGAGGTGGAAGAAGCAGAGAGCTTCACATCTGTGGCCATTAACCCAACTTTTACAGCCACACATACCCTGAATCTCCTTTCTATTTTACCATCCACTCTTAATTACTTTCAGTTATTCCTGTTGAGGTCGGGGGAGGGGGTGGGAGGGGTGAATTTTAAAAGGGGTTTGGCTATTACCAGCTGTTTTCTTGGAGTGATTAACGAGACTCTTCCATCTTTGTTATAGTCTGCCTCTGTGTTCCCTGGACAACTCCATTCCAGTGCAAGATTCTCATGGTTGAATTCATGTAAGTAAAATAAATATTTGGTGCAACTTGACTGGAGTAATTACTTATTGGCCTTTTGCTATGTCTCAGGCTATTGTTATTCTTGCTGTAAGTGCCTTAGTTGGAACATTTCATTTACTTTTTTCAATAAACCCATGAAGAAGGTCAATTTGCTGAACCTGCCTGCAGCCTCTGTAAGGACATGCAGGATAAACCTCACGCTCAACCCTTCACCATGAAAGACTTGGTGAAGTTCCAGGTTATCTGTCCCAGTAATTGAACGAGGATAATTAGAGGCAATTGTCATAGAAGGAGAGCCTGGGCAGCAGAGCCTCTAGATTCAGGTCAGTGGCTGGTGGCCAGGTCAGGCCATTTTTAAGAAGTAGCTGGCGGGTGAGAGATAGAGGAGACCAAGAAGCAGAAATGGGAGAGGCCACCCTGAGAGATGAAGCGAGATTCTTCTATTACTGAGAATTTTCATGTCTATAAAACCTGTATGCCCCTATGGCTTTTCTGCTCCAAGTGGTTCTTTTACATACATTCCATCTTTCATTTGAGCTAGCTTGAGAGACTTCCTGTTCTTTCCAGCCTTGATTAGAACCCAAGCCTGTATTATTGGAACTCCAGCAGCATTCATAAATGTTTAATCTATATTGTCAGGAGAGAGATAGCTTTGTCTAATGGGAATGGCTAATAGTTAGAGATCAGGTGATATGTTTTAGTTACAGTACTACCATTTACTTACCTTGCATCCTTGGGCAAAAACACCCTTTTGGATCTCTGTTTCCCGATCTATAAAGCGGGGATAATATTGCTTACCATATCTCTTTTCTACAAGGAGGATATATAAAAATAATACAAATTAAAGTGACTTAAAAGTTTACAAAGCAATATATAAATGCAAATCATCATTATTATGTTTGGCCAAAATAAAAATATATTCATCATACAGCCTTTTACACTAGTAACATTTCTAAGAGCTGATTAGCACTTGAGTTTCAGCAAAAGTTCTCAGAAGTGCTCTGACTGGCATGGGACCAAGAGGCCATATGCAGGTTTGAAAATTTTTGCAACTTTATGCTTTGTCTCTCCAACTAGATGTTAAGGTCACACTATAATATGTATGTGTATTTGTTTCTTTCTCAGAATCAAGCACAATGTAGATGCTTATAAATATGTGTTGAGGGACTATTTGGATAAAAAGAAAGATGGGTAGGTGTTGTTGTAGGAAACTTTACCATCTGTGGAAATTCAAGGTAAACTTAATTTCTCTGGTTATTATTCTTATTCTAAGGAAACAATAGAAAAAATAGTCTGAGTAGGCATACCTGCCATATGCATGCATATGTATTTCATACATGCTTTTTCACTGGAGCAATGCAAATAAAATCAGTGTTACTAATCCTTCTAGCTGGGTGAGAGTTTTTTAAAGTCTGAACGTTCATATGTTCACAGGTATGAATATTTTTAGGATACCCCACACAAGCCTGCTCAGTAGAAAAAAATTTTCAAGTGCCTTCTTGGACAGAAGGTGTTCACTTTATTAAGATTTCAATATTTGGAAAGTTATAAATTTAGTGTTATATGAGTCAAACAAACAGAAATCTTAATACAAAAGTGCTCCAAATCTTCATCTGTCCCTTAATGAAAATGAGTAAATTGTGCAGGCATGAGCTTTCTGTTACTAGAGATGTTTGAGCTGTGGCTGAACAATCATCTAGCAGAGCTAGTTAATGCTTGGGGGAGGAGCAGAAGATGGTCTTGTTTCCTATAGAAGGTCATGACCAACTTACATTCTGGAATCAGATTGCATTTACTAGAGATTGCATTTATACCTGTTGGAAATAATGCTGAGCCTGGAAGGAGTCTATTATCTAAAACACAGTCAGCAAGCTATGGCTATGGGTCCCATCTGGCCTCTCGCCTGATTTTGCAAATGAAGTTTTATTAGAATGCAGCCATGCCCATTCATTTCATTATTGTCTAGGGTTCCTTTTGCCCTACAGCAACAGAGTTGATTAGTTATGACAGAGACTCTTTGATCTGCAAAGCCTAAAATATTTACTATCTGACCCTTTATAGAAAAAGTTTGCCAATTTTTATAAGAAGTAGATGGCAAAGTTTACTGCATACTTCTTAGAAAGTGCATCTTTACGTACTGGGGTTATAAGGTGTATTTGAACTTCTCTATATATTTATTTTTATTACATTTATTTTTAATTTTAGCCAACTCTATGCACTAATTTCTTCATCTCTAGGGTAGTTGTATTATGCCACTTGATCTTAGCCAAACAGCACAGAAACAGTGATAGAGTGGTGATATTATTAATACGCACTTCACTGAGTGGTTGTGAAGATTAAAAGTGAATATTTTGCATAGCGTGAACCTGACCAGTACACTGTAATGTGCTGGAACAATATAGAGGGAGACGGGGGTGGATGAGGGTCAGGGATGTCAAGGAAGTTTTGTTGTGGAGGATGTGACTAGAATTGTATTTTTGAAGAGAGGGTGAGGACTCAGATGGTAGTGGAGATACTGTTATCACAGTTACAGGGAGGCCGGCTAAACTGACCTCTAATCTTCCCAGCAAGGAAGTCCTCACCCCCTTACCTAACACTTCTGCCATGTTTTAAAAGGCCAGAGAGATTTTTCCCTGCTAATTATTCACTTGACCCGAGAAGTAAGTGCTTCTCTACTTTCAATCTGTGCTTTCTATCACTAAGATAAACTAGTAATGATTTGCCAATAAGATGCAATTACAGTGCCTGCTGAGGTCAATATTCAATCAGTGGTTCCATTCTGAGTGCTGCTTTGATCAGTTGGTTAAAAATTTCCTCTCTTTAGATTCTTTGTAAACTATGATTAATTGAGAGGTTTAGGGGTTTAAGATTGGAATGTGGTTTCAGTTTTAATCCAACTTGTGAGCCACACTTCAAACTCTGGCCAAATGTGATAGTCTCCCTTGGGAAGCTCCTGCCCACCCTGAGACGAGAGTGGGTACTTCTTCCTATTTCTCCCACCATCTCCTGCCCTTCTTCCAATACAGGTCAGACTCTAAAGAATAGCAAATAAAGTAGAGTATTCTGAAGGTTTTGTAGAAAACTCAGCAAGTCATGTTGATCACTCTCCAGCAAAAACAGCATGTTTTTTGTTGTTTTTCAATTCTTTTCTGGTTTCTCATCTGCTTGGTCACTTTTTTCTCCTTTCTGTTTTCCCCATACAGGGTTTTAGACTTTTCTCTATAAGTTAGAATGACTCAGATTCTCCCTCACTTTGGAAATCTTACTCTGAATAACAAAGTCCTTGTAGATAACTGAACAAGGCCATTGACTGTTCCTCAGACACAGCTTTTGGGACCACCAGACCAGATAACCACACTAGATCTGCTGATTTATAGGAATATAGCAAAATTTGAATGAGAATAAATCTAAGTTTTTTGGTACTTCATCCCAGAAACCCAAAATGATGGTACTTCGTTGCATCTTGGTGTTCTACTGGGTCATAATTAAAGTAGAATGCCTGAGGTTTTGTGGGCTCCTTTTTCTCTCTCTCCCTCCCCCAATCTCCCTAACTCATCTGAAAGTCTAATTTTAGTTCAAGGATAGAATTTCATCTTTGTTTTCATATGGATTCACATTTACTTAGGATTTATAATCAGAGGCTTCAAGTAGCTGGTGGTAGCCCTTCTGTGTAGCTAAGATTTTATTACTTTATGTATAAAATTTAAATCTTTAATCCTCCTGGGTTTTATTTTGGTAATGTGGCAACATATCTTAAATTTAAGATATATCCATAGCTTTTGTCGCAGAAAACTCTCTTATAGGAATCTATCCTAATGAAACAACAGCTGGACTTTAATAAACAAGGATGTTTATCACATTATTTGTCAAGGCAAGTACAAACACACACACACACATGGATGTACATTAATGAGGGAGATACTGAATAAAGTCTGGTATAATCCTCTTATGGAACATTAAATGTTTCCTGAAATGGATAAGCCTCTCTCTATTGACCTGGAGGACTGTTGATAATGCATTGTCATGTGAGAAAGGCATCAAATGGCAATAACAACTCCAAATCCCTTATTTCAATTTTTTTTTAATGTGAAAAGATGTGTCTGGGAGTGGTGGCTCATGCCTGTAATCCCAGCACTTTGGGATTAACTTGAGGTCAGGAGTTCAAGATCAGCCTGGCCATCATGGTGAAACCCTGTCTCCACTAAAAACACAAAAATTATCTGGGTGCAGTGGTGGGCGTCTGTAATCCCAGCTACTCGGGAGGCTGAGGCAGGAGAATTGCTTGAACCCAGGGGGCGGAAGTTGCAGTGAGCCGAGATCCCGCCACTGCAGTCCAGCCTGGGAGACAGAGTGAAACTCTGCCTCAATAAAACAAAACAAAAAATAAAAAAGTTTAAGTAGAAAGACACCAGACTGCCATATTATTTACTCTTGTTGGGGGTAGAAGTATGATTAACATTTTCTTTACATAGTTTTATATTATTTCACTGGTTTTAAGGATTGTGGTAGACACATGTCAATTTTGTAACTTGACAAAAGATTTCATCTGACAAAAAGATTTTTAAAAATAAAACAAGTAGACAAGTAAAACTGTTATTTCTCTATTTGAAAACTGTGATGTCAGATATTTTGGGAGCTGCACACATGTACAGAGAACAGTCTGTTGCAGTGTTCTGCTCATAGTCAATTTGGGCGAGAGCTGGGAAAATTCAGGAAAGGGAGAGGCTGTTAGGTCCAAATTGGAAGAGGAGAATCCTAGAGCTATTAGTCTTGGATTGTGGTGACTTTACCTTTATTTCTCCTGAGATAGATTCTCCCTTGCACCCATTTCCCTGGTGACTCATCTATCACTTAACCCACTGAGGGTTAAGATGGCTCTAACCCAACAGTTTCAGAGCAAATTTTTAACCTCTCTTCCTTCTGCTGCCTTCTGAATTTGAGTTATTGCTATACTTTTTAGAGATTAATAAAAGGACTAGACTTGGTGGGTCCATGACACAGGTTTGAGTTGAGTGTTCTGGTACCATCTATGTGACCTTGGATAAATAACTACTAATCATAGATTTGTCAGCTATGGAGTGGACACAGAGATGCCTTTTTATCGGATCCCACCCAGGACAGTAGTAGGAGGTTTATGTAATACATAGGGATTGTAAAATTATTTTATAGTTTTTACAAATTTGGAATTTAACTACTAGTCTCAATTCTCTATGATAATTTATCATAGAAATTATTGATTTGTATGATTACCTTCTTTTTGAAAAAAAAAAAGAAAAAGTTACTGCTTTCCCAGATGAGGATCCCATTGGGAAATAATGTTTGCTTTTTTGTCTTTCTGCCTCTGGTGTTTGTGTAACAGAAGGCAAAGTTCAGAATGGCTGCTGTCAGACAAAACTCTACAGACCTATAGAAGAAAATTTCAGGCCTCTTGCCTATTAGGTGAAGATTAAGTGTTCCCATGGTCTCCTCTATTATAGCAGTCAACAAGCCCATGATAAAAACAAAACCACTAACTCAACAGCTCTGACTTCATTTTTGCTGTATCTATTGTCCACTGGGTATCAACAAGAAAATAATCCCTTTCTGTAATACTTTCAGTTTTTACTTAGATGTGCAATCTGTTTTTTGTTTCTTTGTCCCATCATTGGTTAAGCATCCTAGCTTATACAATTGCTCCGTCCTTAAAGATAGAGGCATTGCCTTAATAACAGGAATATTCTACATACTAAAATAGCATCTTTGAAAGCACAAGTTCATTTTTAGAATTAATAATCAATGTTAATCTATTATCTTCAGGTGAATAATCACTTATACACATATTCTCTTATTTAATCCTCAAAACAGAGGCTCAGAGTGAGTACCTAACTTGCCCGAGGTCACATTGTTAGTGAGTGACAGAATTAGGGCCTCAGTCATTCTTTTTAGGTGAGCAACCTAAACTATGTTAACACAGAGTTAATGAAATGATCACTGACTGAATTAATAATTCTATCAACTAGACCCAAGGGACAACTAGCTTAACCAATATCTACCCCATGTAAGCCAAGAAGACTTCTTTTATCTGGGATTTCTCAGATAAACTAATAGGAATTCCAACGTTTGTTGAACCTAGTCAGTCATGGAACCCTGTTGAAGACCATTTCAGGGGAATAAGTTCTAAAGCACATGCTTTGGGAACAGCTGCTCCAGCTAGAGTCAGACTCTTTTACCAGCTACCCTCTTCCTCCCTCTGTCCTTCAACACTAGAGACCCTTGCTTAGCTCTTGTAACATGCAGCACTTAAATATAGCTTCTTGTTCTCTTTTGAGTGCACAAGTTATTAATTAATTTCAGTTGTAAAGAAATGAGCATTGCCAACTGTCCATTGTGCTTGTGATCTGGTGTTCTTTTGTCAAAAAGCACTGAGGCCTATTGTTCTAACCCTTCCCATGTTCACATTGAATTTCTGATGACAAAGCATATTTATTGTCTTCCATCCAGATTTTAAGTGCTGTTTGTGGGGTTTTGAGCAGTTGCCATTCTGAGGAGGAGCAGAGGAGCATGGCTTTGCCAAAGGTATGCTTGAACAAGGCAGCTAAAAATGACCAGACCTGTCTCCCCTTAGCCTTCTGTGTTTCATGTGGATTTTTCAGCAAACCTGCAAATCATGGTTGTTGTAGAGATTGTTCACTGCCTGGATATTAATTTTCTCCCCATAGAAAAAGGAGCTGGGAGATGAATCACTGAGTGGTTACCCAGCACAGAGAATGTTGTCTGCATTCATCTATCTTCCATTCAATCTTCCTTCAGAAAGACATTATGGGTGAGCCCCACTCTTCCGACTGCAAGTATCACCAGTGACAGCTTTGCAAGTGGCCTTAACAGCTTGTCAGGAAACTAATCAATGTAGGTTTTCACAAAGGAATCTACTTGATCAATATCATCAAGGAAGCCCAGACCTAACAAACAGATCACATAAGAGTTTTCATGATCAATAGAAGTTACACAGAAAGTAAATTATTGGGTATATTTCAACGAACGTATTATAAATGCTTCCTGATGATAGCTCTTTCTCTGGGAGCTACAGTAATATACCAAAAGTGATAGAAGAGGCAGTGTGTGCCCTGTCAGGCAGACCCCTAGGGACATGTTCTCAACATGAAACATACATACACAATTAGTTGAGAAGATGTAACTCTGGTTTTGAAGGAAAACTGGTTTTAATATTTGTCACCCTACCAGCAAGTAGATTATAAATTTTTGATGAATGGGATTATTTTGGCATCCCAGTACCATGGACATGGGCATATACTAGGCATATCAGTTATATTCTTGCTGAGTTGACCATTATTCCCTACACTTCTCAGAAACTATTGCTACTTCTATGTCATCCCTGCCATTTCCACCCTCTGCCTTTTTCCCCACTGTCCTTGGGGAAACCCCAATTCTAAATGTTGTAAACTTTCCTAACATATAATCCATAAGTGTGACATTAGAAAATGCTAAAATCTCTGGAAGTAAAATTTAAGGCATAGCTGTACTGTAATAATACATTGAGACATTACCCAATGTTTTTCTTCCTGGTGTTTATGTCTCTATCAAGTATCTTGCCTCATAAAAAATTGTGCAACAACTTAGCGGCCTAAATAACTGTAATTTTGTGTTCTCATAATCCTGTGGGTAAGCCTTATAGGCTGGGCTCAGCAATGGGTTTTTCTGCTGGTCTTGCCTGAGGTGAGCTCATGCATCTTCAGTGATTTTGTGGCTTAACTGGGCTGAAGTCCAAGATGACCTCACCCCATGTCAGGCGGTTGGTGCTGGCCATCAGCTGAGTTTCTCTCTTCACTCATTCTCTCTTCTTCAGGGAGACTAGCTTGGTTTTTTTCACATCATGCCACTGCATGCCAAGAGAATGAAAGTGAAAGCTGAAAGGACTTTTGAGGTCTAGCCTTGAGAATCACACAATATCAATTCCTCTACATTTTGTTGGTCAAAGTAAAACAAAGGGTTAGCCCAGATCCAAGAGGGGTTGGGAAATAGATTCTACCTCTTGTTGAGGGAGCAGCAGTCACATTGCAGGGGGACAGGGCAAAGGGATGGAAAGGTTTATTGTGGCCATCTTCTCAAAAAAATATCTACCACAATTTCCCTCTATTTTCCCCCTACCCACCCTAAACACATCACCCCACCTCATTCGAGAAGCTAGGTTTTCTCTGCTCCAAAAGGAGCCATAGAAGAGAGGAAATGAAAGAGTGGAAAGCAGAGAAGAAAAGTGAATGTCTTCCAGGTTTTTCTTTTAAGGGACTAAGCCTTTAGGATGTGGGAGAAACACGGAGAAGACAAAATGTTATAAAAAAAAAAAAAAGTGCATTGAGTCAGCTTCTCCTTAGATTAGGTAAAATTTCCTTGGGCTAGGAATGGAAGTGAGGGTCAAGGAGGACACAGAGGGGAGGATTTGGATAACTCAAAGAAGGGCCTGAAACAGGCTAGCAGAGATAACCATGCCCCAGTGTCATGGAAGAAGTAAAATAAATCTCACAATGTTAAGCATGTCTCAAGTAGCCTGAGAGCCACCCAACCTGAAGGAGGCATGAGCCAAAGGGAAAATCGAGACCTATGTGGAACAATGGCCAAAAAGCGGAAGGTGGCTTGTGTCTAAGAGAATTTCTGCATGGACAGAAAATAATAGAACCAGATGCCTCTCTTCCCTCTCCCTTCCATGCTATCAATAGCTTCAAATTACTTACTCCCAGTCAACTCCTCAAACCTTCCCTAGGTTAGGGAGGAGAGGAAGAGTCAAGATGGTGGAAATTACGCTTCCACTGCCTGAATGAGTCAGGGGCTTAATATCTGCATATTTTGGAGGATTTTATGGTCAGATCTCTTGAAGCTCTGCTGTCAGAGAGTCTTATCAAGCATGATATCAGTGGAATTCTCGGTAAACACCACTAAGGAGAGCTCCTTTTTGAAGGGAACTCTTGGTCTCCTAAGAACTAGGAATGAGTGGTATGCTTTCTTGCCATTTAATTGAAGAAGAATGAGACTGTCCCAGAACCCAAACATAAATTTCCCCTGCACATGACAATGAAGCACATAGTTTATCTTGTGACATCTGATCCAGAAGTTCAGTTCAATATGATTTGTCCATACTCAGCATTCTTATATTGAAAAAATATTTTTGAGCACCTATTTTGGGCCAGGTGCTGTAGAAGATGCAATGGCGAGCAAAAAGAGACTTTGTCCTTGACCTTTTGGAGCTTAGAAGGTCTAAGAAGTACCCCTTAATGGAATCTCCTTGTAGGTTACATAGTCTAGGAGAAAACTATATGGCCCTAAGTGGTTCTGCACACCTCCTGGGAGGGAAGCAACATGGCATCAATGTAAGGGCATCTTTAGAACTCTCTTGACAATTATCTTCCCTGGGACAAGCCAGATCAAACCGGCTCAGCTCTGGCAAATATTTTCTATGTATAGCCAAAAAGAAAACAATTAATTACCAAGACCTACCACAGTTAAGCACTGTGCTACAGGATTTACCTGTATTATATTCCTTAGTCTCTTCAATATATCTAACTTTCCAGTGTCTCCCAATTATGAGCACCATCTGCAAGAGTCCACTTGGAAAATACTCAAGGTAATGAACATTTCTTTTCTCCTTTCATCTTAGAATAAGCAAACACAATTTTCCTAGTCTTGTTAACATTTCTTACTTTATTATCTCCTAGGTGTGATAAGAGCTAATCTGATAAACTAAGGCAATGTGACAATGGATAATTATGACCCTATGATAAAAACAATTATGCTTTTATACTCCATAGGAAATTAAGCCATGCATACCATTAATAATAATTCAAGAACATAAACAAGAATATCACAGATATTTGGAAATTTGGTATTAATTTATCAGTATATTTTTATGACCCCTGTTTAGCCACGCTCCAAGTAAGGTAAGAACTTATAACTTTCCTTTCTTCTTTAACTTTGAGAGAAACCTGGCAGTCAGCTAGAGAAAAAGTATGCACTGGCATTTGTGAATGAGCACACAGTTCTCTCTGATTGATCATTTATGCTCTAGCATCCTCTGAGAGACATACATATATACTTCTGGGGGCAAAAATATTTCCTCTGACAATGAACAATCTATAGTTATATCCTGGATAAGCCTAGTCAAACTCAAAGATTGGTTAGATGTCAGATAAGAGCTTGGAGGGCAACTTGGAATTTCTCAGGGATGTAAAATACCCTTTAGATCTCAAACAACAACAAAAAAAAGTAAAAAAAAAAATCCATTAATCTCTGTGCTTGTCATCAGAAAAGCAACCTTTGAAAGTTTACAATATTTTGATATTTCAAATAGCAAATCAAGCAGAGAAGTCCTTGAAAATGCCAGTTTAAAAATTTGTTTTCCATTAACCTGAGGGTAGGCACCTGGGGAAGAGGGAGGTTTCTGCTGCTGAAATCTTTTTGAGCTTTTATGTCTATTGGCACTGGACAGCTAAATGCAGTTAAGGGCTAACACTGAGGTTGGCAATGAGAAAGTAATGCTCTTATGAGGTTTTAGTTCCCCACTGAAACATGCTTAAACACGTTTCAATGTGTCAACAACATTTGAATATTTCTAGGACATTAAGTACCTTGAAATATTGATAGGCCGAACTCCTCTACCTGTATATCATATGGAAGAACTCGGTTCTGAAAGAAATCAAGCCTAAGTCTATTGATTGGCTGAATGGCCAGAATCAAGGCTATTGCTGAATCTCAAGCTGCACAGGGCTTGTAGCGACACATGCATAGGTTCTAATTCCAGCTTCACCTCTTTCTGGGTATTTGATGTTTAACAAATAACTTACCATGTCTGAACCAGGTTTCTTCTCTGGAAAATGAGAAAAATAATGGTGCTTACCTCATAAGACTGTTGTGAGGATAAAATTGGCTTCTTTAAGTGGAAGAATGTCAGCAAAATGGTGAAATATAAGTTTTCTCTGTTATCTTCGTATAGAAAGATTTTTGATAACCATTCATGAAAAAGAGCACATTTGTGGGAGTATAGGAGTCCAGTGGAGAAGTTTAGCACACTATTGAAGCAAAAAACTCCAAGAATAGATATATTAAAGAGCATAAGAAAAACAGTTTTACTTTATCTGTATCACCTCTCCCAAGGCTGCACAGATCAGTGTTAAGAGACACCCCCTTGGCCTGCAGTTTTTCCTGGGGAGGAAAGTTAGAGTGCAGTGAGTAAGCATCTAGCTTCCTCAGTTCTGCAGGACACTGTGCCCAAAGACCCATTTATTTCTTGCTCCACTCAGAATACTGAGGGGATTGGCATGGCTGAGTGATTGAGAGAGGTTAGCAATAGGGAAGAGAGGCAGGTTCTCAATGCAACCAGGGCTCAGAAGTCAACAAACGGCAGTGGATCCCAGACTCCATCAGGGAGCTTGCTCACCAGTCTCTTGGAATGTCTAGTCGGCCAACCCCACCAACTGACCCACAAAGATTCCCAATGCTCTATGTGTCTCACACATGCCTTCCCCCTGTGGCCAGCCCCCTGCATGCACTCCTGCAGATGCCAAGTGTGAGCTTTTTCAGATATCTTGTGGACACATACAGGCAGCCAGATTGACTCTGTGGGATTTGGAGAATGCATACAAAATTGAGCATTTCAGGACACTTCTTTAGGAAAAACAAACAGGAGACTCTTAGACCCTGGCATGATCTTTTAGCATCAAGAAAAGGAATACAATCTTAAGAACTACCATCCAAAAGAGGAGAAGTGTGAAGCATGTGCACCCATAGAAAATATCTTAGAGAACCTAAGAATTCCTAGGCAGATTGGCTGAGGAAGTTGTTTCTCTTCTAAAACCTGGTCAGTAGAGACTGGAGGAGATGACTGCTTCTTTAAATGAGCATACAGCAATACAAGACTTTAAGAATTATGAAAAAAAGTGGCCGGGTGCAGTGGCTCACACCTGTAATCCCAGCACTTTGGGAGACTGACGTGGGTGGATCACCTGAGGTCAGGAGTTCAAGACCAGCCTGCCCGACATGGTGAAACCCCATCTCTACTAAAAATACAAAAATTAGCTGGGCATGGTCATGGGCACCTGTAATCCCAGCTACTTGGGAGGCTGAGGTAGGAGAAGCTCTTGAACCCGGGAAGAGGAGGTTGCAGTGAGCCAAGATCATGACACTGCACCCCAGCCTGGGTGACAAGAGTGAGACTCCATCAAAAAAAAAAAAAATAGAAACATGAAAAAAATCAAGGAACCATAGCATCACAAAAGGAATGCAATAATCAGTGGCTGACCCCAAAGAAATGGAGATCTGCAAATAGCCTAATAAAGACTTAAAAATAATAGTTTTTATAAAAAACTGAAGGAAATAAAGAAACTACATGAACAAAATTATAAGTTCAACAAAGAGATAGAATTTATAAAGCAAAAAGAACTTAACAGAAATACTGGAGCAGAAGAATACAATGAATAAAATAAAAAATGCAATAAATAGCATAAAGAGCAGGCTTGATCAAGCTACAAAAAAAGAATCTGTGAAGTTGAAGACAGTTCACTTAAAATTATCCAGTCAGAGGAGAAAAAAAATTAAAAAGAACAAAGAAGAATAAAAAAATAGTCTATAGGATAATGGAATATCATAAAAAGAACTAATATATATTATGTGAGTTCTAGATGGAAAAGAGAAAGAGAAAGAAGCAGAAATTTATTTGAAAAAATGATGACAAAACTTTTCTAATTTGGGGATGAAATATATACATTTAGTTATATGAAGCTTAAAGATTTCTAAACAGGTTAATTGTAAAGAGAACACATTATAATCACACTATCAAAAAACAAAAAACAATTAATTTTGAAAATAGTAAGAGCAAGGAGACTTGTCACATGCAAGGAACTCTCCAACAGGCTAGCATCAGATTTGTCAGTACAAACCTTGCAGGCCAAGAGAGAGTTGGATGATATATTCAAAGTGCTGAAAGAGAAAAAAAAAACCTGTCAAGGATGAATGCTTTACCCAGAAAAGATGTCCTTCAGAAATGAAGGAGAAATTAAAACTTTCGCAGACAATATCTCAGAGGGTTTATCACCACTAGACCCGAAACAATAAAAGGGAGTTCTTCAAGCTGAACTGACAGTATACCAATTAGTAACATGAATACATAAGAAAATATAAAACTCACCGGTAAAGGTATGTATGTAGTCAAAATCAGAATACTCTAATACTGTAATACCAGTATGTAAATTGCTTTTAAACTAGTATAAAAGTTAAAGGATGGGTGGCTGAGCACAGGAGTTTGAGGCTGCAGTGAGCTATGATTGTGCCACTGCACTCCAGCCCAGGAGACAGACTGAGACTTTGTATCAAAAAATAAAAAGTGAAAGGACAATATTATTTAAAAAAACCTATAGTTACAATAATTTGTTAATGAATACACAATTTAGAAATGTGAAATTTATGACATCAAAAGCATAAAATGTGGAAAGCGAAGTAAAATATAGAGTTTTGTATGTGATCAAAGTTAGCTTGTTTTAAGCATAAAATAGACTGTTATAACTGTTAGATGTTTTATGTAAGCCTTATGATAGCCATAAATCATAAACCTATAGTAGATACATAAAACATAATGGAAAAAAAGCATACTGTGACATGAAAATCATCAAATTACAAAAGAATATAGTAAAAGAAGAAGAAAGAAATGAAGAAACTACAAAATAGCCAGAAAACAATGAACAAAATTAGAATAGTAAGTCTTTAACTATCGACAACTACTTTAAATATAAATGGATTAAATTCTCTAATCAAAATATATAAAAAGGCTAAGTAGATAAGAAAAACAAGGCCCAAATATAAGCTGCCTCAGCAACTTACTGCAGCTTTAAGGACACAATAGGCTGCAAGTGAAGGGATGGAAAATGATATCTATGCCAATGAAAACAGAGAGTGGGATATCTATATCAGACAAAATAGTATTTAAGTAAAAACTGTAAAAGGAGACAAAAGAAGGTCATTATATAATAATAATAAAGAGGCCAATTTATCAGGATGATATAATAATTATGCATGTATGTGTACCAAACATGGGAACATATAACTACATAAAGCAAATATTAACGGATATAAAGGGATAAATAAATAACAATACAATAACAGTAGGAGACTTCAATATCCCAGTTTCAATGATGGGTAGATCATCCAGACAGCAAATCAATAAGGAAGTATTAGATTTGAATGGCACTTTAGGCCAAATGGCCCTAGCAGACATACACACATGACAACCACCAGAAACAGAATATACATTCTTCTCAAGTATACTGGGAACATTCTCCAGGATCTATCACATGTAAGCCACAAGATAAGTCTCAAAAAAATTAAGAATATTGAAATCATATCAAGTATCTTTTCTGACCAAAGTAGTAAGAAGCTATAAATCAATAACAGGAGGAAAACTGAAAAATTAACAAATATGTGGATATCAAACGCTCTCAAACAACCAATGGGTCAAAGAAGAAACCAAAAGGGAATTAAAAACTGTCTTGAGAGAAACAAAAATGGAAACACAACTTACCAAAACATAAGAGGCAGAAAAAGCAGTTCAAAAAAGAAGTTTGTAGCAACAAATGCATACATTAAGAATAAAGGAATATTTTTTAAAATCTAACTTTAAACCCCAAAGAACTAGATAAGAATGAAGTAAATAACAAGATCAGAGCAGAAATAAATGGAATAGAAAATAGAAAAACAATAGAAAAGATCAATGAAACTAAAAGTTGTGTTTTTGAAAATATAAACAAAACCAACAAGATTTTATTTAACTTACCAAGAAAAAAGAAAGACTCAAATAAATAAAATTATAAAGAAAAGAGGAGATATTACAACTGATACCACAGAAATGCAATGGATAATAAGAGATTACTATGAACAGTTATACGCCATCAAATCAAATAAGCTAGAAGAAATGAATAAATTTCTAGAAACATACAACCTACAGAGACAGACGCATGAAGAAACAGAATATTTGAACAGATCAATAATGAGTAAGAAAATTGAATCAATAATCAAAAATCTCCCAACAAAGAAAATCTCAGGACCAGATGTCTTCCTGATAAATTCAACCAAACACTTGAACAAGAACTACTACCAATTCTTCTCAAATTCTTCCAAAAAAAATTGAAGAGGAGGGAATATTTTCAAATTTATGTTATCAGGCTAGCATTTCCCTAATACCAAATCTAGACAGGGGCACTGCAAAAAAAATTATAGGCCAATATCCCTGATGAGCATAGATGCAAAATATCTTAATCAAAATAGTAGCAAACCATATTCAACAGCATATTAAAAGGATCACAGTCCATGATCAAGTGGAATCTATTCCTTGATCTATTCCTGGGATACAAGGATGGTTCAACCTACATATGTAAAAACTCCCAATAATTTAGGTATAGAAGGAGTGAACACCAACATACTAAAGGCTATATGTGACAAGGCCACAGCCAACATCATAGTCAACAGTGAAAACCTGAAAACTTCTCTAAGATCAGGAACAAGATAAAGATCTGAAAAAGAAATTAAGAAAACAATCCCATTTATGATAGCATCAAAAAGAATAAAATAATAAATTTAACAAGTGAAAAATCTATGCACTGGAAACTATAAAACATTGATGCAGGAAGTTGAAAAAGACACAAATAAATGGAAAGATATTCTGTGTTCATGGATTTGAAGAATTGATATTGTCAAAATGCCCATGCTACCTGAAGTGGTCTATGGATTCAATGCAATCCCTGTTTACAGAAATAGAAAAAATACAAAAAGATTCTAAAATTTGTATCGAACCACAAAGACCCTGAATAGCTAAAGCAATCTTGTGCATAAAGAACAAAGCTGGAGTCATCACACATAATGATTTCAAATTATATTACAAACCTATGGTAATCAAAACAGTATGATACTGGCATAAAAATGGACACATAGATCAATAGAACAAAATAGAGAACCTAAAAATAAACCCAGGCATATATAGTCAATTAATCTTTGAGAAAGCACCAAGAACACACAGTGGGAAAGGGATAGTCTGTTCAATGAATGTTGTTGGGAAAACTAGACATCCACATGCAGAAGAATGAAATTGGACCATTATCTGACATCATAAACAAAATTCAACTCAAAATAAATTAAAGACTTAAATGTAAGACACTTAGAAGAAAACACGGGGGAAATCTCCTTGATATTGGTCTTGGCAATGATATTTTTTGGATATGACACAAAAATCACAGGAAACAAAAACAAGAGGGACTACATGAAATTAAAAAGTTTCTGCACAGCCAAGAAAACAATAAACAAAATGAAAAGGTAACCTATGTAATGGATGAAAATGGATTACAAACTGTATATCCAATAAGAGTTAATATCCAAAATATATAAGAGATTCAAGCAATTCAACAGCAAAATTCCAGATAACTCAATTTAAAAATGAGAAAGAACATGGAGAGACATTTTTCCTAAGCGGACATACAAATGACTAGTAGGTATATGAAAAGGTGCTCAACATCACTAATCATCAGGGAAATGCAAAGTAAAATCCCACTGAGATATCATCTCATATCTGTTAGGATGACTATTATCAGAAAGTCAAAAGGTAATGTGTTGGTTACTATGAAAAGAAAAAGGAGCCCTTACGTACTGTTGGTGGAAATGTAAATTAGTACAGCCATCATGGAAAACAGGATGGAGGATTCTCAGAAAACTAAAAATAGAATACCGTATGATCCAGCAATAATTTATTTGTGTCTGGGTATATACCCAAAGGAACGGAAATCAGTATGTCAAAGAGGCATTTGCACTTCCCTGTTCATTACAGTTTTATTCACAATAACTACAATATGGAAGCAACCTAGGTATCTCTCATTGGAAAAACAGATAAAGAAAATGTGGTATATTACTCAGTCTTGAAAACGAAGGAAACCTTGCCATTTGCAACATGATGAAGCTGGAGGACGTTATGGTAAATGAAATAAGCCAGACACAGAAAGACACTGCATCATCTCACTTATATGTTGAATTTTTTTTAAATGAGCCCGTAGGAAGAGAGTAGAATGGTAGTTATCAAGGGCAAAGGAGTGGGAGAAATGAGGAAATGCTGTTCAAAGGGTACAAATTTTCAGTTACAAGATGAAAAAGTTCTAGATACCTAATGCACACCATGATGACTATAATTAATATATACCTATTGTACACTGGACATTTGATAAGAGAGTAGATCTTAAGTGTTCTTACTATAAAAATAATGAGATTACTATAAAAATATGTGAGATTGTGGGATGGTGGGTATCCTAATTAGCTTGATTTTTGTATTCATTACATAATGTATACATATATCAAAATATTGTATTGTATACCTTAAATACATACAATTTTATTTGTCAATCAAACTTCAATAAAGCTAGAAAAAAACAAAGTCTTAAATAAAGAAGTAAACCTTTACATTTATAGTCAATTGATTTTTTATCAGGGTACCAAGATAACTTAATGGGGAAAAACAGTATTTTCAGGGAAAGGTGCTGGGAAAACTGGATATTCACAGATAAAAGAATAAAGTTTGACCCTTACTCATACTATATACCCAAAGTAACTCAATATCTAAACATAAGAGTGAAAATTATGAAACTACTAGAAGAAAATATAGCAGTAAATCTTCATGATCTGTGATTAGGCAAAGCTTTCTTAGCTATGGTATTAAAAGCACAAGGAACAAAAGAGAAAATAGATACATTAGACCTCATCAAAATTAAATCCTGCTCTTCGAAGCACACTATCAAAAATGAAAAGACATCCACAGAATGGGAGAATAGTTGAAAATCAAATATCTGATAAAAAAATTATGTTAGAATATATAAAGAACATACACAAGTCCATAATAAAAAGACAGTCCAATTTAAGAGTGGGCAAAGAACTTGAATGTATACTTCTCCAAAGAAGACAAACGAATGGCCAATAAGTGCATAAAAAGATGTGCAGGACCATTAGCTATCAGAGAAATGCTCTTCAAAACCATAATAAGATACCACTTCACACCCACTAAGACGGCTATAATAAAAAGATAGGTAAAACAAGTCTTAGATTAGTTGTGGAGAATTGAAGCTCTCATATACTGCTGGTGGAAATGTAAAATGGTACAGTCACTTTATTTGAATATTTGAATAATTAATGGTACAGTCACTTTAAATATTTGAATGACTATTCAAAAGTTAAACATGGAGTTACCACATGATCCAGAAATCCCACTCTTAGATACAGACCCAAGAGAAAATTATGTCCACACAAAAACTTGTACACCAATATTTATAACAGCATTATTCATAATAGCCAAAACCAGAAACATCTCAGATGTCTAGCAACTGATGAATGAATAAACCACATTGTTGTATTTATATAACAGAATATTATTCAGCAAAAAAAGAGAAATGAAGTACTCATATATGCCACAACATGAGTGAAGCCTGAAAACACGCTATGTGTAAAAAGCCAGTTATAGAAGACCACATATTATACAATTTTTTTTTTTTTGAGATGGTGTCTCACTGTCACCCAGGCTGGAGTGCAATGGCGCCATCTTAGCTCCACCTCGCAGGTTCAAGTGATTCTCCTGCCTCAGCCTCCTGAGTAGCTGGGATTACAGGTGCCTGCCACCATGCCTGGCTAATTTTTGTATTTTAGTAGAGACAGGGTTTCACCATGTTGGCCAGGCTGGTCTCGAACTCATGACCTCCAGCGATTTGCCCACCTCAGCCTCCCAAAGTGCTGGGATTACAGGTGTGAGCCACCGTGCCCAGCCTGTATGATTTTATTTATATAAAATGTCCAGAATAGCAAAATTGTAGAGTAGATTAGTTGTTGCCTAGGTCTGGGTGAAAGTGGGGAGGAAGTGACTGCTACAGGTATGGGGTTTCATCTGGGGATGATAAAGCTGTTCTAAAATCGTGGTGACAGTTGCACACCTCTCTGAAAGGCACTAAAACCTCTGAGTTATATACTTTAAATGGATGAATTGTGTGGTATGTTAATTACACCTGAATAAAACTATTACATTAAAAAAATGGGCTGGGCGCAGTGGCTCACACCTGTAATACCAGCACTTTGGGAGGCTGAGGCGGGTGAATCACGAGGTCAGGAGTTCAAGACCAGCCTGGCCAACATGGTGAAACCCCATCTCAACTAAAAATACAAAAAATTAGCTGGGTATAGTGGTGGGTGCCTGTAATCCCAGCTACTCGGGAGGCTGAGTCAGGAGAATCCCTTGAACCTGGGAGGCAGAGGCTGCAGTGAGCCGAGAGGGTACCACTGCACTCCAGCCTGGGTGACAGAGTGAGACTCCGTCTCAAAAAAAAAAAAAAGAAAAAAAAAACAGGCTTCTGCAGGCACTGAACACTGTGGTGGGGTGGGGAAGCAGGTAGGTACCTGGGTAGAATCCCAGTAGGGTACAGGAATAAACTTGGATGAGGAAAAAAATACCTCTGCTAACTTCTACCTATTAGAATTGTAATCTTCTATTGTGAATGTACATAACAAACTGCAATGGTACTAATGGTACATGTGATTGTATTCACCAGTAGAAATCCCTGATATTTTCATTTTATATTACAGTTACCTCAGGGATTTGAGAAAAATTATTTATGCTCAATGGCATTTCAAAATCATAGTAGCTCTTAGATTAACCAGTAGATCTTATTAATGTTACTGGCCTGTGTGTTACTGGTAACAGACTCACTTAGGTAAGGGATCAAAGGGAAATACAACTTTCCTCTTGCATGCTCTGTCTGCACAAAGCAGGAACGTCTGGAAAGAGCCAGCCTCCCAATCAGGACTGGCCACCCTCTCTCTCTTCCTATTCCTCTCTGCTGTCTGTGACTACTAGCCACCTCAGATTCAAAGCAAAAGCAGAAAGCCAGAGCCCTACTTTAGTTTTTTGGCTTAAGCAATGTGGTTCAACCCAGTTTTAACCTCTATATGAAGGAATTGAAGCAGAAGTCATAATCCCAATTAGCTACTGTATCTTCTATTTAGAATTCTTTGAACAAGATCTTCACAGGGAAAGAGAAGTGAATGGTCTTATCCAGGTCTCACACCTCTATTACAAACCCCCTGTTAATAACTCTATCAGATAATCCCTCCAGTAAGAGGTTAACATTTAATGAGTGCCTCTGTATCCTAAGGATATAGGTACTCAGCAAGTCATATATACTATCCTATCTGATAAAATCAGCTGAGATATGGACATTAATTCTCTGTATTAGTAGTACAGATGAGTGAATTGGGATGTATAGAAATGTCATAATTGACCCAAGTTCACCCAGCTAATAAGTGGAAAATCTTGGGTTCAAACACAGGCTCCTCTGACTGAAAGTTTCGTGTTGATTCTACTACTTTCAATAAAGTCAAATAGAACAAACAAATTTTACTTCCCTTTTTGGACTCTTAATAGGCATGATATATTTATCATAATATATCATGAGGAAGAATCCCCCCCTCTACAAAAATGACAGGAATAATATTTTTTCTGGATGTTTTCCTTTGGGTTGTTGGGGGAGAAATTTTTTTTCTGAAGCACATTCTTTGCTTGCATGATAGAGTACTTGGAATTGTTTTTAGAAATACCTGCACTGTCAGTTAAAGTTAACTCTTTTCTTGCTGATGAATTAATGTTGGCATAAGCCTTCTGCTAGAAACTGTTCTTGGACACAAGAAAGTTTTCTAATTGAAACCCTGCTTTTGGCTCCTCTTTTATTATGAGCCATTTCAGTAAGTGGCCCCATCATTTGTCCAGTTGGACAAGCCAGCAATATGGAAGCCTCCTCCTGTTTCACTGCTTGTAGTCAGTCCATCACCAAAGTCCCATCAATTCCAACCTCCCAAATAGATCTCAAAGATATCCACTACTTCCTGTCTGCTACCACCGCTATAGCAAAACTATCATGGTCTCTTGCCTGCGCCATGCAGTTGACTCCCCAGGTCTATTTATTCCTGCTTCCTTACTCTTTGCCCTTTTTCCCATCATTTCTCCACATTTCAGATCCTTCAGTAACTTGCCTTTGCTCTTAGGATGGCATCACCTCTCCTTAACTTGACAAACAAAGCTCTTGACTATTGACCCTAAACACTGCCCTATCTTACCTTACCCCTTCATCCTCTTTACTCTCTTATTGCCAGTTTTATTTACCTTCTCTATGAATCAGGGTATGATAGGTTAAGCTGCAGCAACAAGCAACCCCCAAATCACAGCATCTTAAAAGCACAAAGGCTCATTTATTGCTCACAGTACGTATCCAGTATGTATTAGAAGTGGCACCCTGCAGGAGTGTGTGTGCACTAGAAGAAAGCATAGCCAATTGCACGCTAGCTCTTGAGGCTTCCATGCAGGCATGGTGTGCATACACACACATTTATGTTCCCATTGCATTGGGCAGAAAAAGTCACATGTCCACATCCACATTCACAGAGTCAGGGACATGCAATACCAGCAGGTACCTAGGTACCCAGGAGGACAGAGAATCCACATCAGGACATTGCACCTGCTTCCTTCTTCCACAGGCCTTTAAACAAGCTGATTCCTCTGCCTGAAATGCCTTTCCTTTTATTCTTTTATTTTTTTCAATATTGCCCATATTTAAAATACACCCTCCATTCCTTGAAGTAACTCCTGTATTATTCTCTGCATCTAAGCTCAAGCTTAGGGAAACCTTCCCTCCCTGGGTCAAAAT
This sequence comes from Homo sapiens, assembly GCF_000001405.40. NCBI lineage: Eukaryota > Metazoa > Chordata > Mammalia > Primates > Hominidae > Homo > Homo sapiens. The sequence goes on along the minus strand of NC_000016.10, from coordinate 52,036,624 downwards.
ATCCATATTATAAGCTCTTATAGCAAAATATACATGTATAAAACTTGCCATAATTGCAATTTTATCTTTGTTTGAATGAATGTGTGATAAATATCTGTCTCCCATATAAGACTGTAAACTCTATGAAGAGAGTGACTGCATTGGCTTTTGCTCACCAGTGTTATAACAACAACAAAAAGCAACACCTATTACAGACCAGGCATAGTTCTAAGCAGTTTGACACATGACTCTTTCATATTTATAATAAATGAACTAACTCATTCATATTTACAATAACCCTATGAGGCAGATATGATGATTACTGTATTTTGTAGATAAGAAAATTGAGGCACAGAACTTGTCCAGGTTCATGCAGCTAGTAAGTGATGTGAAGCCAGGGCTCAGACATAAACCTCTGACACCAGAATCATGCTCTTGACCATTGCAGTTTACAAGCGTCTAGACACCCCATGGTGCCAAAAGAGGTGTTCAGTAAATACCTTTTGAATGGCCCAGTGAAGGACTAAACCAGTATTCTGTGATGCACATTCAGGAAAAGGCTACCATGGGGTGATTTTTCTGGAATGTCCAAGCAGGAAATTTCCTTAGAGATCACCTGGTTCAACTTTCTTCTCTTATGGACTGGTAAGCCACAGCTCAGAGTTAAGGTTGCTGCAGAGTTGGCTCTTCTATCTCGTTTGGCAGGAATGGCACATCGGCTGGCATCTCTCAGAGCCACACCTTTCTTATTTCATTAGGCAACAAAGTAGAAAATGGCACCAGTGGGGATTTCTTCCAGTAGACCAATGGAAACTTTTGTGTATATGAAAGATTTGAGTGCAGGGTATGGAAGTGACTTTTACCTACTCTCTTTTCTGAAATTAGATTTTCTAGGACAGAAAAAAAAAAGAATGCCAAAGGTAATGAAATCTCCACGGTTACACACACAGTTTAAATTAACAGTGTGAGTCAGTGTTTCAGAATAGAAATAGCAACAAAAGCTGACATCCTGGGAAAAAATGACTCAATTAACTGTATGTGCACTGCCACTGGTTCAAATTTCGATGATTTGTAACCAGAGACCTGTGAAAATTAAACCCCAAAGGGACTGTGACAGAATTTGTATCTAGTTACCAGGGTAGCTGGTTCACTGGGGTATGTGGTGGTGATGGTTGAGAACCTTTGATTTCCTAACCCACTGTGGAGATCTAGATGTCTGGTACCCATCACTTGGAGGCACAGAGTGCCTCATGGATGAGGAAGCATGCTAATCATCACCTCCATAATTCTCTCTCCTGGCATCCAGGTCCTTAGCAAAGTCCATTTATCCAGCTCGCTGAGAAAGGAGAAGACATATAATAGGTTTTGGCTAAATACTTCCAGAGAAACGAGTAGATCAGGTGTTTAGAAGGCAAATATCTTTATGAGATTTACTTATTTTCTCTCCAAGGAGAAAAGAGCACCAATAGCTAGCTTATTAAAGATTGCTTTGAACCCTGAGAATTACACAGATTAAAAGGGGAACATTGTGCCTTGTGGTACTCAAGCATCCTTTGCTGCAAATGGGAATTGACTGAGCCAAAGCCTGGTGAGAATAGTGGAAAGAGGAAGTGGGTCCTGGGGCTCCTTGGAGGTACAGCTGGAACAGGGAAGTCATGTGGAGGCTACAATTCTACTCATCCTCTTTATGTTCTCCCTTCAAAGCCCCCATTTATTATTTCAATTTTCTATCTTTGTGACAGAGTGGGCTTCTATGACTTCTGCCTTGCCCTGGAGGTCCAATACAGGTGAGTCACTTGTGCAGCAGTAAGGACAGGAGGGCAGAAGAGAAGGAGCCTGGTGCTTGGGGCTGGAAAGTGATAGTCAGCAATGCATCCTGTGCCCCTCATCCTACTCCCAACATCTCATTCTGCCTCAGATTTTTGGCACATAGATGGACCAGAGGGGGCATGGCAGCATTTATATCCAGTTGCTGGAGCTTCTATAGAATTGGTCCTCTTGTGTAGCCAAATACTGCAGGGTTCCTTGCAGTTAGCTTAGTACATGATCTGCAATCCAGGAGCACTGCCTCTAGACTACATTCCAAGACATTTCAGTATATTCTTTTTCTATTTTTGTTGCTTTCTGCCTAGGAGTCATCAATCCATTCATCCTTTCTGCCATACTCATCCCCCACCAGTACATGAATTTATTTCTTCAACCAACAAACACTTGTTTTATGCATATGTGCCACATACTGTGCTCTGTTTTAGGGGACACAGAGGCAAGTGACTCAGTCTCAAGGTAGACCTAGAAAAAATCAGAGAAGGGTGGAAATTTCTTAGTTGCTGAGAGCATCTAGCAAATAGCCAACCTCTTGTGTCCCATGACATGCTCAACAGCCAGGGGCATTCAGGCTCTGTCTGCACAGTGATTGTGAAAAGTCTATGCTGGGGCTTACTTAGCCCTCCTGGAGAAGACATTAAATTATTCTGTCACCCACACTGTTAAGCTTGGTGACTGAATCTAGCTGCTTTATAATCAGCCTAACCCGGAAGGAAGGGCACAGTAGCACTGGGAATATCACCACCTTCCTTTCCTACCCCATCCCAGCAGAAAGCTGACCATTTCCCAGGATGCCTGTATTTCTGCTTACTGTTCCCAAGGTCTAGCTGAAGATTCTTCCCTCTGGAGAGGACTGGGCCTCTTGTTTCAGAAAATTGCAGCAAAATGGAAGAATAGAGAGATATGAACTTGTCATGAGGGCAGAAGATGATCGGTTTCCATAACTTGGTCAATGACCTCAACTAGGACACAGTTAAATGAAATCATATATGTGTGTTCTTTCATTATTGTAATTGGTGAGTGCTAATTTGAAGCATGATCTTTCAAGTGGTAATCCAGAATCTGCTGCAGAAACAGTAAGAACATCAATCATCATTTGAGGCTGTAGATGATTTCATCCTATGAAGAGCTAGCCTATGAAGAGTTTCTCTGGAGGCCTCTGAGGTAGGCAGGGCAAGAGATGACCATCCTATTATACAGATGAGGAAACAAGGCTCGAGCAATAATGGCTATGAACACTTCTATGAGTCTGCTGCTGCCCGGGGCACTCTCCATATACCAGGCATTTTGAACTTTTACAGATGAGGAAACTGAGGCCAAGAAAGGATAGGCCTTTTTCCCTAAGACACACAGATAAGGATGTAGTAAAGCTGAGTTTCTAGACCAGGACTTTTAGACGCCAGGTTCACTCTTTAGAGACCCTGGCTATCTTATTTTATCCTAAGGTCACACAGCCATGAGTGGTGGGTCTGGGAGGGGAACCCAAGGGTTTGACTCCCACCCTCTAGTATTTCTCCATTGCTTCATTTTCCCAGTACGGTCTTCATCCTCCTGAATTCCTACTTAGCAAAATGGCATCTGGAGAAGTTGTGCTGGCTGCCACTTCAAGGAGGCTGAGTGGTGGGCATGGGCTCTCAGCCACTGCCTATCGACCTAGAAGGAAACTATTCCCAGTAAAAGCCTTAAATCTGTGGTGATGAGAATTTTCTAGCTTACTTGAATGCTGTGATCTCATCTAGGCTTGGATACCTGGGATCACAGATTCACTGGGCAAAGACAAACCATTTAAAAATGCAGGTCCTGCCATAAGCAGAGCCTGCAGAATCTGTAGAAATTGTGCTCATTTACTGTATGCTGGGCAGGGAATAGCCACTCATACTGAGCACTTATGAGGCACCAGTCACCACACTAAGCATGTGGTCTGCATTAGGTTGGTATTCTTATCTCCACCTAAAAGATAAAGAAACTGAGATTCAGAGAGACTAACTAGTGTGCTCCAAGTCACACAGCTGGAAAGGCCAGCTAAGATTTTCACTCTAATTTCTGTGGCTCCCAGAATCCAGTCACCAAGAGGCACCCTCTGCTGTCTGCTAAACCAGGCTGCCTGTCAGAATCAGAAGAGGAACCTCCATCTGGGGTTCACATTGTGAACAAGCAGTAAGAGAAGAAAGGCAGGGCAGATGGGGACAGAATGCAAGTCAACTCCAGAAGGCTGATGTTAATGGCCATGAGGGTCTCTGAAATTTCATTGCAATCCAGAAATACAATTTCACAGTGGCACAGCCCTCTCTCTGGCAGGATAGTGCAGTATCTGGAGTTTCTTCTTTGCCATTGAGATATTCACCCTCAGAAAAGGCATTTCGCATTCCACATTTTTCTTGAAATGTACAGGTTGAACATTTACATTTTCTTGAAATGTGCCCTACTTATTGATTTAAACGTTTGTAAGCATTTACATATTTATATAATTTTTATTGCTGCTATATAGAATCTTCAGTTCTGTTTGATTTTGCTAATTGCCCAAGTGCCTTCTTTGTACTGAAGTATCAATATTAATAATGATCAAAGGCCTAAAAGCGCATAAGCATTCTCTGTTTCCAGCTTCTATTTTACGAATAAAACATTGATGCTCTTTTTAAGTTGGCCATCACTCATCTGGGAGATTTTGCAGACAATAACAGTTCATTAGTAATATCTGGTGGGGGAAGATGTATGATGCTGTAAATATTTAAAATCAAATTTGAAAAAGAAGACAGAGATGAATGCATGGGATGGGGGTGGGGGGATGAACATGGTGCCCAGGGCTATAGTTTTCACAGCAACTTCCACTGGGGCCCTGCCATTGTTTTCCCTTGTAAGTTCCATGAAACGGGACTTAGCAATATAGCTGCATCCAGCAGGATCCAAAATGGCCTTTGTGGAGTTTAATGGGCATCTAGGCTGTGGTCCTTCTAAAAGTAGCCCCCTTGATGGGGACTTGCGAACAGGTAATTTATTTGGAAGCTGATTCCAAGGAACACTGTTAGGGAGTCTCACATGATAGGAAAGGAAAAGGGCCAATGAAGAGTGTCACACATGAGGTATTGCTGTGGATAGGTAGGCCCAAACCCACTTGGAACCCTTTAAGAAACCACTGCAAGGGGACCTAAGGGGCCAGCAAACCTTGGTCCATCTTCCAGCAGCTCTTTTCCTAAATTGGTAGAGTGCTGCTCATGGAAGGGTACTGGCTCCCATTTCCAGCTAGCCCTGAGCTCAAGCCCGGGTAGACCCATCAGGATCTACAGGTGGGATCTATGCACATGTTAGCTCCTGGGTAAGTCCCTGAGAATGGGCAGGACCCATTCAGCTCAGCTACAGGGGGTGGGTGTGAAGTCTAGGGTTAGTTTGTTGAGGTGGATGGTAGAGAAAATCCAGCTCACCATGTATCTTTTGGAACTCCAAACTCCAGGTTTGCCTTCCCCATCACATCCAAGAGTTGTAGAGAGTAGAAACTGGTCACAAGTGACAGTCTAGTCCAGCTAGGGAAATTGAAACAGTGTCAGCAACAGAGACATCACACAATGGTACTCAGCCAGAGGAGGAATGGTTATCAGAGAAGGCTTCCTGCTATGGTTAAGAGGCAGCCCAGAAATGGCTTTGGAATGCCGCTTCTTCTATTCACTTCCTTCGGGTTATGTTTGGTGGACTCCGACCCTTGCTGGGACTGACTGGGAAATGTTCTCCCTCCAAGCCCCACTCCCATTCCCAAATCCTTTGTTCCTCAAAGAGCTCATATCCTGCTCTCCAGGCCCCTGACCCATCTTTCCCATCTTGCTTTGTAAAAGTTCCCTGAGGCAGAGTGTGGTGGCTCATGCCTGTAATCCCAGCACTTTTGGAGGCTGAGGTGGGCAGAACACTTGCGCTCTGGAGCTCAACCACCAGCCTGGGCAATATGACGAAACCCCATCTCCAAAAAGAAAAAAAATTACAAAAATTAGCCAGGCATGGAGGGCCAAGCCTGTAGTCACAGTTACTTTGGAGGCTGAGGTGGGAGGATCACTTCAGCCCAGAAAGTTGAGGCTGCAGTAAGCTGTGATGGCACCACTGCACTCCAGCCTGGGCAAGAGAGTGAGACCCTGTCTCAAAAAACAAACCAAAAAAATAAAAATAAAATAAAATAAAACTTCCCGAATATGTTTTATTTCCTTGAATCCCTGTTTACTACAAAAAAAACCCTGATCTGTACTCTGATGCTTTGAACTGAGAATGGATGAAAATGGTATATTTTTCAGTGGAGGATTCTTAAAGCTAAATTGTTTTAGCTAAAGTAAGTGGGTTTCTAAGGTTTTCTCCTGCTCTGCTTCATGCATGTCTATAAAATCACAAAATGTCAGAACAGGAGGGAATCTTAGGCTCATCTAATTCAACGTCTTCGGTTCACAGAGTTGTAAATCAGGGCTCAGAGACAAGATGGGACTTCCTCGAGGTCATGACTAGGTGACCTCATGACAAGCTGGTAGGAGTCTATCATATATTTGTTAAAAGACCTCAGAGCTGGGACAGAACCTTGGAGCAAGTTCCTTTGATCCAAGGCACACAGGTAGTGGGGGAACCAAGTACACATTTCCCACCCTGCCAGAACAGGGCCTGGGCGAACATTTTTGGCACATCTGCCTTTGCTAGAGGAGCTGCAAAGAGTTTTACATTAAATACATTGCTAGTGGCCTTGGTTCCATCTTTACCTTATGATTAAATCTACTTTCAAATGTAGAGGCCAAGGAGTTGTTTAAATATCCTTCATGATGAGATGTTTATGAATGTGAGAGGCCATACCTTCTTTTTTTTTATGCCTCTGACAATATCTTCCTGTGTGCAGTCAGAAGCTGTCTGTCTGTAACATCCACCCTCTGACTTTGTACTTAGCACTGAGATCCGAAGGCAGCTCCCTTGACAGCCTTACAAATGTCCACATTGTACCAGATCTAATGTTCCTTGTGCAACTGCCTTTTGATTGCCCTCATTTTCCTCTTTATACTTTGACAATTGTCACTTGGCTTCTTAGAATATAGGACTCATAACTGATTACAGAACTCTGCATCAGTGGTCTGACCAGCATAGAGTGGGCAGTCCCTCCTCTTGCTTGGTACCTGAGTGATCTGCAAAAGTACTTTAATTTCTACATATAAACATGTTAATTTAGCCTCCAGTCATCATTTGTATTTGTTTTTAGTAATATCATAGTGGCACAAATTTACCTTAAACTCAGTGGAGAACTGTAGGCTTTTACTGTTTTGCTGTCAACTCCTAATCACCCCTTTTCCCCATTCTGTACTTGGGCAGCTGGTTCTGAGAGCAGCAGTTACATTTTTGGCAGGCCTAAACACATGTCTTATATGCCAACTGGATGGATTATTGTATAATAACTTCATATTGACATATTTACTACACATAAATACCATCATGACAATTGAGAAATAGGATTTGCTATGCCATCAAAAAATCAATCTACAGAGCCACCCACGGTGGCACATGCCTGTAGTCCCAGCTACTTGGGACGCTGAGGTGGGAGGATCGCTTAAGCCCAGGTGTTTGAAGCTGCAGTGAGCTATGATCATGCTACTGCACTGCAGCCTGGGTGACAGAGTAAGACCACGTCTGTTTAAAAAAAAAAAGAAGAAAGAAAAATATTAATTTGCAAAATAAGCTTAGTAAAAAAAATTCTCTAGCTAAACAAAGGTCTCCTAAACACACTGTCATTATTACAAAAGAGGATTCTACAAAGATAGGGGATGGGGTTGGAGTGGATGGGAATTAGCATTACTCGTGTCTTGATGGAAATCAGGGCACCCTTGTGCTTAGTCAAAAGGCCTCTATGGAGGGCTGTGTACCAAGTGAGTGACAGATGAGTGAGCAGAGGTAAAAACAAATGACTCGCAAAATAATAGACCCATAGACACTCCATGGAGAGGGCTCAGGTGAAGAGGATTTCATTAAGTTTGGGAAATGCTTTCCTTCTTAGAAGTTATTAGCATATTAAAAGTACTGAGAAATTTTGTGATGAAGAAACACAAATAACTTTGTTTAATCATGATTTCTCAAGCCTTCTGTGTCCATCAAAACCTTTTCTTTTACAAATAACTCCAAATAAATTTGGTAAATACTGCTTTGGACAGAGATTTTCTCTCTCTGTCTGAAGTTATCTAAAGTTTGCCAGAATCTGAGTTTGCTCTTTTCAAAGGGCTCTGTTTAGAGACCATAGAAAAACTCGCAAATGTTTACTAACCTATCTCATTTCAAGTCATGGTTCATAAGAACTGTCACAAATCCAGTGACACACCAAATAAAGAATATCCTTTTCTCAAACTGACATGGCAATATTAAGATTCCTATGTAAACATATTTTCCCAAGGATTTCATTATTGGGTTAAGAAAGAAAAAGAAAAAATGGGCATTTTTTTTTACAAGTAGGGATTTTTGTTGTTCTTATTGACTTGAGATTAGAACCCACAAATATTTACTGAGTCCTGTGTATACACTTGAGATGATTCTAGGTCGTGTAATGGATGTCGACAGAAAATCATAAACCGTCACTGTTTTTGCTGCACTTACAGTCCAGCAAAACTAATATTAATAGAGAAAGGGTAAATGCTCCAACAATGTTTCCTAGAATATGGCATTTGTGAGAATTAATCAAAAGAAGAAATCTGTGGATTGGAGAAGATGTGGGAAGATTTCATGGAGTTAGCGGGACTTAAATATGGCTGGGAAAATTGGGAAGAATTTTTAGAAGATAAGAGGATAAATGGAGCCCCAGGCAATTAAAAAACTAACTCTTGACAAGGGGCCTCTGGGAAATTTTTTTTTCCTGGGCCTGAGCTATTCCAGGAAAATGTTCCTGTCTATGAAGAGTATCTTTGCTCACCAGACTTTCATCAGAAGTAGAAGAAGCTCGGAAACTTTAAATATAAAGCTGACTGATGCAACTAAACTATATGTCAGGAGTTTGAATTTAGATATTAATAGGTATTTGATATTAAGATAGTAATTATAATTACTATATATTAATTAATATATAGTTATTGTATTTTAATATGTATTAATTAATTATACTATATAATACTAGGATTAGTATACAATAAATTGGTATTATAAATAATTACTATAACTATATATAACGATATTTTTATATCTTATATTATAATAAATATTAGTAGTATATAATAATATATGCTGTATAATATAGCACTAATATTACGATATGATTAATTATTAATTAATATATAGTGATCATAATAGTACTAAGTATAATACTAAATAATAATGCTATGTTTTAACATAAAAATTCAAAACAGATATTCATATAAATAATATAATATCTAAATTCAATATCTAATATTTAAAAAATAAGAGGGTAATTGTTTTTTGTCTATGTCTATTTTTTATAAGGACCAGCAAGTTATTTCTGTGTGGACAGCCCAGTCCCAGAAGGTAAAACCATTCTTAACTATAGTAAGGACCATCACACTCAGCTGACCTAAGAGCCTAACAACCTGCTCTTTGGGGGCAGTAGGACAATGGGGTAGGAACTCCATCCTCGCTGCCGCGCCTTCATGGTACGGTAGATGCGCTTTTTCTCTCCCTTGCTAGACAGGGCCGCCTTGGGACCCTGTGGGCTATTGGATGGCGATTGCTCCAACTTTTTTGCATTCAACATGAGCAGCTTCCTGGCAAGAGTACTGGGAAACTATAGCCTGAACTTTCCTCTTAACAGGGACCCTTTATTTTTTCCGCACAGGAGCTTGGGAATACAGCAGCAGGCTTTAAAGCTTGCCTGTCTTTCGCCTACGCTTCTGGGTAAGATCTCACTCATTTAATAAGAAAAGACCCTGCTTCTCAGCTTCCCCGTTGAAACTAGAAGGTAAACTAGAGAAAGAAAAAAGTGATCTCCTATCTTTCTCTGAAACACATCTTCAGGAGGTCCTGACCCCACCGTTTCCCCACTGAGTATCTCTTCACTCACATTTCTCAAATTCCTGTTTACTGGCCATCTTTCCACCACCCTCTCCTCTCCACTCCTTGGACCAGGACCAAAACTTCACACACACACACACACACACGCACACACGCACACAAAGCAAACTAAGACTGATGAGTTCCACTGAGGACTGTTTCATGGCCCAGTGAAAGGCTGTTGGATGGTGGAATTCTCCAAGTGCCAGAAGCATCCACCAGCTTGCAGGCAGGAGACGGGGCCCTTCACCTTTGAGATCATTTCCACGGAGGCAGAACAGTGTGGTGAGGGCCAGAAACAAGACTTATACAGTCACCAACACAATACTTGGAACACAGTTGAAATTCATTAAATGATTCATCTTCTCCTTTTTATCATTATTTTTAGAATCCTCAAGTTGTGTTGACCCACCTGGGAACACTGCTGGTTCCAGAATGCCAAGCTCCAGTAATTGTATAAAATAAAATTAAAATACCAGAAGGATGTATTTGCAAACAAACTATAGAGCTTTAAGATTATACAGCAGTTAAGAAAGTATGAGGTGGGCGTACATGTGCCAGTAAGGAGGAGTTTAAAAAGCAGGATGGAGAACAACGTGAATAATGTGATCACATTTTTGCTTTTAAAAACCAAAGTTCCATGTAATACACAGCTACCATTTGATAAGTTATTAGTGTTTACCTGGCACTGTGCAAAGTGCTTTTAAAACCCTTATCTTGGCTGGGTATGATGGCTCATGCCTGTAATCCCAGTACTTTGAGAGTCTGAGGCAGATGGCTCACCTGAAGTCAGGAGTTTGAGACCAGCCTGGCCAACATGGTGAAACCTTGTCTCTACTAAAAATAAAAATACAAAAAATTGGCCGGTGTAGTGGCATGTGCCTGTAGTTCCAGCTGCTCAGGAGGCTGAGGCAGGAAAATCGCTTGAACCTGGGAGATGGAGGTTGCAGTGAGCCGAGATGGCACCACAGCACTCCAACCTGGATGATAGAGCAAGACTCTGTCTCACAAAAAAAACACAACAAAAAATGTTAAAAAAAATAAAACCCTTATCTCCTTTCATGCTCACAATGCTGAGAGAGTGGTATTGTTGTCCATGCCATTTTATAAATGCAAAAATTGAGTTTTAAAGAGGTTAAATAACTTTCCCAGCATCATACATTCAGGTAGTCTGATTCCAGAGCCTGTTCTAGAAGTCATGATACAACTTAGGTGTCCAAACCTAGAAAAACACAGGGAAGAGCACACGCCACTCTTGTCAGAGGTTACATCTGACGATAAGGGATGGGCTGGAAAGATAAGTTTGAGACATTTATTTCTTACTCTAAATTAATATATTACTTCATGTATTTGCAACAAATGTATATCAGTTTAATAGTTAAAAAGACAGTCCTTTTCACAAAAGAGCGAATATATAATCTCACCTATATGAAATATATAAAATAGGCAGATTCATAGAGACAGAAAATAGATTCAAGGTTCTCAGGGACTTGGGAGAGGGGGAAATTAGGAGTTAATGCTTAATGGGTGCAGAATTTCTGCTTGGCATAATGAAAAGTTTTGAAAATAGTAACAATGGTTGCACAGCACTGAAAATGTAATTAATGTCACTGAATTCTTAAAAAATGGTTAAAATAGTGAATTTTATATTATGTATATTGTACCATGGAAAAGAATGAGAAGGAGCAGGAGGAGGAGGAAAAGAAGGAGAAGAACAGCAAGAAGAAAGAAGAAGAGGAGGAGGAAGAAGGAGGAGGAGAAGAAGAAGAAGAAGAAGGAGAAGGAGGAGAAGAAGAAGAAGAAGAAGAAGAAGAAGAAGAAGAAGAAGAAGAAGAAGAAGAAGAAGAAGAAGAAGAAAAGAAGAAGAAGAAGAAGAAGAAGAAGAAGAAGAAGAAGAAGAAGAAGAAGAAGAAGAAGAAGAGGAAGAAGAAGAAGAAAGAAGAAGAAGAAAAAGTAGTGGAGGAGGAGGATGAATTCATTTGGTTTTTGGGAAACTCTCTCTATTTCCCTTCTTTTTCTCATTTTGCCTGTACGTTGTTGTGTCACAGAGGTGTGGCATCCCCAGTGCCTCACAGGGCCAGTGAGATATAACTGCAGCTTTACGTATTTGGACATGTGGTTGTGTCACTATCCCTGAGTAGTGGAAGGTGCCTCTGAGCACCAGCTCCTTTGCTTCCCTGTGTGGTGTGAAGCCATATACTTGTGATTGGCTCAGTGTTGGGCAAAGAGATTCTTTTTTAGAGTACCTTGGAGTGCTCTACAAGACCTGAGAGGTCATGGGCACAGTCTCTGTGGAAAATATCTTACATTCTATATTTTTAAAAGGTGGGATTGGGTTAGGCTCTGGAGGTTTTATTTACATGAACAAGACCTTCATATGGTGGATTAGAGAAGTAGGCAATTATTCATTCATCCATCCATCCACCCACCCATCCATCCGTCTATCCATCCATTCCCGTCCATCTACTTATCCATCCATCCATCCTTCCATCCATTTGTATGAGCACTTTATTAAAAAATCTTTAAGGAGTACCAACTATAAGCCAGACTTTTAGCCAAAAACTGAGTAATAAGCATCACATTTTTTGTAGGACTCTGAAAATCAGCATGGTGTTATAGCAAATAATTTAGAATAGGCTTCCAAGATCATGGCTTTTTCAATCATTTTTATTTACTCACGGTGTGACTTCGGGCAAGTTCCTTCCCTTCTCTCAGCCTTTCAGGTGATCTCAAAGTTGCCCTCCAGCTCCCAAATGTGCTGATTCTATTCTTATAGCTAGTCTCAGGTGGTCCAGAAATATTTTCTAGTATGTCTACAAGGCTGTGGGTGTGAGCAAGACACACATAAATTGAAATGTTGTGTCTTTATGTTCATGCCAGTAAAAAATGATAAGAATTGTTCCTGTCCCAGTCAGCATTTGAGTGCTTAATGTTGGTAGTGATGAAAATAACAGAAAAAATATGAGCACTTGCACATATAGAAGAAATATGTGATTATGATTTATAGAATTGAACTAAAGAATAGTTGTCCATCTGGGAAAAGATTTTATAAACACCAGATAGAAAAGCATGTTCAGCTCCCCTATAGATGGCATGAAAGAGTGCTTAATAATGGGTAAATATGCTTTTTGCCGCATGTGTGTGCCTTTAACAAATATTGACCTGTCCTTTGCTGTTATATTTCAAAACGTGAGTAAATCAAAATAAGATGTGTTTTATGGAACTCTCTTGTTTTATTATCTGTCATTTAATTTTTAATACCTAAGTGACACCTGATATATTACCTAATCAAAAGAAGAGAATTATACATTGCACATAATCAGTTACTTTTGCCATATCACAGAAATTAGACTAACAGATGAGGAAAATAAATAAGATGAACTTTAAAAATGAAAATGCTTAGCCTTTGGAATTTTAGTTGACAGCTTTTGAAAATTAAATGATAAGTCAAGTCCTGATAGGTTTGATATCTTCTTTGCAGTTTTGCTGATGATGTATTGCAGCTTTAATGGAATATCATTTATCATCTGATAATAACAAATGTAGTATTTCTGAGCTTGTCATCTCTTCTGTGATGACAAATAGTCCAACTTGTAGCGGCGATAATGGAATTTTATAATGATGTGTCCTAAACTGACTCAACTGCAGCTGAGCTATTTTTCTTAAATCTCATAATGCCTATTACATGTAGATTACAACAGTCAGTGCCTCCCATCTAAGCGTGAGCATGGATCAATGAATCCAGATTTTAGGCAAACAGCCCAAAAGGATCTAACCATATTTACTTGTTTATCAAGATTTTTCCTGTTAGGCTAATAAGAGAGCTTGTCAGAGGTTGTTGGAAATGGCGAACTATAACATTTAGAGGATAAAATAGGTGATGAAAACTCTGTTTATCTCTTCAACAGTAGGCAGCGTATCCAGTTTGCAATTCTATTCATCCAATCCATCACTTCATCGGGATTTATTTAATGAAGGCCTTGTGCCGAGAAACACGAGTTAGAGAGCCCAGCCACTCTTCCACTTTATCTTGAAGCAGGATTTATTTTATGTCTTAACTCTTGGCTTGTCTGATAGCATCGCCTTGTTGCACCTGTACATTCTATAGTCCAAATCACTCGCCTTCTTGACACTTTTCTGAAACTTCCAAACAGCCTGCAGTGTTACAGAAAACCTAGATTTGGAGGCTGTGAGCATCTTGAAATATTGCATTGTATGTGTGGGCATGGCTATGGCAGCCATGATGCTCTGAAGGTCACCTCCTGGGAAGGAAAGATACTGACATAATTGGATGAGCCACCTGAGTGGATAGTGGAGGGGACAATATTTCCATTGCAGATGTGATTTTTACCCTCATCTAAGCAGATCTGATTTTCTGGCTGTGGTCACAGCAGGCCAGCATGTGGACAAAGGGAAACGCCTGGTGTGAAGGTGTTAGTTTTGACAGTGAGTGAGCGTTATGTACAGAAATGAAAGACAGAGCATACTGCTAATGGCAGGCACTTATATGCAAATTGATGCCCGACATGCCTGAAGCCTTCACAGGTGGAGACAGACAAAGGTAATGGGAAGTGTGTATTTCAGATGGGCTCTGATTTCATAGCTTCTCAGTCTTTGACCATGTGTTTCAATGTCATCTTGGATGTGATCATTCTTTTTCTTTTTTGGTGGAATTTTACTCCTGGCCCAGCTTAAGCATCTGATTCCTTCCTTCAGACTCTGAGCTTTGCAGTAAAGCCTGTACACCCCACTTTTCTTGGGTTTCTTCACTTCTGTCTGTGCTTCTCCATTCCCATTTTCTCCTTTTCTCTCTCTTCCTTCCCCTTTCTCTTTGACTTCTCTTTCCACCTTTCTTCTCTCTTATACTTCTTTTACACAAAGGGTCACAGATTCCAAGTAGAGAAGATGAAGGGGAAAGGAGACTTCGTGTGAACTCGATGATCATGGATTTCACTTCAAATACAAACCATGTCCAGCTAATTGTGGCCAGGTGAGGGGACTGGCCGCAGGTGACCAGGTCTAAAACCCTTTCAAACGAAGTTGGAAATGTGTTTTTTTATATAAAAGGCCGTGTTTGAAAATATTACCAACTACTTCAATGTTTCTTTTTAAAATTATCTGGGGGGCCTAATAAAAATTGAACTCAGAACAAAGGCCACCTCTTTGTGAGCTGTGGTTTAGATACGTGACCTGGGTGACCTCATCTACTCCAATGACCCCAAGTACTCACCACTCAGAATAGAGCCAGCTCCTACTCTCTCTGGTCTTATATCTATTTTTCCAACTATCTGTCAGATGCTTCATAAATATTTCAAGCTCAGAGGCAGGATAAGAGTATTGAGAGGAAGATTCTTGATTTAGATAGAAGGCTTACTTCAGAAGGAGTGAGAAATAAGATCAAGTAGGTCAGGAAGAGATTTTTAGGGAGTTTGGGTGATAAGAAGACAATGTCAACTGGTTGGTAAGCAATAGGGAGCCATTGTGAGTTCATGAGTACGAGAGTGACATAGCAGAGGAAGATTTTAGGAAGATGAGTCTGGAAAGGAGAGAAAATGAAGGCAGAAATGGAGGGAGGGTGGGAAGTAAGGTCTCATATAAGAATTCAGCTGTAAGAATGGAGATGTGGATGTGAAATGAGAGAAGTTCTCAAGATACAGGTGACTGGATTTGATATATTTAACATGGATAATTATAAAAACAACATCTAGAAGAGGTTGATGATAACTCTTATAAGAAATGTAGCAGCCAGATGGTGGAGCACTGTGGTAGGAGAGGCGAGATGAAGACCAAACTGGATAACAGCTTTTCCCTTCATTTCAGTTTTTTTGTAGTGTTTCACTTTGATCTCCATTAATTATACTGTAGCCCTTAAAAAGAAAAACCATCATCCCCAATATTTTAACAGTGTGTTTCTTTCAACAAACATGTGGACACATTTGTGGAGAGCCTCCTCAGACCATGGAGCTGTCCCAGGGCAGGAATACAGAGATAAATAATAAAATTCCTGCCCATGAAGAACGCAGAGACCCAAAGAAAGATTAATAGTGTAGATTTCAGTAGAGAAAGAACTGGACCATAGTAAAAAGACATATTCTGTGACTTTGGGGAAGTGATATAATACAACTTTACTTCATTTTTTTTCTTTATTATTATTATTATTATTATACTTCAAGTTTTAGGGTACATGTGTGCAACGTGCAGGTTTGTTACATATGTATATATGTGCCATGTTGGTGTGCTGCACCCATTAACTCCTCATTTAGCATTAGGTATATATCCTAATGCTATCCCTCTCCACTCCCACCGCCCCACAACAGGCCCCGGTGTGTGATGTTCCCCTTCCTGTGTCCATGTGTTCTCATTGTTCAATTCCCACCTATGAGTGTTTGGTTTTTTGTCCTTGGAATAGTTTGCTGAGAATAATGGTTTCCAGCTTCATCCATGTCCCTACAAAGGACATGAACTTGTCATTTTTTATGGCTGCATAGAATTCCATGGTGTATATGTGCCACATTTTCTTAATCCAGTCTATCATTGTTGGACATTTGGGTTGGTTCCAAGTCTTTGCTATTGTGAATAGTGCCGCAATAAACATACGTATGCATGTGTCTTTATAGCAGCATGATTTATAATCCTTTGGGTATATACCCAGTAATGGGATGACTGGGTCAAATGGTATTTCTAGTTCTAGATCCCTGAGGAATCGCCACATTGACTTCCATAATGGTTGAACTAGTTTACAGTCCCACCAACAGTGTAAAAGTGTTCCTATTTCTCCACATCCTCTCCAGCACCTGTTGTTTCCTGACTTTTAATGATCGCCATTCTAACTGGTGTGAGATGGTATCTCATTGTGGTTTTGATTTGCATTTCTCTGATGGCCAGTGATGATGAGCATTTTTTCATGTGTCTTTTGGCTGCATAAATGTCTTCTTTTGAGAAGTGTCTGTTCATATCCTTTGCCCACTTTTTGATGGGGTTGTTTGTTTTTTTCTTGTAAATTTGTTGGAGTTCATTGTAGATTCTGGATATTAGCCCTTTGTCAGATGAGTAGATTGCAAAAATTTTCTCCCATTCTGTAGGTTGCCTGTTCACTCTGATGGTGGTTTCTTCTGCTGTGCAGAAGCTCTTTAGTTTAATTAGATCCCATTTGTCAATTTTGGCTTTTGTTGCCATTGCTTTTGGTGTTTTAGACATGAAGTCCTTGCCCATGCCTATGTCCTGAATGGTATTGCCTAGGTTTTCTTCTAGGGTTTCTATGGTTTTCGGTCTAACATGTAAGTCTTTAATCCACATTAAATTAATTTTTGTATAAGGTGTAAGGAAGGGATCCAGTTTCAGCTTTCTATACATGGCTAGCCAGTTTTCCCGGCACCATTTATTAAATAGGGAATCCTTTCCCCATTGCTTGTTTTTGTCAGGTTTGTCAAAGATCAGATAGTTGTACATATGCAGCATTATTTCTGAGGGCTCTGTTCTGTTCCATTGGTCTATATCTCTGTTTTGGTACAAGTACCATGCTGTTTTGGTTACTGTAGCCTTGTAGTGTAGTTTGAAGTCAGGTAGCGTGATGCCTCCAGCTTTGTTCTTTTGGCTTAGGATTGACTTTGCAATATGGGCTCTTTTTTGGTTCCATATGAACTTTATAGTAGTTTTTTCCAATTCTGTGAAGAAAGTCATTGGTAGCTTGATTGGGTGTGGCATTGAATCTATAAATTACCTTGGGCAGTATGGCCTTTTTCACAATATTGATTCTTCCTACCCATGAGCATGGAATGTTCTTCCGTTTGTTTGTATCCTCTTTTATTTCATTGAGCAGTGGTTTGTAGTTCTCCTTGAAGAGGTCCTTCACATCGCAGTAAGTTGGATTCCTAGGTATTTTATTCTCTTTGAAGCAATTGTGAGTGGGAGTTCACTCATGATTTGGCTCTCTGTCTGTTAATGGTGTATAGGAATGCTTGTGATTTTTGCACATTGATTTTGTATCCTGAGACTTTGCTGAAGTTGCTTATCAGATTAAGGAGATTTTGGGCTGAGACGATGGGATTTTCTAAATATACAATCATGTCAGCTGCAAACAGGGACAATTTGACTTCCTCTTTTCCTAATTGAATGCCCTTTATTTCCTTCTCTTGGCTGATTGCCCTGGCCAGAACTTCCAACACTATGTTGAATAGGAGTGGTGAGAGAGGGCATCCCTGTCTTGTGCCAGTTTTCAAAGGGAATGTTTCCAGTTTTTGTCCATTCAGTATGATATTGGCTGTGGGTTTGTCATAGATAGCTCTTATTATTTTGAGATATGTCCCATCAATAACTAATTTATTGAGAGTTTTTAGCATGAAGAGTTGTTGAATTTTGTCAAAGGCCTTTTCTGCATCTATTGAGATAATCATGTGGTTTTTGTCTTTGGTTCTGTTT
Source organism: Homo sapiens (assembly GCF_000001405.40). Taxonomy (NCBI): domain Eukaryota; kingdom Metazoa; phylum Chordata; class Mammalia; order Primates; family Hominidae; genus Homo; species Homo sapiens. Next base: position 52,018,414 of record NC_000016.10, on the reverse strand, counting down.
ATATGCTGGATTATGTTTATTGATTTTCATATGTTGAACCAGCCTTGCATCCCAGGGATGAAGCCCACTTTATCATGGTGGAGAAGCTTTTTGATGTGTTGCTGTATTCGGTTTGCCAGTATTTTATTGAGGATTTTTGCATCGATGTTCATCAGGTATATTGGTCTAAAATTCTCTTTTTTTGTTGTGTCTCTGCAAGGCTTTGGTATTAGGATGATGCTGGCCTCATAAAATGAGTTAGGGAGGATTCCCTCTTTTTCTATTGATTAGAATAGTTTCAGAAGGAATAGTACCAGCTCCTCTTTGTACCTCTGGTAGAATTCGGCTGTGAATCCATCTGATCCTGGACTTTTGTTTGGTTAGTAAGCTATTAATTATTGCCTCAATTTCAGAGCCTGTTATTGGTCTATTCAGAGATTCAACTTCTTCCTGGTTTACTCTTGGGAGAGTGTATGTGTTGAGGAATTTATCCATTTCTTCTAGATTTTCTAGTTTATTTGCATAGAGGTGTTTATACTATTCTCTGACGGTAGTTTGTATTTCTGTGGGATCGGTGGTGATATCCCCTTTGTCATTTTTTATTGTGTCTATTTGATTCTTCTCTCTTTTCTTCTTTATTAGTCTTGCTAGCAGTCTAAAATGGTCATAAACTCTTCCCTCTCTAACTCATGAGGTGGCTGTGCTACAGTAAAAACCATCCCAATTTGCCCAGGACTGAAGGGTTTCCTGGATCACAAGACTTTCAGTGCTAAAACCAGGACAGTCCTGGACAAACTGGTACCTTGGTCAGCCTATGTGACACCTAAACATTATAATACATGTGGAAGTCCTTTAGAAAATACAAAGACTCAGAAAAATGTGAGGCAGTGCAGCTTGCTAGGAATACTTTCTTGGTCTTCAGGACTGGGATGGGAAAACTGAAATCTCTAAACAGGTGATTAAAATTCAGTCACCAAGAGCAACTTTTCCAAAAATGTTGCCCAGAAATGTATGTATTTTATCCTTTTTCCCAAATTTCAGATAATGGAGTGTTTGGTATTTCATTAATACTTCTGAATTTTGCCTGAAAGGTATTTATGAAGAACTAGGTCAACTATAAAACCTTGCAACTTTTCTAAAAAATGTACAGGTAAGCAAAGACAATGCCCTAAGTCAAAGATGATGAAAAAAAAATATTTTCTGTTGCCTGGAAAACAATCAGTTTTCTAAATAAGCCAAAGTAAGATTAGAAAAAAAAAAAGGCAGGCACAGCACGGCTCTCACCTGTAATCCCAGCACTTTGGAAAGCTGAGTTGGGAAGATTGATTGACCCCAGGAGTTTGAGACTAGCCTGGGCAACATAGTGGAACCCCATCTCTACAAATTTTTTTTTTAAATAGCCAGGCATGGTGGCACATGACTGTAACCCCCAGTTACTCGGGAGGCTAAGGAGGCAGGATGGCTTCAGCCCAGAAGTCCAAGGCTGCAGTGAGTCATGATTATGACACTGCACTCCAGCCTGGGTGACAGAGTGAGACACTGCATCAAAACAAACAAACAAAAACAATCTGGCAGTATGTGTGTATTTTAAATGTATTTTTTTATCATGAGCTTAAAGTCCTTATTGCTACGGCCTCTGTGTTTAAGAAATTACAAACCTCTCAGCAAAATTTCCAGAAGCAGCAAAAGAAAAAAGAAAACAAGAAACCTAGAAATCCTAAGAGGTGATGTGACAGTTTCATTTAAAAGACAGTTATGGTCTTAAGAATTGAGGACTGAACAATTTCTGTATTCTTATTGATGATGAAACCAAGTTGTCCCCATCAACAGGGAGTTTGGAAGTAGTAGCATTGCTTTTTATACCCAGCTGTGTTGACACAGTCTAGAAGAATACTATGGCATCCCTGGACAACATGAAATATTTGGGGAGCTTCCTAATTAGGTCCACAGCCACGATCACTGTTAGTATCTTATCAGAGAGGTGATAGCACTTCAGTAATTAGCTGGAAAGAAAAGGAGGATGTTTACGGCTCATATCAACATTGAGATCTCTTCAAAGAATCCCAGGGTGAATTCTAATCTCCCACAGCTTTATAATCACCCAGTATGGTTGGCTTACGTATGGCAGATTCTACCTATCCAGTAATTCAGATGTGAGAGTTAATGTGTCAGAAAAGCTAATAAAGGCAAAAATGTTATTGTGTTAATTCAGAGGAAGGGACGCTGGAGGCTGCAAGACTTGAAAGTTTCATAGGATATAAAAAGGGTAGTCTTGGGTGTTGTGCTTGCTAGAGAGAAGACTCGTGATTGCCTTTTCTTCTTTAAGAGCAAAGGAGCAACAGCTCAGGCCTCACCATCTGTCTCAGTTGCAGCCCCAGTCAGGAGTCGAGATGTTAATTCAGATTGTTCTATCAATGCATTGTTTCATAACAGGCTGGGGATGACATTTCTCACTTGGTAACTCACGAACTATCATCATGATTTTGACATCTTTATATTCTTGTACTATCATTTACTCAAACTTTTTTTAAAAAAAGGATAAGTTGAGAAATATCTTTTTACTCTGTCTCTTGATGTCATTAATATAATGACTATTTTAAGCTGAAGACATCTGAGATTTGAAGACAGATGCAGAAAGAAGCCTTCTTGGAGTTTCCCTTCTTTGACTAAAAGCAGCAACTTTTGGAAAATGAAGCTTGTATAAATTGCCACTTCAGACTGAATCCACTCTTGGAATGAAAAATGCAAATAAAACTTACCCCAGTTCTCTTCCTGGAGCAGTGTTATGGCCCTAAAGTGGATAGAAAGACCAATGGTATCTGCATAGGCAAACATTATCACAAACTTTCTTATCTCTCATTTGTTCTTTTAAAAACCCATTTGTCTTTCCTAAAGAAACCCTCATATCCTTCCCATTGGAGCCTTTCCCCCTCCTTCTTTTCCCTACTAAGTTAGGTGTATCCACCCCAAATTTTAACCACCACTTTGACTTACTAATCCTTGAGCACCTCATGTGTATGAATATAGCTACATCAATAAATTTTTATCCTGCTTCTGCCTGTTTTCAATTTAATTCACTGACCTGCAGATACTGAACATAGGAAGATAGAGGAAAAGATATTTTTCCTCTCGGATATAGTAGTTATAGGCATATTTCCAAATACAAATTGAAGTATGGAACTCTTAAAGCACAATGGAGAAAAGTGTGCTGAGGGGTCATCACATAGGAGAAAAGAATAATCAATATCCTTTCCTGGTGGAAGCATTTGGTAGCATAATGTCATCTGACCTTCATAACAGCCTAGCATGATAACCATGTGACAGGGATAAAACACAGTGACATGTGTATATTCACTATCTCCTCTATGCTTGGTCTTTTGAAAAGAGGTCTCCATTAGCTTGCCCAGTGCCTAACCCTCTTCTTATGATGTCTGTGATTATAGGTGAGGCAGAGAACTGGAGAAATCTGGCAGCCTAGGTTGTTTTAGTAGACAATGTGTGTAAGATGGGAGGAGAGAAGTGTAGGAGGGAGGGAAGGAAGGAGGAAGGAAAGAAGAATAACCAGAGAAGGGGACAGGAGAGGAAAGAAGAGGAGAGAAGAGAAGCAGAGGGGAGGAGAGAAGAGGAGTGGAGGTTGTTTTGAGAGAGCGTTGGAATTTTGAAGGAGGAAAGACTAGAGATTGAAGGCAGCTGCTCTTTGGTGGGGATAATAAAAGAGAAGTTGGGAAAGAATTTTATAAGTTTTATAAGGTGTGAGTGGGATTCTTTATCTTTTAATGAAACTTCAGTAAAGAACAAAGTTGCCTTTCAGCATATTTAGGCTGTTAGATTTACTTTTTTTTTTTTTTTTGAGACAGAGTTGCACTCTGTCACCCAGGCTGGAGTGCAGTGCCACAATCTCATCTCACTGCAACCTCTGCCTCCTGAGCACAAGCAATTATCCTGCCTCAGCCTCCCAAGTAGCTAAAACTACAGGTGTGTGCCACCACACCCGGCTAATTTTGTATTTTTAGTGGAGATGGGGTTTCACCATGTTGGCCAGGCTGTTCTCTAACTCCTGACCTCGTGATCCACCCACCTCCATCTCCTAAAGTGCTGGGATTACAGGTGTGAGCCACAACACCTGGCCAGATTGACACTTAAATAACGTGATGTTATGCCCCATGAGGCAACTTAACTCTATGTAAGTTACACAGATAATTTTTATTCTCATTTTATAAATGAATGGAGGTAAAGTGACTTCCCCAAGGTAAGGAGGGCTGGGCTTGGCTTTCTGACTTTATGTCCACTATTCTTTTGTATTTTGCCACATGTGGTCCATGTTTTATAGACCTCTAATAATCTAAACTGATGAAGCAATGCAAAGTCTTTTTTTCTATGCAAAAGAAACTACCCATTAAAAAACAAACAGGTTGACAAACATCTTCTTTTTGTTCTTATAAATATTCCCCAATATTTTCTTGCCAAAACCCCAACCTTCTCTCACAGCTCAACTTCCCTGTCTTCTGGATGTGTTTCTATTTTTCTTCCTCTTTTTTCTTCCTACCTTATACATACAATCTCTACTAACATTACATTCCAAATATATGTTTCAGGTGGACCAGGTATAGTAAGGGAGGCAATGGAGCATGGAAAAAGCAAAAAAAAACAAAAACAAATAAGAAATGTAAACAGGGGGGTGGAGCCCAGATGGCCGAATAGGAACAGCTCCAGTCTACAGCTCCCAATGTTAGTGACCCAGAAGTTGGGTGATTTCTTCATTTCCAACTGAGGTACTGGGTTCATCTCACTGGGGAGTGTCAGACAATGGGTGCAGGACAGTGGGTACAGCGCAGTGAGCATGAGCCGAAGCAGGGCGAGGCATCGCCTCACCCAGGAAGTGCAAGGGGTCAGAGAATTCCCTTTCCTAGTCAAAGAAAGGGGTGACAGATGGCACCTGGAAAATTGGGTCACTCCCACCCTAATACTGCCCTTTTCCAACAGTCTTAGCAAATGGCACACCAGGAGATTATATCCCATGCGTGGCTCGGAGGGTCCTACACCCACGGAGCCTCACTCATTGCTAGCACAGCAGTCTGAGATCAAACTGCAAGACAGCAGCGAGGCTGGGGGAGGGGTGCCTGCCATTGCCGAGGCTTGAGTAGGTAAATAAAGCGGCTGGGAAGCTCGAACTGGGTGGAGCTCACCGCAGCTAAAGGAGGCCTGCCTGCCTCTGTAGACTCCACCTCTGGGGGCAGGGCATAGCCAAACAAAAGGCAGCAGAAACCTCTGCAGACTTAAATGTCCCTGTCTGACAGTTTTGAAGAGAGCAGTGGTTCTCCCACACACAGCTTGAGATCTGAGAATGGACAGACTGTCTCCTCAAGTGGGTCCCTGAACCCTGAGTAGCCTAACTGGGAGGCCCTCCCTAGTAGGGGTAGACTGACACCTCACACGGCCGGGTACTCCTCTGAGACAAAACTTCCAGAGGAACGATCAGGCAGCAACATTTGCTGTTCACCAATATCTGCTGTTCTGCAGCCTCCGCTGCTGATACCCAGGCAAACAGGGTCTGGAGTGGACCTCCAGCAAACTCCAATAGACCTGCAGATGAGGGTCTTGACTGTTAGAAGGAAAACTAACAAACAGAAAGGACATCCACACCAAAACCCCGTCTGTACGTCACCATCATCAAAGATCAAAGGTAGATAAAACCACAAACATGGGGAAAAAACAGAGCAGAAAAACTGGAAACTCTAAAAATCAGAGCACCTCTCCTCCTCCAAAAGAATGCAGCTCCTCACCAGCAATGGAACAAAGCTGGATGGAGAACGACTTTGACAAGTTGAGAGAAGGCTTCAGATGATCAAACTACTCTGAGCTAAAGGAGGAAGTTTGCACCCATGGCAAAGAAGTTAAAAATCTTGAAAAAAAATTAGATGAATGGCTAACTAGAATAACCAATGCAGAGAAGTCCTTAAAGGACCTGATGGAGCTGAAAACCATGGAACGAGAACTACATGACCAATGCACAAGCTTCAGTAGCTGACTCAATCATTTGGAAGAAAGGGTATCAGTGATGGAAGAACAAATGAATGAAGTGAAGTGAGAAGAGAAGTTTAGAGAAAAAGAATAAAAAAAAACAAAGCCTCCAAGAAATATGGGACTATGTGAAAAGACCAGACTATGTGAAAAGACCAAATCTACATCTGACTGGTGTACCTGAAAGTGATGGGGAGAATGGAACCAAGATGGAAAACACTCTGCAGGATATTATCCAGGAGAATGTCCCCAATCTAGCAAGGCAGGCCAATATTGAAATTCAGGAAATACAGAGAACACCACAAAGATACTCCTTGAGAAGAGCAACTCCAAGACACATAATTGTCAGATTCACCAAAGTTGAAATGAAGGAAAAAATGGTAAGGGCAGCCAGAGAGAAAGGTCGGGTAACCCACAAAGGGAAGCCCATTAGACTAACAGCGGATCTCTTGGCAGAAACTCTACAAGCCAGAAGAGAGTGGGGGCCAATATTCAACATTCTTAAAGAAAAGAATTTTCAACCCAGAATTTCATATCCAGCCAAACTAAGCTTCATAAGTGAAGGAGAAATAAAACACTTTACAGACAAGCAAATGCTGAGAGATTTTGTCACCACCAGGCCTGACCTAAAAGAGCTCCTGAAGGAAGCACTAAATATGGAAAGGAAAAGCCAGTACCAGCCACTGGAAAAACATGCCGAGTTGTAAAGACCATCGAGGTTAGGAAGAAACTGCATCAACTAATGAGCAAAATTGCCAGCTAACACCATCATGACAGGATCAAATTGATACATAACAATATTAACCTTAAATGTAAATGGGCTAAATGCTCCAATTAAAAGACACAGACTGGCAAATTGGATAAAGAGTCAAGACCTATCACTGTGCTGTATTCAGGAAACCCATCTCACGTGCAGAGACACACATAGGCTCAAAATAAAGGGATGGAGGAAGATCTACCAAGCAAATGGAAAACAAAAAAAGGCAGGGGTTGCAACTCTAGTCTCTGATAAAACAGACTTTAAACCAACAAAGATCAAAAGAGAAAAAGAAGGCCATTACATAATGGTAAAGGGATCAATTCAACAAGAAGAGCTAACTATCCTAAATATATATGCACCTAATACAGGAGCACCCAGATTCATAAAGCAAGTCCTTAGAGGCCTACAAATAGACTTAGACTCCCGCACTATAATAATGGGAGACTTTAACACCCCACTGTCAACATTAGACAGATCAAGAGACAGAAAGTTAACAAGGATATCCAGGAATTGAACTCAGCTCTGCACCAAGCAGACCTAATAGACATCTACAGAACTCTCCACCCCAAATCAACAGAATATACATTCTTCTCAGCACCACACCACACCTATTCCAAAATTGGCCACATAGTTGGAAGTAAAGCACTCCTTAGCAAATGTAAAAGAACAAAAATTATAACAAACTGTCTCTCAGACCACAGTGCAATCAAACTAGACCACAGGATTAAGAAACTCACTCAAAACCGCTCAACTACATAGAAACTGAACAACCTGCTCCTGAATGACTACTGGGTACATAATGAAATGAAGGCAGAAATAAAGATGTTCTTTGAAACCAATGAAAACAAAGACAAAACATTCCAAAATCTCTGGGACACATTCAAAACAGTGTGTAGAGGGAAATTTATAGCACTAAATGCCCACAAGAGAAAGTAGGAAAGATCTAAAACTGACACCCTAACATCACAATTAAAATAACTAGAGAAGCAAGAGCAAACACATTCAAAAGCTAGCAGAAGGCAAGAAATAACTAAGATCAGAGCAGAACTGAAGGAAATAGAGACACAAAAAACCCTTCAAAAAATCAATAAATCCAGAAGCTGGTTTTTTGAAAAGATCAACAAAATTGATAGACCACTAGCAAACAAGACTAATAAAGAAGAAAAGAGAGAAGAATCAAATAGATGCAATAAAAAATGATAAAGGGGATATCACCAACGATCCCACAGAAACACAAACTACCATCAGAGAATACTATAAACACGTCTATGCAAATAAACTAGAAAATCTAGAAGAAATGGATAAATTCCTCGACACATACACTCTCACAAGACTAAACCAGGAAGAAGTTGAATCTCTGAATAGACCAATAATAGGCTCTGAAATTGAGGCAATAATTAATAGCTTACCAACCAAAAAAAGTCCAGGACCAGATGGATTCACAGCTGAATTCTACCAGAGGTACAAGGAGGAGCTGGTACTATTCCTTCTGAAACTATTCTAATCAATAGAAAAAGAGGGAATCCTCCCTAACTCATTTTATGAGGCCAGCATCATCCTGATACCAAAGTCTGGCAGAGACACAACAAAAAAAGAGAATTTTAGACCAATATACCTGATGAACATCGATGCAAAAATCCTCAATAAAATACTGGCAAACTGAATCCAGCAGCACATCAAAAAGCTTATCCACCATGATCAAGTGGGCTTCATCCCTGGGATGCAAGGCTGGTTCAACATAGGAAAATCAATAAACCTAATCCAGCATATAGACAGAACTAATGACAAAAACCACACGGCTATCTCAATAGATGCAGAAAAGGCCTTTGACAAAATTCAACAACTCTTTATGATAAAAACTCTCAATAAATTAGATATTGATGGGACATATCTCAAAATAATAAGAGCTATCTATGACAAACCCACAGCCAATATCATACTCAATGGGCAAAAACTGGAAGCATTCCCTTTGAAAACTGGCAAAAAACAGGGATGCCCTCTCTCACCACAAATATTCAACATAGTGTTGGAAGTTCTGGCCAGGGCAATTAGGCAGGAGAAGGAAATAAAGGGCATTCAATTAGGAAAAGAGGAAGTCAAATTGTCCCTGTTTGCAGCTGACATGATTGTATATCTAGAAAACCCCATTGTCTCAACCTAAAATCTCCTTAAGCTGATAGGCAACTTCAGCAAAGTCTCAGGATACAAAATCAATGTGCAAAAATCACAAGCATTCCTATACACCAATAACAGACAAACAGAGAGCCAAATCGTGAGTGAACTCCCACTCACAATTGCTTCAAAGAGAATAAAATACCTAGGAATCCAACTTACAAGGGATGTGAAGGACCTCTGCAAGGAGAACTACAAACCACTGCTCAATGAAATAAAAGAGGATACAAACAAACGGAAGAACATTCCATGCTCATGGGTAGGAAGAATCAATATTGTGAAGATGGCCATACTGCCCAAGGTAATTTATAGATTCAATGCCATCCCCATCAAGCTACTAATGACTTTCTTCAGATAATTGGAAAAAACTACTTTAAAGTTCATATGGAACCAAAAAAGAGCCCGCATTGCCAAGTCAATCCTAAGCCAAAAGAACAAAGCTGGAGGCATCACGCTACCTGACTTCAAACTACACTACAAGGCTACAGTAACCAAAACAGCATGGTACTTGTACCAAAACAGAGATGTAGACCAATGGAACAGAACAGAGCCCTCAGAAATAATGCTGCATATGTACAACTATCTGATCTTTGACAAACCTGACAAAAACAAGCAATGGGGAAAGGATTCCCTATTTAATAAATGGTGCTGGGAAAACTGGCTAGCCATATATAGAAAGCTGAAACTGGATCCCTTCCTTACACCTTATACAAAAATTAATTTACTATGGATTAAAGACTTAAATGTTAGACCTAAAACCATAAAAACCCTAGAAGAAAACCTAGGTAATACCATTCAGGACATAGGCATGGGCAAGGACTTCATGTCTAAAACACCAAAAGCAATGGCAACAAAAGCCAAAATTGACAAATGGGATCTAATTGAACTAAAGAGCTTCTGCACAGCAGAAGAAACCACCATCAGAGTGAACAGGCAACCTACAGAATGGGAGAAAATTTTTGCAATCTACTCATCTGACAAAGGGCTAATAACCAGAATCTACAATGAACTCCAACAAATTTACAAGAAAAAAACAAACAACCCCATCAAAAAGTGCGCAAAGGATATGAACAGACACTTCTCAAAAGAAGGCATTTATGCAGCCAAAAGACACATGGAAAAATGTTCATCATCACTGGCCATTAGAGAAATGCAAATCAAAACCACAATGAGATACCATCTCACACCAGTTAGAATGGCGATTATTAAAAAGTCAGGAAACAACAGGTGCTGGAGAGGATGTGGAGAAATAGGAACACTTTTACATTGTTGTTGGGTCTGTAAACTAGTTCAACCATTATGGAAGTCAGTGTGGCGATTCCTCAGGGATCTGGAACTAGAAATACCATTTGACCCAGCTATCCCATTACTGGGTATATGCCCAAAGGATTATAAATCATGCTGCTATAAAGACACATGCACACATATGTTTATTGCGGCACTATTCACAATAGCAAAGACTTGGAACCAACCCAAATGTCCAACAATGATAGACTGGATTAAGAAAATGTGGCACATATACACCATGGAATACTGTGCAGCCATAAAAATGATGAGTTCATGTCCTTTGTAGGGACATGGATGAAGCTAGAAACCATCATTCTCAGCAAACTATTGCAAGGACAAAAAACCAAACACCGCATGTTCTTACTCATAGGTGGGAATTGAACAATGAGAACACATGGACACAGGAAGGGGAACATCACACACTGGGGCCTGTTGTTGGGTGGGGGGAGCGGGGACGGATAGCATTAGGAGATATACCGAATGTTAAATGACAAGTTAATGGGTGCAGCACACCAACATGGCATATGTATACATATGTAACAAATCTGCACGTTGTGCACATGTACCCTAAAAACTTAAAGTACAATAATAATAATAAAAAAAGAGATGTAAACAGACAGGGATTAAGAAACAAAGCTGCATTCTCATTTTGACTGTATCGTTTGTTAGCTGTGTGGCTTTGGGGAAGTTACTGAAATTTTGCTGAGCTCAATTTTCTCATCTGCAAAATGGGACTAGTGAAAGCACCTCCAGGGTTATTGGGAGAATTAAATGAAGGACTGAGGTCACATAAGGCTTGGCAATAGTGGCGGCCAAATAATACTTGCTTAGTTCTCCCCTCCCTCTCTATTCCATTGGTCTATTATTGTTGTTGTTGTTAAAAATTTTCCCTCCCTCCCCTCCGCCACTCCCATCTAATTTGAAGCTCCTCAAGAATGGAAGCTGTCTTCTTGTTCATCAGATGGTTATCTAAATGGACAGGAAGTTTATTCTGCTTAAGGAGAAATTCTACTTTCCTGCAGTCTGTGGGCCCTCGCTCACCACCCAGGGGTGGTTTCTGGGTGTGGCAGGCCTAGCTAAGGGTTTCCCATCAGCCTATCCTGTGCAGGGAATCACCCATCACCTGGGCTGTGCAGAGGCTAAAGTCCCTTCCTGATCAATCCATCACTGCCCAGAGCCTGCCTCACTCCTGACCCCAGCAGGCTGTTAAAAGGGGGCCCATGTCCCTTTGGTCTCTAAGTGTCCACTTTGCTATTAGCAGAGAACAGACATTCAGAGGAGAGGGGCTCCCCACCACCCCCAGGTGGTGCCAAGTCTGCCCTAGGATGCTAGGAGAAGTCTAGAGCTAAGCCTCTGTCCTCTCTAACCCATTCCTGCCATTACACAGCCCTAAAATCATTAGGGTCGGAGAAGGGAACCCCTGCCCTGGCCTTGCCTTCAGAAGCCCCATTGCTTTGAAACAACATGCTAGAAAAATTTTAAATACCTTCATCTGTGCCTGGGATGAGTCTGGTGGGGTGTTTGAGCCAAGTGGGAATTCCCATGGACCCGGTCCAGGTTCCTCCTGTTCAGGGCACTTTCTGAATGTCTAATTGCAAATATTCACATGTGGGGTCAATCTGCCACCTAGCTTCCAGGAAGGTGGCCAAGAAGTTGACTGCTCCCACTGTAGGTATAACTGTATGAGGTTCTGCAGCCAGAATGGTGCTGACACCTTGATTTGGGGTAATTCTCACAGCAGACATAGGACAGTGTAGCTCTGGCTACAGAGAGTCCCCTGCAGACCCTGGGCTTAGCGACACATGTAAGCCATGCAAGTATTCTCTACCATTCATGTAGAGAATCAGTTCCTAAGAATGGTGGGCCCCCAACTCCGACACCTGGGTTGGCTACCCCATCCCCTCCATAGGTTCCACATCAGGTGTCAGGAGCGGTCACACATGTCTTCTTCACGGGCTCCCTAGACCACGGCTCTGTATCACCACAGGGACTCACATGTCCTCTCCTGCCTCAGGAGATGTGATAGTCTTGCCCTCCCAGGTCAGTCCTATGGCACATGAGGCAAGGGATGAACATGGCTTGCACTAAAGGGACATCTCATTTGTCTTCCTCTGGCCATAGAAACTCACCTATGCTCCCTGTGGTAGTTACATGGAAGGTAGAGGCCAATCAACACTAAAAGCAATCACATTCTATAAATGCAGCAATTGCAATCTACAGAGTTCAAAAGAAGACACGGTGGGAAGATGGGTTGTTCTACTTTTTAACCCATTCAATTTGGAACAGTAAATTTAACACACAGAGAACATTAATCATCATAGTCTTGGTCTGCATACATTGGGTAAGACTTGGATTTGTGGTCATTATTAACAAAGCTCAGTGGCAACCTCTTAGAGTCATTGGAAGGTGATGCAGCTGTGTAAGTAATGCTGTAATCAGCATTAATAGTTAGAGTTAGGAGACAGCAGCTGGGTGAAGATCTATATTGTTTCAAAGCAAACAGGTTAAGAAGGAGCCATGGCAGTGTAAGGAATAATTGTTGCTATTTTTTTTTCTTGCAGCAGAAATGTAAAATTAACAAGGAATTGTTCACCTGATGAAAAGGAACATGGAGAGATGGTTCTTGAATCTGAATAGGAGGAGATCGTGCCTGGACACACTAGGAAGAATCTTCTGCATTGATTTGATTAAAAAACAACTATGTAAATACCTCTTTTCCACCTATTATTCTCAATCTTCATTAATAAGTAACTATATTTCACATGAGCCTATGAATTTTGTAAAACATTTTTTAAAAAAGAAGTTCATTGTATAGGCAGAGACCCTGCAGGAAATATTTGTCTGGTGCTGTGCACCCCTTAGGGGTGACCCTGTTTTAGCTTAAGTGAGAGCAGATCGCATTAACTGCCTCGAAAAGACCCATTTTAGGAATAAGCAGATCTCACCTCATTAAACTTTTCTACCATCTCTTCTAGTGGTATTAACACATCCTCCATTTTCCAAATGAACCTTTCCCAGCCTCAGAGAGGGTAAATAACTTTATCAAAGTTGCATGGCTGGAATTGGCAATGCTGCACTTTGAGCCTGATGATCTAATGCCATACTATTTTAGTTACAGTGGTCTCGGTTTCTAGAGGTAGAAATCTTAAAAGTCAGGACCCTTGGTGATCCAGTGTGTATGGCTGAGCTCAGTTAGGTTTTTGTGCATTTATTTTGAATTTTATCTCTAACAAGATTAAGGGCCAAACTTAACATACTTATTTCCTCTGGGCCCCAGTAGCTGTAAGATATGGGATGATTGGAGTCAGGTGAGACAGCAGTGGTCTCGTTAAGAGCCCTGATGCTTAAAGTGTGGTCCACAGATCAGCTGCAGCAGCAGTGCCTGGAGCTTGTTAGAAATTCTGATTCTCAGGCCCCTTCCCCCAGACCTGCTGGAGCAGTGTCTTCAGGTTAACAAGATCTACGAGTGTTTCATAAGGAAGTTAAAGGTGAGCGGCACTGGTTTCTGAAGAAAGAACAGGATTTAGAGTACAAAGACTTAAGTCCTCATTTTGCCCGTATCACTTGCTAGCTGAGTGACCTGAAACAAGATCCCTGATTTATCAGACATTCACTGTCACCAATGTCAAATGGCAGTCATGCTTGCTTTGTAGACATGAGCCCCATGAGATGATCCACAGGAAAGCGCTTGATAAACTGTCAAGTGTCGGGAAATATTCAATGAGCCCCAAAGGAAGAGCCTGGAGGCCTTTATTATTTCAACACACCCCTAGCTTGGCTTGAGCAGGCATGTAATAGCTGTGGATGGAGTGAGCGAACTTGACCCACACTTTGAGAATAGGTTTGTTCAATTAACAAATTAACTAACGAGTTAATTAATTAAAAAATGCATTAGCAAGCATTCAACATTCATTTATTCATTGAACACATTTTTGTTGCATGCCCTCTTTGTGCTCTTAAGCTGGGCATACAATGGGGAATAAGATAGATGATGTTGTTTTCCTCACAGAGCACACAAGAATTGCAGCACATCCTGCAGAAGTAGGCTCTGTGTAGGCTTAAATTGAGCAAAACTGTGGCTGTGGTAAGGAAGTCTCCAATGATCTTGTTTCCATGTAACCTCAAATCATCCATTATTGCTGTATCTGCAAAGAACTAGTCCTTACTCTTTTTCTTGGTCTTGAGGTTTCTATAAAGAAAACATTAGGATTCTGAAGTGGCCTCTATCAGATATCACTCTTCTGACCAAAATATAATACACTGAGATTCTATTGGTTGGCCTTGTGTTGACTGGTTTGACAAAAAGGAATCTAGGCAGATATTGCAGGCCTGCTGAACCTTCCAGTAGCTCTTCCCATTTCTAGATGAGGCCTGGAATTTCCACCATTAATGCTTCATTTCATTGGCTTGAGTGGAGAAGGCCCATGGGCCTCCAATATGAAAGCAGTTGTTTCAGGAATGGTGAGTACATTGATACAGGACAGTCTGAACACCTTAGTTTGAATTATCTAAGAGTAAGCTATGTCACAGGGAATCGGTGAGAATGTGAACACTGGGACCTCAGAAATGGGGAGTTAAAGCAAAGGCTGAGGCATTGGGCCTAAACACGGACCATTTTAATAGTTTATATTCTAGGACTTTCTCTTTTTCATGTGTGATAGTATGCTTAGGTATTATATTTTAACTTACAGTTGTAACTTATAACTACACCCTTTTACATTATAAATTTTTAAGTATTGCTGGTTTATGTTAATAATTTTTAATTAAATATTATAACTTAAGTTTTCCTTAAACATTGGTTCTTCCAATATCACCTTTATTACTCTTGCTGTCTGTAAACACCTGTGCTATCATGAGTTGTGCGAGTGTTTTAATTTTAGTTCCTGAATGCTGACACTTTTTTTTTTCTTTTCTGAGACAGAGTCTCACTCTGTCACCCATGCTGGGAGTGCAGTGGCACCATCTCGGCTGACTGCAACCTTCACCTCCCTGGTTCAAGCAATTCCCCTGCCTCAGCCTCCTGAGTAGCTGGGATTACAGGCACACGCCACCACATCTGACTAATTATTTTTTGTATTTTTAGTAGAGACAGGGTTTCACCATGTTGGCCAGACTGGTCTCGAAATCCTGACCTCAGGCAATCCACCTGCCTCGGCCTCCCCAAAGTGCTGGGATTACAGGTGTGAACCACTGCGCCCAGCCCACCTATCTTTAAAATACTGAAGTTGATGATATAAAGTAATTTTTAAAAGATGCATGTGTTATGTTACTGAAAATATGTGTTGTGTAATAATGATATTGAAATTGATTTTAAATTAAATCCCTATTCATGCCTTGGCTTTGACTTCAGCAATAATACTTACAAATTCATGGGTTTGGTGCACATCCCCCTCAATCATAACTTTGATGTATGTTTTGTGATGCAATAAAATAAAAATATTTGATTTTAAAAGTTTATGTGTCTGACATCTTAAATCATCTTAAGTATCATTAGGGGTTGAAATATATACTTGAAAAACTAATTTTCAAGTATTGAAAATAAATACTTGAAAAACACTGTCTTAATTGCTATTTTGGTTGACCCTGATGTTCAAAGACATAATGGCTGGAAAGTTGTTCCTCTTTTTAAAATGTGTGCACACAGGAGAATGTAGTAATAATGGTGGTGGAGGGTCTGGACTGAGAGCTTAAGTAACCTGGGTTCTGTTTCCATCTCTGCCATAAAATTTCTGTATGGCCTTGGGCAAGCCCTTCCCCTCTCTGGGCCTCAGTTTCTCCATCTGTCCAATAAAGAGGGGAAGGGCTCTAGAAGCCATTCCATCTTGTGACTCTCTAGATAGCTTGATTCCTCTGCAGTTGAGTCAAGTGTGTTTAAGTAAGCAAGCCACCTCCTGTTTGCCTCATCCGGCCTCTTATCTTAATAAGTAATGAGTGTGCCAAGGGCTGACAATGACATATTTTGAAAATAGTTTTAATGCATAGCTGGCAGAGGACCTGTTGGGCGTTGACAAATTACACAAACAGAGATGATGAGGAGTGCATCAAATATTAACGGCCCAGGGCCCAGACGGTAATGGAGAACTTACCTGTGTCTTACATAAGCCTACTCATGTTCGGCTGAAGGGAACATTTCTTTTCAACGTCTCCAGGCAATTGTAGGGTTGGCTTTCAGCAAAACGAAGAAGAAGCCAAAGTTAATTTTTGTAGGTGACCCTTGACTTTGGTTTAATTTATTCCTGGAGGATATTTGAGAGTCAAGCTCTTTGAAGTGGACTCCCTTACCCCCTGTGTAAAGGTTATGAATCGGATTTCTGTTCCTTGATGCTGATTCCTATCTTAAAAGTGCAAAATTGACTATAAAAAGCATGAAATACTACTACTAATAAGATATAGGCATATGTGCTTGAAAAACATGTATTTAGAATATATTTCTAACTATTTTAATACAAAACAAGAATGCTTCTTAGGCGTTTTTTTCTAACCTAGGCCTGACTGAGCTCATCTTCTTGAACATGAATAAAATAAAGTTTAAGTCATTGTCCTAATAACTGTTTTTGAGTCTTAGTCACTCCAAGTGCCCTTGAACTGAGTTCAAACTAAAGTGAAGGTTTCCAAAAGGTTCATGGTTGATTTGAAGAGCAGAAAGTCTTTTTCATTACTACGTTTTGCTCTTCTATGTCAATGAGATATTGACAGGTCTTTACGGTGAGTAAATAATTATATTCTAGCCCAGTTGGGTTGCCAGATTTGCAAATAAAACTACAAGATCCCCAGTTACCTCTGAACTTCAGACATACGTCAAATATGTTTTTAGTACTAGAATGTTCCGTGCATATTTGAGACATGCTAAATATCATTTGCTGTTTATCTGATATAATAATTTAATTGAGCATCATCTATTTTATCTGGCAACCCTAAACCCAAGGGTTGGCAAACTTTTTCTATAAAGAACCAGATAGTAAATATTTCAGGTTTTGCAGGCCATAGGTAACTACTTCACTTTGCTGCTGCAGCACAAAACAGCGTAGACAATATGCAAACAAATAGGCATGGCTTTGTTTCAATGAAATTTTATTTACAGACACTAAAATGTGAATTCCATAAAATTTTCATGTGTCACGAAATACTATTTTTCTTTTGATTTTTTCCCCCATCATTAAAAAATATAAAACCAGCCGGGTGCAGGGGCTCACGCCTGTAATCCCAGCACTTTGGGAGGCCGAGGCAGGCGGATCATGAGGCCAGGAGATCGAGACCATCCTGGCCAAAATGGTGAAACCCTATCTCTACTAAAAATGCAAAAATTAGCTGGGCGTGGTGGCACGTGCCTGTAATCCCAGCTACTCAGGAGGCTAAGGCAGGAGAATCGCTTAACCTCGTGTATATATATATATATATATATATATATATATATATATATATATATATGTATATATAACCTCGTGAGCTTGCAGTCTGTACAAAAACACTCAGCGGGCCAGATTTTGCCCACGGGTTGAATTTGCTGCCCCCTATAAAACCTCTAAAGGTACAGCCACCATCTAAGTCTTCAGAGTGACCACTGACTTCAAGATAAAGGTTGCTCATCAATTTAGAGCTGTTTTATTTGCTATAGTAACCATTAGAATTGAGAAGTTGTGTTAAGTCTAAAATATGCACCATATTTCAAAGACTGAGTATGGTAAAAAAGTAAAATAAAGTTAATTTCACCTGTTTTGTTTGGAATATGTCTACTACAAGATTTAAGATTGCATATGTAGCTCTTCTTTGTGTCTCCCTTACACTTCTTCAGTTTCTTTGTTTTTTGGATTTGGGGTCTCATTCTGTTGTCCAGGCTGGAGTGCAGTGGTGCTATCATAACTCATTGCAGCCTCTCGGCTGCAGCCAACTCTTGGCTCAAGTGATCCTCCAGCTTCAGCCTCTGGAGTAACTGGGACTACAGGCACATATCACCACTTCCAGCTAATTTTTAAATTTTTATAAATAAGGGGTCTCACCATCTTGCCCAGGCTGGTCTCAAATCCCTGGGCTCAAGGGATTCTCCTGTCTTGGCCTGTCAAAGTGCTGGGATTACAGGCATAAACCACTGTGTCCAGCCTCTCCTTGTCTATAAGAGCTGGCATGTGAGCATTCTTTCTTTTACTCATTCCATTCATACAACACATATTTGATAAGGATCTACTATGCATCAGGCATTGTTATTGGCCCCGGGTAGAGCAGTGAACAAGACAGACATGGATGATACCCTAGGGAACTTTCCCTCCAATCTGTAATCCTAGCTACTCAGGGGGCTGAGGTAGAAGGATCACTCAAGTTCAAGGCTCCAGTGAGTTATGATCGTGCCACTGCACTCCAGCCCGGGCAACAGTGCAAGACCTTATCTCTTAAAAGAAAAAAGAAAAGTAGAGATTGAAAATCCTAACTGTAGGAGGAAGAAAAGAAGCTTAGTGCTCTGAGGGTCTTAAAAGGAGAGATTGACCCCATCAGGGTGTAGGTGAGGAAGTCACATTGATCTGAGATGTGAAAGAGAAGTAGATGTGAATTGAAGGTGGAAGGGAAGGACAGTGGCATTTCAAGGAGAAGGAAGGGGGAAAGCTGTGGTGGTGACAGGAGGGTGTCTGGTTGTTTGAGAGCTTGGAGAAGGCCACAAGGCTGGGGCATGAGGGTAAGGGTAAGCACAGTGAGGGGTAAGGGCACTTTAGCAGAAGATGGACCCATCACCCATCATCTCCATCCCAGAGGACCAACAGGAAGTCACTGAAGGGTGTTTGTTATCAGATGAAGGTGGGGAGTACCATGGTGTTTGCATTTTAAAAGCCTCTCTTTGTTGCAGAACAGCTGCCCTGTGGGCCACACAACTCAAACCAATAACGCCCACCCCATGGCAGTCCATGACTGAGCTCTTAGGGGCCCAGAGACGAAGAGAATACTTCCCAAAGTACCTCATAGGCATTATCCAGAGTTCCCTGAAATGTCACTCCGAGTGCATGTTTTGGGGAGCACTCCCAGAAGGGTTACTCTGGACTCACCTCTGAGATCACCATCAGCCAGAAAGCAAAGGAAAATAGAATGCTGGCATGAGAATATGCCATGTTAGCACCAGAGTAGTTCTCTTTAGAACCGAAAGAGAACTGAGCAATTGCCTACTCTAGAAATTGAAGGTGTTTAAAAAAGGCAAATTGTATATACAGGTGCCAAAATCTTATGCTTGTGGTTTTAGCCCCAGTATGGACACATGGTGGAATTTCAGGGAGTAGCTTGACCACATTCCAGTTGCCTTCTTCCCCACATGCATATGCACAGACACATATGCACACCTTTCTCGTTAAAGGTTGATATTATGGCATGATTGAAGTAGATCATCCCATGAGTTATTTGCTTTTCATTTCTATTTAGATATAAAATTTGCACTGTTGACATGGTCACAGAACAAGGAGAACTGTGATTTATGTTTCATAATTCCTATAGCTGATTTCCTGTGGGATTGTGTTTTATCTCCTATCATATCTTGGGCACTCTGTATTCTCCACCCCTTGCTGCTTGGACATTAGCTTGGCTAAAGTATAGCTGGAGTGTGGAGCTCTCCTACCTCAGGAGGGCAGGCAGGAAGGGGTTTGGGGGAAGGGGGTTCTATTGGCTATTCTTAGCTTGTACTGTATAGGCTGCTACCTCCCCTAATAAAGCATGGAGCAATGATGGGCCAAGTGAAGCAGGTATGCTAAGATGTAGAATCTTTCTTAACCTGCTAAATAATGTGTGACTTATGAGATGACAGACCCATTGTGTTAGGAATTTATTCCTTCTTGTGTGTCCTTGGTCTCGCTGACTTCAAGAATGAAGCTGCGGACCCTCACGGTGAGTGTTACAGCTCTTAAAGATGGTGTTTCTGGAGTTTGCTCCTTCAGATGTTCAGATGTGTCTGGAGTTTCTTCCTTCCAGTGGGTTCGTGGTCTCGCTGACTTCAGGAGTGAAGCTGCAGACCTTTGCAGTGAGTGTTACAGCTCTTAAAGGGGGCATGTCCGGAGTTGTTTGTTCCTCCTGGTGGGTTCGTGGTCTCACTGACTTCAGGAATGAAGCTGCAGATGCTTGCGGTGAATGTTACAGCTCATAAAGGTACTGTGGACCCAAAGAGTGAGCAGCAGCAAGATTTATTGTGAAGAGCAAAAGAAGAAAGCTTCCACAGCCTGGAAGGGCACCCCAGGGAGTTGCTGCTCCTGGCTCAGGTAGCCAGCTTTTATTCCCTTATTTGGCCCTGCCCACATCCTGCTGATTGGTCCATTTTACAGAGTACTGATTAGTGCATTTACAATCCTTTAGTTAGACACAGAGTGCTGATTGGTGCAATTTTACAGAGTGCTGATTGATGCGTTTACAATCCTTTAGCTAGACACAAAAGTTCTCCCAGTCCCCAGCTACCCAGAAGCCCAGCTGCCTTCACCTCTCAACATGGGGAAGGAAGGAGCCACAGGAGCTGCCATGGTGCCCTGCACCTTGCAGGGAGCTCCTCTTCATCTAGCCCCAGCCTGGAGGTTTGGGGATGGTCCTCTCCACAGTCACCTTCACTGCTACATTGCACTTCCTTTGATTGAGCTTGGTCCTGCCTCCTGTAGCTTTCTCCTCTCTTTCTACCCTAGAGGCTTTGAATTAGTCCATCCCATGCACTTGCCCCAGCAGGGTGGGGAGAGATGGAGGAAATTCCATCACTGGAGAGGAGTGCATTTTCTGTGCTGTAGGTGGGGAACTGTTGAAGCTTATTGCCCCTAATCTCATGTGTGGTTCTTGTGCCAGAGTGCCATGTTCCATCCTCAACCCTGTGAGGTAGGAAGGAGGAGAAACACGGATTCAGGAAGCTTGCTGTCCCTCTCTTCAGAATGCTCCTAGTGGTCTTATGGAAGCCTTTATCTCTGAGTAACTTTCTTTGTTCCAGTTGACCTTGCCCTATTACCAAAGCTGATTGGACTGAGAGAGTCACCTGACCTAAGCTGAACCAATCAGTGTCTTTCTTTCAAAAACATGAAGGGCTTGGAAAAATACAGCCAGCCATGATGGCCTTGAAACTGAGGCCATAAACAGTTGGGATGGCAAATAGCAACATCTGAGTAAAAAAATTCACAGAGGTTTGGAGAAGCAGAAAAAAGAGCCTCAGAGAGAACGAGAGACCATGGGGAGAATGGAAAAGGCTTGCAAAAAGAAACAGCTGCGAGAGCTCAAGTGGTCCCCAAAATAAGGAGATAAAGAAGAGAGGGTGCTGGTGACTTTCCAGGGCCAGCTGTAGTTCTTCAAACAGGTTTCACGAGATTTTTCTGCATCCTTCCAATAAATTTCTTATTGCCAAAGCTAGCTTAAGTGAGTATCTGTTTCTTGAAATAAAGTGATCCTTCAGACTGGGTTGTAAAATTTGATATCATAGGGAAAAGATAACCCTACTGGTTCATTTCCCAGAGTCACTGCCAGTCTTAGGCATATGGTTTAAAGAGGGGGAGGAGGGTACCAGGCCCAAACTCTTTCCTCCTCTGGTGTGCCATCTGGTCATAAATTGCAACATTAGGGTCCCATTCCTTTGGGTTAAGGATTTGTCTCTCAAAGAGCTTAGCTAAATGGCACTCAAAACACGAAAATCGCTCACTCAGGGATAATGAGCTTGGAGTGTCTTTCAGGGAAGCAGACAGGTGAGTGCACAGCCCTGCACGAAGAAGATTCCAGATGGGCCAGATCTGAGGGGCTCTGTGTTACGCCACCCCCTTCAGCCAGATCACTAGCTCTGCTTCTATCTGAAATCTTTCCAACAAAAAAATTCTTCATATATATGTGAAGAATAAATATTCTTATATATATAAATATATATAAGAATATATATTCTTATATATATAAATATATATAAGAATATATATTCTTATATATTAATCTATAAATAAAAATATATATGAGTATATATTCATATACACATATATATATATATATATATATATTAGTAAACATAGATATGTTTTGGAGTTAGGATTACAAGTAGCAACATCTGAATAAAAAACCTGGAGAGGTTTGGAGAAGCAGGAAAAAAAGCCTCAAAGAGGAAGAGAGACCATGGAGAGAATTTACGTGTATATAAAATATATATGTATATGTATAACATATATAAAAATATATTTACATGCATATTTACACACACCCACACACATCTTAAATCACAAATTTAGAGTATTTTCTTTTTTTTTTTTTTTTTTTTTTTTTTTGAGACGGAGTCTCGCTCTGTCGCCCAGGCTGGTGTGAAGTGACATGATTTCAGTTCACTGCAAACTCTGCCCCCCAGGTTCAAGCAATTCTCTTGCCTCAGCCTCCCAAGTAGCTGGAATTACAGGCGTGTGCCACCACACCTGGCTAATTTTTGTATTTTTAGTAGAGACGGGGTTCCGCCATGTTGGCCAGGCTGGTCTCGAACTCCTGACCTCAGGTTATCCACCCGCCTCGGCCTCCCAAAGTGCTCAGATTACAGGCATGAGCCACCATGCCCGCAGGATTTACAATATTTTCAAGATGCCAAAGTGAGCAGCACCTCTGAGTAGATAGCAGAGGTTTCTGGGGATATAGTCTGTGCTGTCCCCTCTCTGCTCAGCTCCTTGAGAGACAAATTCTTAACCCAAAGGAATGGGACCCTAATGTTGCAATTTTTGACAGGATGGCACACCAGAAGACAGATTTTGGGTCTGGCACCTCCCTCTCCTTTTTAATTTCTGTGATCTTTTTATTCCTTAATAGATTGGTTTCCACATTTACGAAAAGGAAAAGGCAGGAGAAGAGGGGCATGGCTGGCCCTCTCTAAGATGGAGTGGCAAATCCACATGGCTTTGGAGCACAGTGGGCCAGGTGGGAACTGAGGCAAACTGAGGAGGCAGAAAATGCTTCAAGAGTTTCAAATTAGAAATGCACAACTGCCCGCTGCCCCAAATGGAATGAAAGTGAAGAATGAGCAAACCACCTCCAAAGGGCTGAATTTGTCTTACAGGTGCCAGTTCATAAGGTTTGATTGTGTTTTTTTGAGTGCCAAAAATTTAATGCTTGTATGTTTGTCTTTGGGTGTGAAGAGAACTAAGATAAACCAAATGAGTAAAATCTGAAAATTTTTACTGAGGATGGGAATAATTTGGGAACTTATTGGAAGTTGATAATAATAATAATGAAAATAATCATGTGGGTATAGAAGTAACTTTGCTCTCTTACTTCTCATCCCCTGTCCCGTTTTTGCCTCCGTTGGTTCTCCTACTTGTCCTCTCATTTTTGTGGGCAGGGCCTACAACTTGTGTTCAATGAGTCCCACATCCTGCAGAACCTTGGCAAAGGCCCAGAGACATGGCATGTGAATAACGCCATGGCTTTGTGCCAAGTGCAATTGAATTTGTCACCGAGGACCACGTGTTCTGAGGGTGCTCAGATATGTTCGGTAATGAGCTAATGCTCTTGGCATGCAGGTGTGCTGGGATCGTGTGTCTCCAGATACAGGTGTTGCTGGCCTAGTTAGTGATTTTTCTTATTTGTTTAATGTTAGCCACCTCTCCAAATAATGCCTGGGGCCAGGTATCCTGCTGGAGCCCCGGATGTAGGCAGCAGAAAATGCCATGGCCCAGGGCACAGTGGTGTCTGACTTTTACTCACCTGTGCTGCTTTCTCCTTCCAGATGTTCCCAGGATCATGTTAGAGACCAGGGTAAGACCTCAGCTTTCTATTATATTTTAAATCATGGAAACAGTAAATACATTGAGAATTCTGGCACCGGCTAAGCTTAAATTTTTAAACTCTGCCAAAAGAAGGCTTTGAATACCATTCTGTTTTCTTTCTCTTTCACTTCATCTGTTTTTCTTTTGTCTAATTGAGATCTCAGATACAGGGGGGCGTGGTACATGGGTTTTTAACTGGTGGTTACTGGATACTGTATAGGTATCCATGAATCTCCTGATATGGTAATTAACATTCTTTGTACATATATATTTTCTGGCAAGATATCCATTGCTTTTATTTGGTCTTCAAAGCATCTAGGATGTTTCCAGGAAGGTTAAATAAAATCATTAGAGAAAAATGAGACTCATACAAATCTGGGTTGCATTTTCTGCCCTGCCCTTTCCATATTTTGTAAACTTGGGAAAGTTGGTTAGTCTCCCAAGGGCTCTATATTCTTATATAAATGTGAAATGTTCCAGACTCAAGAGGATTATTAGGGGATTGTTATTAGGAAATTATTAAAGCAAATGCAGATAATAAGCCTTACACAGTACCCAGCAAATTGTAGATATTTAAGAAGTGCTCATTCTAATTAGGATACAGGCAGCTGGAGTCTTTCTTGTTCTTCAATTTTTTAAACACTGTCTCCTGTTTATAAAAACATAATAAACTGGCCGGGGGTGGTGGCTCACACCTGTAATCCCAGCACTTTGGGAGTCTGGGACAGGTGGATCACCTGAGGTCAGGAGTTTGAGACCTATCTGGCCAACATGGTGAAACCCCGTCTCTACTAAAAATACAAAAATTAGCTGGGCATGGTGGCAGGTGCCTGTAATCTTAGCTACTCAGGAGGCTGAGGCAGGAGAATCGCTTGAACCCAGGGGGTTGCAGTGAGCCAAGATTGCGCCACTGCACTCCAGCCTTGGCAACAAGAGTGAGACTCCTCTGTCTCAAAAAAAATAATAATAATTCTTTTATTTGGAATAATTTTAGATTTATATAAAAGTTGCTAAGAAAGTGCATAGATTCTCTGTGTAGTCTTCACTTAGCTTCCCCTGATCTCTGTTCCTCTGTCTTTCCTTACTGTACACAACAGTGACAGTGTTGAAAAGTGCTGGTCACTGATGACTGCTGTCTTTAATTCATGAAAGTGGTAGCTGAGTCACCTGTACTTTCCACTGACAGAACCTTTTTGGTCCTGGCCTGTCTTGGACTTTTGTCTTCTCTTGACAGTGTGGGTTACTATGCCGCTCCCATGCCATAATAACGTGAGGCCATCAAAGAGTGTATCTTCCTAGCCACACCTCTGGGTCATTTCAGAATGCTGCAGTGCCCCAGGTGTCCATCCTTGTATCTTTCCTCAATTTTTACTCACTCTGTAAGCCATTTCACCCTATTCTTGAAAACTCTGCTGTATACTGATGCCTTGCAAATTTTTATTTCTAGCCCCACCCACTCCCTAAGTTCTAGACTTATATGTCTAACTGCCTACTGACATCTCCAGTGAAATATTCAATAGGCTTTCTGAAATCAATGTGATCAAAACCTAACTCCTATGACCCTCTCAAACATGCTTCTCCCCAAATGTCACCCACCCCCCGGTATATGACACCACCATCCATCCCAAAACTTAAAATTCCTAAATGCCTTTTCTTTTTCTCACATATCACACCCAAATCCTCATAAATCCTATCATCCCTTCCTTTAGAACATACTTGGAATTCAACTACTCTTCATGACCTTCTCTGCTCTCACCCAAATGTGGCCACCATCATAATTCAGATGGATACCTATAGTGGTTTTCAAACTATCTCCTTGCTCCCAGGCCTTTCCTGTCCCCCATAACCCCTTTAAGCAAGTCAGGTCATATCGCTCCCTTGCTCAAAATTCTCCATCAGGTTTCCATCATACTTAAAATAAAGCCCAGCGTCCTCATGTGGCACACCTGATTTGGCCCTTGGAGCCTCTGCAACATCTTCTCCTTCTACTCTTCCTCTTGCTTTCTGCACTTGGAACACTCTAAGCATCTAGAATGTTTCCAGGAAGGTTAAATAAAATCATTAGAAAAAAATGAGAGTAATACAAAACTGGGTTGGACTTCTTACCGGTTCCTCATACACACTAAACACACTCCCTTCTCAGGGCCTATAAATGTGCAATTCCTTCTGCCTGGAAAGCTCTTCTGAAGGATATTCTTGTGGCTTGCTCTCTCATTTCATTTAGGAGTCTTAAAATACCATTTTCTCAGATAGATCGTCTTTGACCATACCAGCCCCCATCCCTTGCTATCTCCTGTCCACTTACCTTTACTAGACACTGTATTGTAACATTTTATTTGTGTATTTATGGTGTGTTTATTCATTGGAAGAGTGCTTCTCACTTGGGGTTCATTAATTCCATCCACCACCTTTAGCAGCCATTCAGCATATTGTAGACCTTTATGTTGGTGATAACTGAGCGATTGCTGCAAGTATCTAGTGAGTAGAGGCCAGGGATGCCTCTAAACACCCAACAATGCACAAAGCAGCCCCTACAACAAAGAACAATCCAGTTCAAGCTATCAACAGAGCCATGGTTGAGGAACACTGTAATGGAATATGAGCTCTCATAGGGTGAGAACTTTTAATATGAACTCTTACAGGGTGAGCCTGCATTGGAATGTGAGCTCTCATAGGGTGAAGACTTGGTCCTTCTTGTCTACTCCAGCACCTAGGACAATAGTTGGCACACAGCAGAGACTCAGTAGACATTTGTTGAATGAATGAATGAATGAATGAATGGCTATTCATTCTAAGGTTGACTGCCTTCCTGCTTCTAACCTGGAAGCTAGGCTCTTGTGCCTTCTGTCCTTGAATTCCCTACAGCTAGAAAGGATCTGAGAAGGGGTGGGAGGGGATGAGTTTAGAGCACAGGGCTGATCTTCGTCAGAGTCCATATTGCCTTCTCAAAACTTTCTTCATCTCCAACTCCCCACTCGGGCCAAAGCATCATTAGCTAATCTGCAGGCATGGCTAACAGAAAGAGGTGTTTAATTCTTCCCCATTTGTAGTCTAAAATCTTTCCATTCCATGCACAAACCCACTCTGATCACATAGGGTAGGACTTTTGAAACTTAAAAGCTAAGTATTGATTCAGGTTTTTATCTCTGTCATGCATTCTCTTCCTTGGAGCAATAAATGGCAGACCATCTTGGCTTCTCTGTGTTTTTCAGAAAAGGAGTCAGGAAAAGACCCTAAAATTATGCAAAAAAATCAAGGAATTCTTTAACCACTCTGACTTTAGCCATTCCTCATGACCTCAGGATCAGGCAAAAACTTGCAATGTTCTAGAAATAGTATACTATCATCTTAGAATGTTTTAGTTTTGCAGAACTCTATGTTTGTTTTATGTATATATGTCAATGTTAAAAGAATTATTTTAACAAATTGGCTCTTGTGATTCTGGGGGTCTGGCAATTCCAAAATGTGCTGAGCACAATACATAATTGCAAAGATGTGGAACTAACCTATGTGCCCATCAACTAAAGGGTGGATAAAGAAAATGTGGCACATATACACCATGGAATACTACTCAGCCATCAAAAGGAATGAAATAATGTCTTTTGCAGCAACTTGGATGAAGCCAGAGGCCATTATTCTAAGTGAAGTAACACAGGAGTGGAAAACCAAAAACTGAATGTTCTCAATTATAAGTGGGAGCTAAGCTATTACTATGAGTATGCAAAGGCATACAGAGTCATAAATGGACTTTAGAAACTCAGGAGATGGAGGGTAGGAGGGAGACTAGGGACACTAAACTACACATTGGGTGCAATGTGCACTACTCAGGTGATAGTTGCACTCAAATCTCAGAATTCACCAGTATATAATTTATCCACGTTACATAAAACCACTTGTACCCTAAAAGCTATTATAAAAAAGAAATCTACTGAGCGAGCTGGCAGGCTGGAAACTCAAGCAAGAATTAAAGCCAGAGTCTTGAGGCACAACTTCGTTTTTGGAAAACCTCAGTTTTTGCTCTTTAGGCCACCAACCGATTGGGTGATGCTGACCCACATTATGGAAGGTCATCTCCATTATTTAGAGTCAGCTAGTTGGAGATGTTAACCACATCTACACAACACCTTCACGGGAACACCCAGATTATTGTTTGGTTAAATACTTAGGTCCTATAGCCTAGCTACGTTGGCACATAAAACTAACCGTCGCATTTGGGAACTGGGAGATTCAGAGTCTAAACTGTGCTCACTGCCTATCTCTTTGTTCGAGGCTAGTAGCATCACCTTTCAATAGAAGGGCCAGCAAAACATGTGTGCCTAGAGGTTCTTTTGCTATATACACGATAAAGCTGCCAGGTAACCTAAGTTAGCAGAAGGACCTAAGCCAGTCCACGGATGCCTTAGGGGAGGAATGAAGCAGGTCCCAGCATGACTTTGGAGTTTGGAGTTTTTGTAACCCAGAAAGCACCTTGCCATTTGCCTCCCATAAAGGAATGACTAGGCCCAAGTCTGCACAAACCAATTTCAGCCTGACCCTGATTAAAATTTCCTTCTAGCAAATCTGAGAAACAGCTGTTTCTCCGCACGATACCCCCAGCACACCCCAGCCACCCTGTCATCCCCGGAGGCTATTCCTCAGAAGCCAGCTGTTGTGAGTGAGAAGATGAAAGGTGTCAGTCCCACTTGTAGTGCTTGTAACTTAGGGGAGGCAACAAGATTCTTCCTTTGTTTTATCCTTTCAAGTTTAACAGTTAGTCATTATGACTGGGGGAAAGAGTTATCATTTCCAGTTTCTGCTGGATGCAGTGAAGCAATTCATCAATCTCCTTAGAAAAAAATATGTGCTCCAACCAGGGTTGGTTTTCTTTGTACCACATTGTTTTTTGTTGTAGCAAGAAAGCACAGTCATTTAACAGGTTAAGTTCTGGAAGGGCAGGAGTTTCAGTTTCATTGAGTCTCCAATTTAAAGATGGTGGAGTTGAATAAAAAGAAGAAAATATTTCTGTTGTTTTAGTTACAGAAGAAAAGGTGGCTTGGATTTGTAAATGAAAGTTCTAGAGGCTTTCATTACCTTTGTTTCAGACCTTCCTCTCTCATTCAGAACATCTTCTTTTCCTTTTCTTCTGGGGGTAGGTGGGGAGGAAGTCTTGCTCTGTTGCCCAGGCTGGAGTGAACTAGCACCATCATAAGTCACTGCAACCTTGAGCTCCTGAGCTCAAGAGATCCTCCTGCTTCAGTTTCCCAAGTAGCTGGGATCACAAGTACACCACAATGCCTGTTTATTATTATTATTGTTGTTGTTGTTGTTGTTGTTGTTGTTGTTGTAGAGATGAGATTTTGCCATGTTGTCCAGGCTGGTATAAAACTCCTGGACTTTAGTGATCCTTATTCCTCAGCCTCTTGAGTAAGGGTGTCTTTGTTTAGTTCATCCAGGTGGGTTCAATATAAGGAGAAGCCTCCAAAACTTGTATTTTATGCCATGATTTATATCAATCTAAATTCTAAATGCATTTTCTTCCTTCATAGTGATTAATACATGTGGATTGATGTACCATTTATTAGCCACCAATTATCTCATTTTGAGAAAATGAGAGCTAGGAAATTTGACTGTCTTGGCCAGCTTTACCAACCAGTAGATGGTGGAGACAGATTCAAACCCCACAGCACAGCAATCCACATGGCTTCCAAAGTCCAAACTTAAGCACAATCTTGGGAAGACATTCTCAGGAATGCATCGTTTGTAAAAAGGCAGAAATTTTAAGAACTAAAGATTCAAATAGATTTAAAATGATAGCAAACACATATGTGTGTGTGTATATATATAGAGAGAGAGACAGAGAGAGAGAGAAGAAAACTTGTGAACTGATTAACTAATTTATACTAGAGTGTAAATGATTTGGTGTACTTTTGCTCCCAGAGAAAAGTTTCTTTAAAAACATTTGTTTAAATATGACTGGAAGGGCAGTATTTAGCCTGAGGAGATGCATGGCAAATGCTATAATTTATATATAACACGTACCTTACAATATAATACAGTGGCAGGTTCTTGAGAAGGACAATTTATCTCACACAAAAGGTATTACTTTTCCCATATTAAAGTCTTCAAATCACATAAAGGTTATATTTTAATATACATATTTGACAGCAAATTCTTTCAAGTTTTTATATCATGACAAATTTGGAAATACTATATTGATTCATTTATTTAATAAGCACATTTTGAGACTTATTATTGAATCAGACAATATCCTAGAAACTGAGAGAATGAAAAATCACTAAACCAAGCATTGCTTCCAAAAGAATATAGCATGGAAGAGCCTAGAGAAATTTCAGAGTTATTGGAATCCAGAGATGGGACACACTTCTTCGGACTCTGGTCTGAGGCTGTCATAGGGAAGAGAACACCTGAGTTTGGCTTGAAATATGAAGTCTACCATGTGGAGGGAGGGAGAGAAGGGCGCTCTAGGAATGGCCTGTGGGGAGGGACATTGATTAGAAAATTTCATGCTGCAGGAGATTGCCAAAACAATATGTTGCATGTTCAGCAATCTTACTGAGCACCTACTTTATACCTTGCATAGTGTTAGGCTCTAGGAATACAAAGGTCCTTCAAAGCCTCTAGGAATATAGAGACCCTACCACATGAAGACAGAATCAAGGAATGCTGGGACTTTGAGAGATCTCAGCAATGATTGGGTCCAATACTTTGCCAAGTCCTAGAAGTTATAAGGAGATGCTTCCCAGGCCCCTAATGAGACAAGAGGACACCGGACATGAGAGTGTATCAGTCAGCTTAAGCCAAGTTATACTGCAGTAACAAATGGCACCAAATCTTAATGACCTGCAAAATTAAAGATGCATTTTTCATTCATATGACATGACTATCATAAAGCAGCTCTGATTTTGTTTCCTATCTTCTTCATTCTAATTCTACTGAAAAAGAAGCTCTTTTCTGTGACATACTGGTCCCCCTTCAGAAGGAAAATAGAAGAGTGGTGGACCATGGCTTTCAAAGCTTCTGTTTAACAATAGCACCCATCACTTCTAGCTACATTCACTGGGCAAGAGTGAGTCACATGGCCAAGCCTGATGTCAGTGCAACAAAGAGACATCTTCTTTCTCCATGACCAAAAAATATTTTGAGCAGTGATGCAACTTTCATTATGGAGTTTAGGAATTCCTTATTCTGTCTTCATCTTGTACAGCTACATGATGAACCGTTTTATATATTGGATTCATGTGCAACGTTTTCTGGAAGGATAGGTGGCAAAGAATGCTAGACATCCACTAAAATCTGTTCTTCCCTTCCACAGTGTAGTCATGTCACACCCTGCACCTGGGTGTGGCTGTGTGTCCAGTTCTCACCAACTGAATGTAAGTAAAAATGATTTGTATAGATCTTGGGCCATGATTTTCAAGAAGCAGGTGTTCATTTCCTCTACCATACCTCTTCTGTGAGAGCAGCAAGAGGTAGACGATGGCAAGGCCATGGGAGCCAACATAATCACAGGAGAGTAGATCTTGGAATCACAGGGTGGAGGAAAGCTCCAGCTGTCACACCCTGGACTGTTCTGTGACGGAGAGTGAAACTTCTGTTCATTTGTTTATTTTTTAAGCCACATGCATTTTAAAGTCTATTTATGATAGCTGTTTACACTCTAGATGTGCATATAAAAATAAATTTGGTCATCTAATCTCTCCTTGTTTGGAGAAGTTAAGGAGATGATCAGGGAGGAGTACAAGTTGTCCACATTTTTACAGAGGAGAATGCCCACCCCAGCCTCTGGATTCACAGGCCAAGACTTCTGCTACTACATCTGGTTGATACCCCAAGAGCTGAACAATATGATGAAAATTCAGGATCTAAATTGCTGATTCATACCCTGAATCTGGACCAAAAATGTATCCCCTGTTTCCTGCACAGGGTTTTAAAAGAGTATGTATGAATTGTGCATGTAAATATATTAGGCTATTTCACAAGAATAGTTAGGTTCCAGCTTCTTTTGAAAAAAACAGCAGGCAACACTGAGTCCATATTCCCATGAGGGGATGATTAGCTCTAGCTCCTCCTTATTTAGATGAGACCTATGCTGTTCAGTTCACCAGGGTCTTCTCTTCACCCTGGTGGTTTTCTGCCATCGAGGCATAGAATTAGTTGTCATTTGTAATTCTTTCATGGCCCAATAGTAAAGAGGAATATAAATTTTTCTTTTTCCCTTGTCCCTATAACATACAGAATAATGAACCAACAAGAGCGAAGAACAAGTCAAAGAAAATGGCAAAGAAGATATTTCTTTGGGAAAGTGAAGAATCATCCCTCAGCCATCCCACTTCTCTTATTTATGTCACCTGTCTAAGCCTCCAAAAGTATGTGCATTTTGGACTCCTGGCCTAAGGATTCATGTGGATAAATGACTAACAAATGGGCGGAGGTCCCCATAAAAGCACTTTTCTTTTCTGGAGGCTATTCCTGATTGGAGTCAGGAGTTCTATCCTGAGTTAGAGGTGCCTTACTCAGACTCTTGCTTGCGTGAGTGTGGTATGATCCATTCCTTCAGGTTGGCCTCTCGGATGGGTGCCTACTGTGGCCATGCCACCATGCCAGAGGACTGGGTGGGCATGGGCATGAGGGTGCAACAGTGACTGAGGTCTCTACTCTCCAGAGGCAAAAAATAAACCTCAAGGAAGGCTTGAGCCACCAGGGGTCTGACTAAATAGTGATCCTATCAGCCTTATTTTTTTAATTTTTAGTTGACATGTAGTAATTGTACATATTTATGGGATACAGAATAGTATTTCAACACATGTAAACAATGTGTAGTATTCAAATCAGGGTAATTAGTGTATTTCTCACCTGAAACATTTATTATTTTTTTCTGTTCAGTACCTTCAAAATCCTTCCTTCTGGCTACTGGAAAACATAAAGTAAATTGTTAACTATAGTCATCCTACAATGCTATAGAACATTATAACTTATTCCTCCTGCCTTGCTGTCATTTTTTATCAGTTAACCAACATCTACTGTCTCCCCGCCTCCTTTCCCCATGCTCCTGTGACCACTATTCTACTCTCTGCTTCTATGAGATCAACTTTTTTAGCTCCCACATATGGGTGAGAACAGGCAGTGTTTGTCTTTCTGTGCCTGGTTTATTTTACTTACCATAATGCCCTCCAGCCTCATCCATATTGCTGAGAATGACAGGATTTCATTCTTTTTATGGCTGCATAACATTCAACAGTGCATATGCCACATTTTCTTCATTCATTCATCTGTTGATGGGCACTTAAGTTGATTCCATATCTTGGCTATCGTGAATAGTTCTGCAATAAACATGAAAGTGTAGATATCTCTTTGATACACTGATTTCAGTTCTTTTGGATCTAAACCCAGAAGTGGGATGGCTGGACTATAGGGCAGTTCTCTTTTTAGTTTTTTGAGGAAACTCCACGCTGTTTTACACAATTTATCAGCCTTATTTTCGCCTCCTCATCACACATGGCAGATAATTTGTCACGAGGGATGTCCCTCCCAAAGCCTGCCCAGAGTGGATGTGTCCTGAAATAATATTTTGAAATATGAGCTGGTATTTTTCTCTGTACTTTCTGTGAGACCCTGTGTACTCTATCTGCTAAGAACTCCACTTTCATGGATCACAAGAAGGCTAACACACAATAATAAAATGTTTTTGCTTTTCCTCTTTGTAAGAATAGATAAGTTCCAGGAGAGATTCCATGCTCCAAGACTAGAAATGAACCTGCTTGGACGTTTATGCAAACCTCTGCTCAAATGTCCCTTCCTTGGAAAGGCTTTTTCTCACCCACTCAGCTTGAAGTCAGATCCTTCCTCACCACCCCTCATCACTTTCTTCCCACTCTTTCTTGAGGTCATTGTGTGTACATTTTGCTTGTTTAATGGTATGCTCATCACTAAGTTGTGAGCCCCTTTGGGGCTGGTACCTGGTCAGTCTACTCATGGGGTTATCTTCAGTGCAAAGGGAAGAAGCTCAACAAATATTGACCGAATTAATGAATGAGGTGTGTTTGATGCTGGTGGGTCTTTGAGGAATGGCCTTGCCTTTTGCCACATAAATGCAGTTTTTAGGTGGGTGGGGTGTATGGTGGGTGTGCTGGCAATGGAAACCTCACATCAGTGAGGAGATCCAAGAGCAAAAATATCATGCTTCTTCTCAAGTAGAGACTGGGGGTGGGGACAAAACTTCCAGGGTGTACACAACCACGTGCCATGCCTGGGTCAACAGGGCAGCTCATGGTGGGGAAGCAGTGGAAGTTTCCTAGGCACTGGGGGCATGCTGGGTTTAATTCAGGAGCTGATGGGGTTGGCAGGCCTCAAGACTGTTGACGGAGCGCCTGACAGGGATGAGGAAATCTCACGGGTGCCACCTTGAAGAAATGATGACACTGGGGACTAGGGCTGCACCTGTCTCTCTGGTGCTTTCCTACTACATTGGTCCCTCTACTCAAATCCAGATAAAGTGGGAAGACAGACCAACACTGAATCAACTGAAAGTAAGCTTCCATCACTCAGTGAGATGGGAGTCTAAATAGAAACTGAGTTTTTAAAGAAAGTTACATTTCTCACACATCAGTATTTATGAATCGAAATTTCTATTTCTCACATGAACAGTTCCTCGTGGCTGTATTTGCACCACTTGCAAACCACTCATGGATTCCAAGAGTGATGCAGTTATGGGAATAAACTGGAATCCACTCTAATTTATTCCTAAAAGTAATTGTTCCATAAGGTTCCATAATTCAGTTCTTATTTGTCAGGTTACTTGTTAATGTCCATTGCAACATTATGAAAATGTGTTTCACACATGCTGCGAACATAGAAGTAAAAAATAAATTTTGAAGGCACCTGTTGTAATGTTGTAACAGGGAAATACCTGAACTATGAATCACAGGACACGGGTTCTGGTGACAGCTATGCCACCTATTAGTTGTGGGTGCTAGGCAAG
The DNA here is from genome assembly GCF_000001405.40 of Homo sapiens. Taxonomy (NCBI): domain Eukaryota; kingdom Metazoa; phylum Chordata; class Mammalia; order Primates; family Hominidae; genus Homo; species Homo sapiens. The sequence continues at coordinate 51,983,508 of NC_000016.10, read as the reverse complement.
TCCCTTCCCCTCTTTGGGCGTCTGTCTTCTCATCAGATGACGGAAGGAAATGAAATGACTCATCAATTGCACGTCATTGTGATAACTGCATACCTGCTGTACTGTTATATATGTAGTGATTTTTCTTTAATTCAACTAAGAATTTGAATATTTCAGTTATGTTGCTTGAAATCATCCAGCAGTAGGATGACTGAACTTTAAATGTCCCTTCTCCCCCTGACACTCTGGCCTGTGCACTGTGATTCTAGAATTGAGAGACTGAGCCATTCCCAAACATCCCGTGAGCAGACAGTCTATTGAGCCCATCACATGAACATAGGGGTTGCCCCCCGTCTTTTTTTTCCAAGGCATGGCTGTAGCTGCAGGTGATTCTTAGATAAATAACTAGAAAATATTTGACAGCCTCACCTCCGTTAAATGTTCTTCCAAGGGATTTCAATTGAGTCTCCAGTTTTCAGGTCATTTAAAGTTTGCTACTTCTAAAGTGCCTCTTACCATCAAGGTGTGATGCAAAGAGTTTTCCATTCGATGCTTCCATTGAAATAAATAAATTGAAATGAAGGCGAGGATTTGTCAGGTTTCCACTAGAGGGCAGCAGAGTAGTGAGAATCAGGGTTCTCAGAGGCTTTGTAGTAGAAGTGTTGACATGTGACTTGGCAATTGAATAATTTTTGATACTGTCCTGACACATAAACACCTAGAAGCAGGTTTTCAAAGGTTATTTGCACACTAAAAGAGGAATTAAGGAAACGAACTTGCATGCCAAAAGTAATTTTCAATATTCTACAAAGAACCGTAGCTTCATTATAAGATTGTTTTTAGAGAATATTCAGCTATCGTTAACTGGATATGTTAAACTTAACTGGCAAACACGCATTCAAAATAAATTAGGCTGAGTGGACCTAAGAAAGTAGATCCAGTGACTAATAAAAAATTTCTGCTGGGATTTGGAGTCTGGCCAACTCACCCAAAAGGAGAAATTGGGCTTTAAGTGATTTTTCTAGATCTTCCAGCCCTGGGGGCTCCTAGGCTTGTGATATTAGCATGGTTAAACAGTTGTGCACATACTGCACGGTTTTGTGTGTGTGTGTGTGTGTGTGTGTGTGTGTGTTATTGTGGTCATTTATTTTTAAGGTATTACTCTACCTTCAGCATAAAAAGTCAGCAAATTATCAGAGTTTATTCCATTGACATTCTCACATCTTGAGAAATAGCCCATTTGTATTATCACAGTTTGATATATTTCCCATTTACTGAGCTTCCTTGGCAAGTTGGCATTTTAATTTAATTATACTTTTTGCTAATGGTCTTTATTTTTCAGTGTCTGTGTGTAAAACGCCCGTAGGTTTGATTATCTGCCCCCCTCCTCTTCCCAGTGCCGAGCTATAGTGCAAATTTATAAACTGACAAAATTCAGTGTAAAATTCAGGAAGGTGAAATTAAGGAATTTGTAAAGAAATCCTGCTTAAATGCTGAAGCCTTTTCCTCACTTGCAGAAGACGGCTCCCTCTTGCATAAGTTTAGTACCTGGCCTTGGTGTCTCCAATAGGAACCCAGAACAGAGGCATGTGGCCTGTGTCCTTGTCCCTCTCTGTGCTGGCTCAGACTCTGTCCCCCTCTGTGCCAGATAAGAGAGAGTTTCTGTGCCAGATCAGAGAGGTTGTCCCTCTGAGCTGACAGAGAGAGGGACAAGGCACAGAGAGGAACGTGGACCTCTAAGAGTTTGAACTCTTCTGAGGGTATCCTCTGAGCACCAAGGGATATAGCAACAATGATAATCGCAGGGTTTTCTTGGCTTATTGATGATGCTGGGAGCTTATGGAGGCTTCTCCCTTTAGAATAGAAACTGATCGTGTAGGGCTGTAGCTTTCCTTGAAGACTGTAGGCTGGCTAGTGGAGTCTGGACCATGGGCCCTACCAGGACCCTAGGGCTGTGTTGGTGTGCATTTAGTAGTAAAAAGGAGCTAATGAGTGGAAATACCCAGACAAGCAAGTACACACATCCATGCTCATATTTCCCACAAGTGTGCACACTCTGTTTCCTTGATCCTAAGATGCTGCTGACTGTAACACACACCATTGATCCAATAATAGCCCTCCAAGGGGAAAAAAAAAGAAGAAGAAGAAGAAGAAGAAAGAATCACTGCCAGATTAAACTTACACATCAATTGTAGGGTACATCCCAGTTTCAGAAATGCCAAAAAGTGGAAAACAAAGGCTGATTTCAAAATCTTGGAAATTTAGCATATCTAATTTTGATAGATGTATTTAAGGTAAAGCTGCCTCCCAAAATTTGTCCTGAAGAAAAATTCAGGATTTGAAACCTATGCAACCACAGTCAAGTTGCTAATCATGATCCATAAATGGGCTAGCAAAGTGTGAGAATAGTCTTTGTCTGTGGAAGTGCTCTGCAACTGTAAAGTTCTGGGCAAATGTTGGCTTTTGGTATTTTATTTCACTGGGTCTGTGTTATCTATTTGTTTTTGTTTTACTCATTTTTTTTACACAGGACCCCTCTCCCCAGGACCCAACCTGTCCTTATGACCCCCTTAACCCTTCATCTGTCTCATCAGCTTGGATGATTTGCCTTATAGAAGTGTGTGGATGACAAGCAATTCATTTAATCAATTTAGTAAAGCCTAGGACCATTTATTTGCCTGTGCTTGTAAAGGTATCCCTCCACTCCCGCTGAGAATGCCGAGAGAAACAGAAGAGTTATAATGGTGAAGGGTTTTCTATTAAAGTAGGGGGAAGTTGTACAAGAGAGGGGGCAGGGACAAAAATAAGTGTATCAGGCACGGTCTTGGTGACACTAGTCAAGAGCCTCAGGAACCTACCCATTGCACACCTCGGACAGAGTGACGCAGGTCCCAGCCACGGCAGAGATGCTGCTGGCTGCAGTACTCACAGGAAGGCAAGAAAGGGACAAACAATTGAAGAACAGGGCGTGTTAATTACCTTACTCAAGGGATCTTATGAAACATGGCGTACATGTAAATTGACACAATGAATATGATTACTGCAGGATTTCATTTTCATGCGGAGGAGTAAAGGGAAAGAGACAGGCTTATATGCCACTCTCTATGATGTTTCTTCTCTCTTCTGCAAACAGAAGTCCTACTCTTATCTATCAGCCTCCTCACTGTCCAGCCTTCTTGGTGATTACGCTGTGTCTCTCCTTTGCCTCTCCATTTGCTCCTCAGTTACTTGCTTGATTGAATGAAATTCTTTTGCACTATGGGAGGCAGGATATAGTCAGAGAGGTAATGGGAACCAGATCATGGAGAGTTGGAAGGACTTTGCATCTCTCTGGTATTATTGATGATGACTCCTTGGTATAAGAACAGACAGTGTAGGTGGGGTGCCACAGGGAAGTAGAGAGACCATTTAGCCGAGGTGAGATGGATGCGATGGGGGGAGAGGAGGAGGGAAAGGAGGAGTTTGACACCAAAGAGGGGAGGGGGAGGGAAGAAGTTGTCAGATTGTGATATATTTTTAAAATATGGAATTGGATGCAGCTATGACGAAAACATAAGAGGAAAGGAAGATGACACCCAAGTTTTGGCTGGAGCAATCAGAAGAATGATGTTGTCATTTTTTGATATGGAGAAAATATTTGCTTTAAAAATGTGAAATGTTAAATTTGTACTTGTCGAAAGAGGAAACAAGTAATGTTGGGGACAAAGTGCGGTTGCATGACAGAGACCAGAATTCAAGAGATGACGTAGGAGAGAGAAACAACAAGAGAAAACAAACATTGGAAGAGATTCAACCCCTTGACAAACACTTGGCTGTGCAGCTGGCTGGATCAGAGTCAACCTGGAAGGACGTTTGCCTTGAATTACTATCAAATCACTTGTGTGTGTGTGTGTGTGTGTGTGTGTGTGTGTGTGTGTGTGTGTGTGTTGCTTGTCTTCTCTTCATTTGTGGAATCATAAGTTCTTGGGCAATAGGGTTCTAAGTCTCTGGTACATAGTAATCCTTAAGTTGACCCTTCCTAATTGGCTGTCTGGGGCAGCTACAATAGCCTGAACCTAACTTATCTCCTTGTACTAACTTCCCAAATCTAATAAAAAAGATGGCCCAGCGTGGGAGGAAGCCTCTTGTATTGTCTGGTGGCTTTCTTCTCTCAGAACAGCATGTTTCTCCTATTCCCACGTTCAGAAGATAGACACTGCATGAAATACCATGGTGTGCTCACCTTCTTGGTCTAGTCTAGGGGTCCAAGACAGGGAAGAGTCCTGGGATAGTTTTCCTAGTAAAGAGTTCAGCCTTGAGTTGCTAGAATTTTAAAGAAAAGAAGCAACAAGTTGCAATTCAGGGCAGTCAGTCCTTTTAAGTTTTGCATTTATGGGACCCCATATTCAGCCACTAATGGCTGGCAGATGAGATGGTTAGAAAGCTGGTGATGTGGGAGACACTTGAATATTCTGCAAACCAAAGATAAGTCCATGTTGCCTCTCTTGTTCACTTTCATTGGGAAGGTGATGTGGCTGCTGAATGGTTAGGAGTCAGAACTGGTGGTATCTACTAAGAAAAAGGAAGATTCATGGTTCTTCTTAGGATAAGCATGCATTGTTCAATCATTATTTAGTAGATGTATCATTGATCCTAAGCGCCCTTTTCTTCCTTTAAGGGACTGAGTGGAGAAAACAATCTTCTTGTTTGTTGGGGTCTACTCCTTATCACTGATGGTCAGGGTTGGGTCATTTTCACCCATCATTTGTCGTAAGTGGTGTTGGGTGCATGAGAAGAGCAGCCTCGCCAGCTGATGGAGGAAGCACCCTCAGGGTTCTTGTTGGCTGAAGGAATTGGGAACAGCCCTCCTGGGAAGATGGGAAATGTCTGCCCACAGGTTTCAAAACTGCAGGTACAGTGCCTCGATTGGGCTCAGGTCAACCACGTGTGGGTTGCTGCAGTCCCTGGGCCGTTGCCTCTGTGACATCTTCATGTGCTCATTTACAGTGGGTCTTGGAAAAAAGGTTGGAAAATACTGAAGAAAAAGGTTGGAAAATACTGAAGAAAAAGGTTGGAAATCCTGGGGAACCATGGAAGCCACGAGATGTTTTTGCTTTCCAGTGAAATAGTTTTCCCCCTTCAGAAAGGGACATCTGGTGGTAATAGATGTGGAAAAAGACACATGGAGCATGGGGGGATATCACCCATTTCATTGCCAGGAAAGAGATGTTTACTACAGTGTTAGCTCTTTTCTTTCTTTGTTATATAGGGTAATAGTGTGAGTTGGGCTTAAATCTCAGCTCTCCCACTTAACAGTCGTGTGACTGTGAAGAGTCACTTGAACTCGTGACTCAGTTTCTTCATGTATGTAATGAGTATAAACAGAATGCCTATTTCTTAGTATGACAGTGAGAATTAGAAAACGTAATACATTTACAACAGGCAGAACAGTGCTTGGCACTAGAAAGCATTCAGCAAGTGTTGTTGTTCTGTTGTATTGTGCCATTGTAGTTGTGATGTTGTCATGCTGTTGTGCTGTTGTAGTTGTATTGTTGTTGTTGTTATGCTGCTATAGTTGTGTTGTTGTCGTGTAGTAGTTTTGTTGTGCTGTTGTAGTTGTGCTGTTGTAGTTGTGTTGTTGTGCTGTTGTATTGTGTTGTGCTGTTGTAGTTGTATTGTTGTTGTTATGCTGCTATAGTTGTGTTGTTGTCGTGTAGTAGTTTTGTTGTGCTGTTGTAGTTGTGCTGTTGTAGTTGTGTTGTTGTGCTATTGTATTGTGTTGTGCTGTTGTAGTTGTGTTGTTGTGCTATTGTATTGTGTTGCGCTGTTGTAGTTGTGTTGTGCTATTGTATTGTGTTGTGCTGTTGTAGTTGTGTTGTGTTGTAGTAGTTTCATTGTTGTGCTGTTGTAGTTGTGTTGTTGTTGTTTGCTGTTGTAGTTGTGTTGTTGTTATTGCCAAAACCATTTATCTTCATGGAGTCATCTGAGTTCTCCACAAGCAAAGATGGATGGAGAAGTAAAAGAAAAGCCATGGGTGCCATAGCTGAGAGGAAGAGCAAGAATGAACAGAATGGTGATGGGAAGAAGACACTGGAGCCCTTCCCAGCAGAATCCAATGGGGAAGAAGAGACAAGGGTCTTGAATTACTTTCCATCCCATTTGTACAGAGTCAGAACTGGTGAGTGACAGAGCTTGGATCTTGAGTACCTGATGCCCTCAATTATTGTCCCTTCTACTGGCCCAGAAGGCTGGCATATGGTTTTTGCCATTTGAGCCCCCATAGAGGGAGGTCCAAGCAGCCAGACTCTTTTGCTGTGGGAGAAATCTGCTTCTGCAATTGTGATGCGTGAGCACCAACTGACAAGTTTTTCTGGAACAGAGATAAGGGATGAAGCAGAAGAGACAGAAAGTTTGTTTTCTGTGCACCGTCTGTCTCCCTACCTTGGTACCTATATAGTATTCAACACATAACTATTTATTTACAGTTGTCTGTATTTACTGAAACTAGAGGTAATTGAGTTAAAGAGTTCATTAGGGTGGTTCTTAATTCAATACGATTGGTGTTCTTATTAAAAGTGGAAACTTGGACACAAAGACAGACATTCCTAAAGGGAAGATGATGGAAAGAGACACAGAGAAAAGATGGCCATCTACAAGCCAAGTAGAGTGGCCTAGAACAGATCCTTCCTTCACAGCCCTCAGAAGGAACTAACCCTGCCAACATCTTGAATTTTGAACTTCTAGCCTCTGAAACTGTGAGACAATACATTTGTGTTGTTTAAGCCACCCAGTTTGTGGTACTTCATTATGGCAGCTCTAGCAAACTAATATAATTACCTATGGCATTTATGACATCTCAGGTCATTCCATTGGTGCCTTCCAATATACCCACTGGTTGCTTAATAGGATCTTTGGAGATGTAGGTAACAGAATCTTTACTATCAAGGTTACCTCTAAAGGCAAATGAAATAGACTACACATAAAGGTTTGGAATGGTGATACTGTGGGTCAGAAATTTGGGAAAGGCTCAGTTGGGTATTTTGCGGCTGGTCTTATAGGATCACTCATGTGACTTCAGTTTTAGGGACTCATCTTTGGCTGGAAAGTCTCAGATGGCTTCACTTGCAAATCTGGTGGCTGATATTGACTAGGACAGCAAGGACAACTGTGACAGCTGGATGACCAGTTGACTTCTCATCCTTGGCGAGGCCAGCCTAGCCTTGTTTGCATGGCAACTGTAGGGCTCCAAGAGCTTTATCCACGCTCTTAATTATTTCCTTGTAATGGTTTCCCAGAAGTGAAATTGCTGGGTCAAAGGGCATGCATAGCATTAAGGCTTTACCTTAATAATACAGAAGTGCATTTTCTTTTAATAGGTATTACAACCAGGTATTATCTGTATACCAATATTTCCTTTGCTGATATTTTCTATCACTCACATTCACGTGTAGGGGGAAGAAAAAGCCTCACGCTTTACCTGACTGCATTCAATCAATTCCTAAATTAAGTAGTGCAAGTGGAAATGTAATTCAGTACATATATCCCTGAGGAACGAGTGGACTACACATTTGTTAAGTGGGTTTCATTCCCCAACATGAAACATATCCCAATTTTTCTAGTTGAAGAAGAGAAAGGAATGTGCAATTATTTTTTAAAATTATTTAATTACTAAAACCAAACAACGTACCTACAGTTTTCTTTGTTTAGGAAAACCATGAATTTCTGCAATTTCTACTTATATTGCAAGTATAATTGGAGCATCTATTCATTCCAAATCCAAGCTGATATGCGTATTTAAAAACCTGGCTGCCATTTTGTTTTAAGCGCTCTAACAGAACATTATTCTCTATGTAGATATTTTCCACTAGAGAGCCATATGGGGTCAAAGTGAGTAGGGTTGTGGAGCAGGAAGCTTCAGAGAGAATGCCTTTTTACATCTAAGAAATGCTGGATGACCACCTGCTTATACACAGACATGTGAAGGAGAGAGAAAAACACAAAGTCCATAGAAGAATTACTACTCCTGGTGTCCTCCCCACATAGTCAACATTTCCCCAAATTTTCTTCTAAGAGAGACAGATACACAGAGGCCAAATATCAAATAGTTACATTTCATTACCTCATTTATTAGTCAGTAAGAAGAGGAAAAAAGTAGTCAAATATCTGAAAAAGATTCTGAAATTCAAATCTTTTGAAAAAGTTTCTGAAAACTGTCCTCAGGTAATTTTTTCTCCCTACTGGCAGGGGGGATAGTAAAGTGAAGAAGATAGGGATGTATTTCTTTGGTTTCTGAATGATTTCTTTCCAAGGGCCTGTATTTCAAGCTGTGTTTTGAGCTAAGCTGTCTTTCTTTATGTTTCTCAGAGAATCTAATACATTTGTTTCCTCATTGGTAGGCAAAGGTTAAAATAAACAGATAGTAAATGCTGCACTTCATTCCAAACTCTTCATTAAGTTCTTTAAAATCACACTGACATCTTTCATGGATACAACGTTGAACTGGTCTAGGGATGATGGTCGCAGACTTAAATTCTAGTCCAGGCTCAGCCACATACCAGGAATGTGAGGACAAATCGCTCACCCTCTCGAGCCTAGGGGTACTCACCTGCAGTAATAAGAAACTTACCTCTTATTGGCCGGGCGCCGTGGCTCACGCCTGTAATCCCAGCACTTTGGGAGGCCGAGGCGGGCGGATAACGAGGTCAGGAGATCGATACCACCCAGGCTAACACAGTGAAACCCCGTCTTTACTAAAAATACAAAAAAATTAGCCGGGAGTGGTGGCAGGTGCCTGTAGTCCCAGCCACTCGGGAGGCTGAGGCAGGAGAATGGCGTGAACTCGGGAGGCGGAGCTTGCAGTGAGCCGAGATCGCGCCACTGTACTCCAGCCTGGGAGACAGTGCGAGACTCCGTCTCAGAAAAATAAATAAATAAATAAATAACAAACTTACCTCTTATTTTAAGGGGCTATTAGAGAGTATGGATCAATTGCTACTCTACAGAAAGCAGGTAACACCAAGCCAGGTACACAGTAGGCTTAAATTAAATTAATAATTATCCCTACTAGTACATCACTTCATTATACTATGTCTTTTATATAAGTAGGTCAGGTATTACTCTTCACATTTTAGGAACAATAAAAACAGAAGTACAGGCTGGGTGCGGTGACTCACACCTGTAATCTCAGCAGATCACCTGAGGTCAGGAGTTTGAGACCAGCCTGGCCAACATGGTGAAACCCCCACCTCTACTAAAAATACAAAATTTAGCCAGGCATGGTGGCGGGTGCCTGTAATCCCAGCTACTCAAGAGGCTGGGGCAGGAGGATCACTTGAACTGGGGAGGCGGAGGTTGCAGTGAGCCAAAATGATATCCCTGCACTCCAGCCTGTGCAACGAAGTGAGATTCTGGCTCAGAAAATTTAAATAACTAAATAAACAGAAGTACAGAGAGGGGAAGAAATAGCTAAAGTTCACATTGCAAGTTCCAGAAAGCCAGACAGGACCCACACAACAACAGGAGCTATGAGCTTCATATGGTTGATTGGGCTACTTAGGCTAAAATGGGATCAAACACAACACAGTTTTATATTTTTTGATTCATAATGGGAATAATCGAGAACACCAGTCATCTGAACTTAATAAGGCATCCCTTCTTCCCATGACTGTTGATGTTGGCTATAAGATTTCAAATCAGTTTCAGGACACTGGCCTTCACTATGCCATAAGGCCACCACTTTCTATGTCGCTTCTTTTTGAAAAATGTGTAGTCCTGAGACTGGATGTAACATTTTTACCCATTCCCCATTGTAAGCATAATGCAGATTGTTCATCTCAGCCAGAGTGACATATGTGGTGAATCTGTCCAATGGTTCACCAATGGTGATAGGGTCTGCATTGTCCAATGATAAAAATTTCAGCTTCTCAGTGGAAGCTGGTATGTTGGGTTAGGTTGACGGCTATGCTTAGGAATATATTTCTAATTCAAAAACAGGTACTTCTATTCTTCAAGATCGGGTCAAACAGCCTGCAAAATCAAACTCATAGTTCCATTTCAGAATGCACCAAATACCTTCTTGTTCAAATGTGGTCCATCTTTTGTGTTGGCAAATCCTCTTCTGGCTCTTTATTAGTGACTGGTCAAAAGCACTCTCCATCTAGGAGAGCTGAAACCTGTCCTTTTGTTGATGAAGTAGCACACTCAGGATCTCAGGCTACAGCTGAGAGATGGCAGGGAGCTGAGCTGGTGGAAGGTGCTGGGAAAGTGGGATGACATGAGGATGAAATCAAGTTTGGCTTTCCGAGATGACTTTTTACTCCTGTAGACATGCTTTTCCAACTTGACATCAAGAATGCACATTTCAAACAAAAGCTGAAGTAGCATCCTTATCAAATTTATTGCAAGTTTGAAATTAAACCTTAAAAAAAGTCTGTATGTGTTACAGAAGCATTCATGTCAGAGGTGGCATGATGTTCAGACAGGGGAAAGGTAGAGTTGTCAGTCAAAATGTGTATGTTGGGACAGAGGAAGTATGTAGGTTTTTAGACAAAGCAACAGCCAGGCACAGAAACCTAAGTAATTTTTCTTTGCTAAAATTCTGTATACTAGTTCTGTGTATTACTAAGACACTGCTCATTACCTAGTTCCCTTATTTCTTCTAAAGAGCACCATGGCATTTCTCCAGGCCCTCAGTGTGCTCTGTAACAATTTATATCAGACCTCTGGCCACTTGAGGTAGGCACATGAGTCGGTTATGGCCAATGAGACATAAGCCAAGAAGTCTGGAGAAAACTTCTTATGTCCTGATACCAGTATCATCCTTTCAGTATCTTCTTCCTTCTTGTTTCTTCCTGGAATAAGGGTCTGGGATACAGCAGCCATCTCGTGACCATGAGGTGAAATGCATAAGGGCATAGGCCTCCTAAGAGGGAGTGGAATGTCTGAAAGAAAGATCCTGTACCACCATCCCCAGCCACCATCCCAGCCCTGGTCTGCTGCCCACACACTCCTAGCCATGTGGAGTAGTGCTTTCATATGTGTCCTGAATGCATTCCTAACTGAGTCCGTTGATAATACCAAGCAGTAGCTGCATTTGTTAGGGTAAGAATAGCTTTTATAAACAACAACTGCCACAGAGCAGTGCATTTTATAGTAAAAGTTTATTTTTCACACACATAAAATGCTAAACTGATGTTCTTGATCAGCAGCGAACTCTTCTGCAAACAGTGATTCAGGGGTCCTGTCTCTTTGTATCTGGTGGCTCTGCTATCTTGAACACATGGCTTTCAAAGTCACCCTGTATATGGATTTCTGGCTAGTAGAGTGGGAAGACAGAGAGTATTGGCAGAGGCTGGGGGCTGGGGAAGAGTGTGTACCAGTCCCAGGGGCACATGTCACTTCCAGAACTCAGTCTCTCAGCCTGGCATTGGAACCTAGCTGTGTGCCCAGGAGGGAGAGATGGATTTGGTAAAAATCCAGGGGGCAGTTGTAACAACCGCCATGCTTTATCCTTGGGGTGGCCTTGGAGTACTGAGGGATGAGTCGATGGCTCACTTTTCATAATGGTGATTGACAGTCAAGCTGGTCCTTTCTGGTATTTGGATGATGGGATGTGAGCACAGATGGGTAACCGGGCCTGTGGCTTTTCTTCAGCCAATGAGGAGGAAGAGAGGGTGGGGGAGGGTGATAGGGTCTGCATATCCATATCAACATCCCTGCTTGACTTCCAGTGAGCAGGAGGTGGGGAATGGAGAAATAAAAATTATTTAAATTTCCTCCCTTTAAAACTGCTAACTGTATCCCATAAAATTACAGATAGGATATAAACAGCAACTATTTGTTTAGCCAAGGTCCTTTATGAATCTTTTTGCTCAAAAGACAATGGGGCGGAGTGGTTAGAAACTCAGACTTGAGCTGTCAATCCTGGCTCCACTACTTAGTGGTCGTTTGTTTTATTTTGTTTTTTGTTTTTGCAAATTTCTTGTCACTGGGAGCCTCCTGTGAAAAGGAATTAATAAAAGTAATTCACCTCGTAGGTCTGCTGAGAACATAAAATGCAATGAAAAGTATAAGGCTCTCAGGATAGGGTCTGACCTATAGCAAGTATTCAATAGATGTTAGTTAGCTGTTATTTACTGTTATTATTATTAAAGAATTATGATTCACCAGCTTGGAGTGTCTGGAGGAAACCTCCAGATGGCGCTGAAGCAGAGAATCAGCCTGGCACCCAATCGCAGATGCAGGAGCACAGCTGCTCATCATTTCTCTAGGTCAGGAACCTCCCAAGTCAAAACTGTAGTTATGGCGAATGAAGTTTTCTGGGGAGCTTCTCTCCTCTCCTTCACCTCTGCAATCCCATGTGTCTTTAAAGTGAGAGTCATTGGCCATTCTTTGGTTACTCCCTAAAATAATATCAAAATACACCCGCTCTCATCAAAATCCAATGAGACGGCATATGCAGCATTTGCTTAATGCACATTAAATGCTCGATAAGTTCAATTTCCTTTTATTCCCTCTAACGGGAAGAGAGTGTCTCCCTCTATTTCTTTCCTTATCGGCCTGGTCAGTGGGCAGCCGACTTTCAAAATCTGTTTATTTGCTTAGTAAAAGTTTGAGGTAAGCAAGGTTTGCCTGAGCTATTGCATTTCCCTGAAAGTCTATTGAGTGTAGAGATTTCCAGTCTAGGCTTCGGATGCAGAGAGGCTTGGGTTTAAAAGCCAGCTCAGGCCGGGCGCGGTGGCTCACGCCTGTAATCCCAGCACTTTGGGAGGCCGAGGCGGGTGGATCATGAGGTCAGGAGATCGAGACCATCCTGGCTAACAAGGTGAAACCCCGTCTCTACTAAAAATACAAAAAATTAGCCAGGCGCGGTGGTGGGCGCCTGTAGTCCCAGCTACTCGGGAGGCTGAGGCAGGAGAATGGCGTGAACCCGGGAAGCGGAGCTTGCAGTGAGCCGAGATTGCGCCACTGCAGTCCGCAGTCCGGCCTGGGCGACAGGCGAGACTCCGTCTCAAAAAAAAAAAAAAAAAAAAAAAAAAAAAAAAAAAAAAAAAAATTCAGCTCAGTCAGGAGCTGCAGAAGCTTAAAGACGCTGTTTACCATCCTTTGTGAAACGGGAATGATGATGATGACCCATCACTCACTGGAGGGAATGAATGCAAAGTGCCTAGCACATGTATGCATCCAATACATGCCACTTCCCTTCCCCTATTAAATATATATTTATTCCTTTGACTTACCCCTGTGCTTTTCAGCATGTCCATTTCCCATGGCCTTGGCTACTGTGGGGGAAGAGGGCACTCACAGGGTGTTTTGCCTTCCATCAAAACCAACCTCCCCTGCTCTCTTTTTCTAAGGATCCTGCCTTCTCTTCTACTTGGGATGAGTTAATCAGATGAACTAAACAGAGTCAGGGCGCGCTAGCCAACAAGGTTCCAGAAGGTGGTTAATGTGAACAGAGGGTAACTTTAGTGGGAGTTCCCCTCTCTGTGCAGCTGAGTTGTCTGGGACAAGCCATGCCACATCTCTCAGCTCCAGCTCCTCATCTGCACATAAAGGGGCAGAAAAAATCATCTCCACTTGTCCTTCTTGCTCTTTCATCTGTGTTGTTGAGTGCTATGACAGGCAGCAAGAGATGTCATGGAGACTATGCATCTTTCCTAGAGAGGGCAGCCGGTCTTGGCTACCCTCCTATTTTCTTACTTGACTATTTTCTCAGCCTTCATGGGGAGCTGGTCCAGTCTGATGGATGAAGACAGGAACCCTCTGAACTGCCAAGACAGTCCTCAAGAACTCTGAGACCATGAAATGTGGCTGCCCTGGGAAAGCTGATAATTTGGTGCCCTTTTAAATATGTTCCTGACATATTTGTATATGCAATGTGTGTGAGAGAACTTGATTTATCTAGGAACAAAATATACATCTGCCTCTGTGTTCAAATGAAAGACTTATGAAGCCCCTAAAATGATGTTTCCTTAAAAGATTTGTTTACTAAAGATACAGATAAATAGAAAGAAAACAAAACTATTACTCCAAATTTCCCCATCCACATAAACTCTGATAATCCAAAAAAAGTTATGCATGTACAATTAGAATATGTAAAAAAGCCAAAAAGTTTTCAAGATGAAAAAGGAAACCATTCCTTCAGTCCCTTTTCATTACAGCTAGCAGTTTGTTGTGATTTTTCGATTAACATAAGCATTTTACGTATTTGGCAGTACATATGCACGCACGCGCGCACACACACACACACACACACACACACACTGCAGAAAGGGAATCTCACAGATTTATTACTTCTACCGAACATAATCTTACATTTTAGCTTTTTGTTCCACAGTTTATCTGTTACTCAGTATCATGTTGGCCCCTTAGTGTCACCAAAATAAAGGTAATTTTTGTGGATATACTTACCAAGTCTTATTCAGATTATTTTAAAGTTTCTTTATCTGGCCTTTACGGTAGTGAATTTTTTGAGTACCTCTTGTCCTCTCCTAAGGTCTCTTTTGCAATTTTCTAAATCAGACATCTTCTTGGGAGGCATATTAAAAGGGTTTAAAATTTGGATAATAAAATAAATTGCTCATTTCCTGTAAACAGCATTCCAGCATGCATTATTCAGTTACAGAATTATCCTGATTGCAACTGCTGACTTCAGTCAGCCATGGGCTCTGTTCTTGGGCTTTGTGACATAGTGGTTGTATTTTGAAAAAAAAAATCAGTAGAACTTCCAGGGAGGATTTTTGTTTGTTTTGTTTTGCTGTTTTATTTTGTTTTAATTTCCAATTATGGGAACTATCTACTTTTGTGGGACCTAATTATGTTTTGCCAATTCTGTAAGGAGCTGCATGTGGAACCCTGGATTTACTGGAAACATACTGACAATCAGTAGATGTTCTATATTTCTGCCCTTTTCAGAAAGTTGTCTGTGGCAACTGCACTGTTGACCTGGCCTTAATCATATTCTCCTTAAGAGCAGGGGCAACCGAAACATTTTACTTCCATTCTGTAGGGAGGGGATGAATAGGATTTGGAAATTCTGAGAAGCATCCAGAATGCTCTGGGGGGTGAATGTAGAACAGAACAGAAGAGGGATTTGCATGTTCCCTACTGGAAAGCCATGTTAGCAAGGACTGCATCAAGATCATCTCCAATAACAACACAACGGATGCTGAAATTCCAACTCTCCCAGTCAGGACTACAAGGTGATAATTCAGTTCTCACACTCATGGCCTTTGGGCCTTCTCTATGATAACCCTGAAAGGTATCCTCTTAAGAGTGGGACAGGGGAGAGAAAACAGTCATTTAACTTTCAGGAACACTAAAAACACAAACTGTGTCACGTAAAATTACAAATCAGTTCATAAAATTGCAATAACTGACCTGCACAATGTGAATTTCCTGAAATGAGCGTTTGGATTGGGCACCAGTACCAGGTAATGAAGGGACTTTACAGAGATGATTAACAAGGGCCTCCACTTTTTATTAGACTCATTTCGCTAATCCCTAAAATTAAGGAATTCCAGGTGTATGGAGCCAAGTATGCAAATGATTTCCTTCCGCTGAGCTGCTGATTTCATAAAAGGCCCTCAAACAGAGAAATAAAACACACAGAATGGGAAAGCTTTATGGCACAGTCGAGAATATTGTGCCTTTAAATAGTTCAGACAAGCAGTGCGTGCTGTAAATTTGCCACAGAGACAAATTTGTGCAAAGCTATAAAAAGAGCAAAAGTGAAGCTGAAAGGAGAAGGCTGGGGGAGGGGCTGGGGGGCAGGAGGGACTCTCAAGACCTCAGTGGCCAAGGCAGTGTTGATTCAGCTGAAGCAGCCGCTGTGGGAGTGCTGGTGGGGAGCATGTTGTAAGGAGTGGGCTCACTGGACACACAAACAGATGGAGAAAGGAAAATGGAGACATTTTTATTCAAAGGGGGATGAAAGCATTGCATTTTCCTGGTGTCCTAGTTGTAGGGGTCTGCAGACTACACCCCAACGGCCAAATCCAAGCAACTGCCTGTTTTGCTATGGCCCAGGAGCTAAGAATGGTTTCTGCATTTTTAAACAGTTGAGAAAAAATCAAAAGAAGAAGAATATTTAGTGACATGTGAAAATTATATGAAATTCACACTTCAGTGCTCATGAATAAAGTTTTATTGGAACATAGTATGGATGGCTTGTGGTTGCTTTGCATGACAACAGCAGAGTTGAGCAGGTGCAGCAGAAACTGTGGCCTGTAAAGTCTCGCTTACTTACTGTCTTGCCTTTACAGAAAAAGTTTGAAGTTCTATAGCAGGAGGTCAACAAAGTGTGGCCTCCAGAAGAGCAACATCAGCATCACCTGGGTCCTTGGTAGAAGTGCACACTCTCAGGTACCTCCCAGATTACTGAATTAGAAACTAGAGGTGGGGCCCAGAAACTTGTTTTCACAGGTTCCCCCCTCCCCGACCCTGTCACCGCCAGGTGATTCTGATGCACACTGAAGTTTGAGAACCGCTTCCATAGAGTGACTGGATAGCCTGGGGCCCAATGGGACACTGCATGTGAAATCCTCGCAAGGGTGGATGTGGGGTCTTTATCAATGTGAGAAATCATCTGGGGGGGGGTGTAGCCACAGGTGGCACCCTGGGCTGTCATCTGGTTGTCCAGTCCCTTAATGAGCTCTGCTTAAATAATGTAGGAGGACAAAGTATTGCTGTAGGGCCGAACATATCATACCCATAGGCATCAGGTACTCTTGTTACTCTTTTTACAGATGGGCTACTAAATAACTCACCCAAAGTCAAGCAAGTAGGAGAAATAGCCTTCAAGAATGGGGTCTATATGACCTCAACACTTGAGATCCTTCCCCTATCCCAAGGTGCCCTTGAATGAAACACACTTATGGATTCTGTAGGGAGTCACCCTGTCTCAGGCTTCAATTCCTGGGAGCTGGTGCCTTGGATTTTGGAGTTCACACCCTGCACTGCTCACAGAGCTGGCATTACGGAGAAAGTCATTTTACAAAAATGCTGGGAAATCAGCGTTCTCTTCGGGAAAATGTTGGTTATTCACAGTATTTATATGTGTAGAGCACAGAATATTCTATTGTGAAAATATCGAGATAACAACTGCTTGGGGAACATTTTCAGTGAAATATTTACTTGGGAGAACGGGAAACATGTCTAACGATAAAAAAATTGTAGGCGCATCTGGGTGAACATTATTTAGCTGCAAGTGTTTGCTTAGATATTTTTAATATACATTTATGCACTTTAAATTTATTTTATTGGGTGAAATAAGGACTTTGGGGAGAAGAGCTGGGACATAGATTTTTAATGTTCTGGGCAAATGAATACAGTCTTTGGTAGACGATGGTGCTCCCAGCTGCTTTTGTTTGATGGATTATCCTGATGTCCTTCATTTTATTGTGGTGCTAAGAATTGGGTCTGCCTGGAACAGTTTGCTGACAGATGAGAGCCTTGGTCTGTCACTGAAATCCCAAGAATTTAAAGGGAAATACAGAACAATTCACCTGGGCTCCCACTTATTACCTGCAGTAAAGGGCGTGCAAGTGGGGATTGACTGGCTTTTATTTTAACTTTCAAAGAAGAGATTTCATCTATGTTCCTGCAGAGACCGGAGGTGCAAACAGGCAGGTGAGTTTCTATAGCCATCTCATCGGCACATTAATCAGATTTCCTGCTTTTCCAGCCAAAGATGACTTTACTCAGACAACCTAGCTCATGTGTGGGACATTTGCAGAGATGTGGGGCGAAGGACCTGGATGGAAAAGCTTCTCTAGCAATTTTTTTCCACTTTTAATTTTGAAATAATAAGACTCACAAGCATTTGCAAAAATTGTAGTGTACAGAGAATTCCTACATATTCAGCTTCCCCAAATGTTAGCAGCTTACAATTATAATTCACTATCAAAACCTGGAAATGGATGTTGGTAATTAACTAGAATACTGTCTTTATTTAGAATATCATCAGTTTTTTACATATATTCAGTGTGTGTGTGTGTGTGTGTGTGTGTGTGTTTGTATGGTTCTGTAAAATGTTATCACATATACAGATTACTTGCTATGTTTTAAAGTATTAAGTGATAATAATCACAATATTGTTTGTAGCTTTTTAATGATCGGAATAATAAAATACAAAATAGGTTGCATCTTTCATCCTGTCTTTACCACCACTCTCTCACTGGAGTGGGTGTATAGTCTGATATCATGAGTGTTTGAGGCTTTTAACCCCCTCCTACCTCTTCTGAAGATGCAATGTGATTAAGAAGAAACATACAGTTGAGTCACTGTGGTAGACGTTATGAGTATCCACCAATGAATCTTGTTCTCCTCTATACTTGAGCACATGGAAGGTAATGCCTCTCCTCCCTCTTGATATAAGGCAAGATCATGTGATTTGCTTCGGCCAATGACATGAGTGGGATTATTCACCTGTCCTTCTGCTGTGCTCTGGAGATCATATAAGCGTCCATGCAGAGGTGCCATGAGACCACAGTTATCACGTGAAGGATAGCTCAATCTAGGAGCATAACCCAGTGAGCAAAGGACTTGCCTTGAGTGAGACATAAACTTTGTGCTGCGAAGGCAGTGCGATTTTGGTGTAGATTGTTACCTAATCTAACTTGTCTTAACTGGTGCAGTGCTAGGATATGATGCCTCCTTGGGAGGAGAAGTTATTTGCAACTCTTTCTTATGGCTTGGACTTTCTAGAATTGTTTGTTCTGCTGTGGAAGGAACTGCTTCTCCATGGCTGATGGAGAGAAATGGACCTAGTGTTCCCTCCTGCTTAGAATTGTTTTCTTCCATCTCCCTCTTCTCCACTTTAGAAGGCCAAGCAGAACCAAAGTTAGACTCCATCTCCTTCCCCTGAATCAGAAACTTTGGGAGTTGAGCCCAGGAATCTGTGCTGACAAGCCATCCAGGTGGTTCTGATGCACTTTCAAGTTTGAGAACACTGGTCTCAATGTTCCTTCAGTGACCTTTCAGTGGTTTATTTGCTGTTTTAAGAATCCTTGAAAGCCTGGAAGAGCTGGGACGCTGGTTCTCTACCAATGTGTGGGATCTAGCAACATCTTTTAAAGAAAAGAAAAAGTGTGTCTTGCTCTGCACTGCTGTAATGATTTCTGGGATTTCCAGAACCTTATTGATTTTACATGAAAGAGAAGATTCCTTCCAGGCTGAGTGGGATCTGGAAGTCTGTCCTCCATCACTCAGAAATCTTTCTTCTATGGTTGTCTTCTCCTTTTCACCATTAAATGCCCCAGTTCCAATGCAACTGGTTCAGGTTCATGATTGCCTGCCTTACTGGGATTTTCCAGCTTTAACTCTTCTATACTCATTGACATATAATTGTGTTTGTATTTTGAAAGGGGATAGCTATCCTTATCTCAAAGGGAAGAAATGCTAATAGTGCCAGTATCAGGGAGATATAATTATTTTTTATATGAGGCTTTCAAGTCTCATGGGTGAAGGCACTTTTGGGCTGTGCATAGCCAGTTTTGGTTATGGTGTTGACCTTCACTCATGGCACTATGGTTCTGTTCATGTGTCCCTCCACTTGGATATCTGAACTGCACACGAAGCCCACCCTAGGTGCAAAAGTAGAAGCTTCCACTGTGCTGCCACACACTTACCCATAGGCAGCACAAAACACCTTTCTGAGCTGCACTGGCCACATCAGACATCCTCCCAGCCAAAGCAAAATCAACACTTGAGCTCAGAATTTTATTATCTAGCCCAGTGTGTGGACCAAGACTGTTCAGTGGATATTCTGAGTAGAGAAGCCAACTTCTGGGCTCCAAATCAGAAGGTTGTTGGGGATCTCTTATGCAAAGGTGGAGAAGAAGGGCTGGTCTTGTGAAATGGAGCACAGTGGTGCCTAGAGTGATGGAGACTTTCACCTTGCTGTGACAAGTGGAAGACAAAATGTTATGCAGTAAACTACTGGCCTCATGGAGCCACATTTGGCTTCTGTTAGGAAGGAGGAATCCCAAATGAGCAGTGGTGACAGTGGACTGATATTTGGGCAATGGCTTCTCATCTCTGAGAGTCCCTCACACTTGGGAAAATTGCACGCCAAGGGGATTCTACTGAAAAACATTGAGGACTCTCTATGTGTGAGCCAACTAAGCACCATGGGGCACAGGAGAAGAAAGTGCTATGCTTTGTTCTTCAGTTTCTATTTTTTACTTGTTAAAAAATAAGTATACAACACAGCAAACTTAGAAGGTAAAATATACATTAACAGAAAGTAAAAATTGCCCATAATGGCAAAAAAGGAAATAACTTTTTACTAATAAATTGTATATAACTATTACAGTTGTATACACATAAAGTATAACATTGGGATCATACTGAATATATGTTATGTAATTTTGTTTTACTAAACAATATCAAGTGACCCATTTACCCACGTCGTTACAGCCTCAAAGGTGATTTAAATCTCTGCATGATATTTTGTTGGTCTGCTTTCCAAATTTACTCATTTGTGAGACAAACATTTACTGGACTCTGGGTGTACAGTGGTAAGGAGAGACTCCCACAGCACACCCACTTTTCTGGGTTGGGAGTTACGAGGACACTTAGGAGTTTCCCACCTCCACCCAAGACGCTGTGGGGAAGGGCGACTTCCCTTTCCCCTCTCCGTGCAGAGTGGACCTGCTTCTACTTTGGAGTTTGCAGGATTTAAGTTGCTTCAGATAAATTGGAAACTGCTGCACTGGCTGCCTGCGGGGCAAGGCCTGATGTCTGTATGGTTTCGATCGATGACGAGGTGAGTGTAATAGGCAGATCGCCACTCCTCCTGGGGGACCTCCACTGATTCATGGCACCACATCCTGGGTATCCTTCCAGTTCACTGCTGCTCATGGCGCCTGGCCATTTATCTCTGACAAAATCTTCACCTGAAGCTTTCCCCGAACTCTAGGGCGGGTCATGAGCCCCAGACATGTGACTTGGGGCAGGCGCACAGGGGTAAAGGAAGGGATCCATGTTTAGAAAGTACCAGGCTTTATAGCACGAAAACAGCCTGCACCATGGACGGTGTCTGGTGCTGAAATAAAGCGTCTCACTCTTGGGATGGTGGCTTTGTTCTCCTGCCCAGAGTCTAAGGGTCTAAGTTAGAGGGTCTGAGTTCTAGCACCAGACCTCAAAATCTCTCACCAATATAACTGCTCTAACCTGAGTTTCTGATCTCTCCAACGCAGAGGGCGCTCAATTCATTATCAGCCATTATCAAACATCAAAATGTAAGAAGAAAGGGCCTTCTCCTGTGGTAGTGATTCCCTCCACAGGTATAACTTATTTCTCAAGTAAGTTACAGTTCCCATTATTTCAAAAGCTATTGTGACAACTTCCAAATCCCCTTCCTTAAATTAATTTAAATTAATATATAAACACAATTGATGTCGAGATCTTTAAAAACTGTTTTATTGACTTTACTGAGGCACACTTTCCATACCATAAAGTTCACCCATTGTAAATATAGAATTCAATAACTTTTTGTAAATTTTCAGAGTTGTGCAGGCATCATCACAATCCCATTTTAGAGCATTGCCCTAACTCCCTTATGTTCTGTTCTCCTGCGTATCGGAGGCTCTAGGTCCTAGACTTCAAAATCTCTCACCAATATAGCCATTCTAGCTTGAGTTACTGATCTCTCCAGTGTTTATGCTCACTTGTAGTGACTCCCCATCCCCACCCCTAGTCCTAGGGAACAACTGACCTGCTTTCTGTCTCTGTAAATTTGCCTGTTCTGGACTTTTTATATAGTTGCAATCATACAATGTATAGTCTTCATTTGTATCTGGCTTCTTTCACTGAGTTTGTTTTTGACATTAATTCAAGTTATTGCATGGATCCGTTGCCCATTCCTGTGGATTACAGAATAATATTCCATGGTATGAATATATCACCTTTTGTTTTTTATTCATCTGTTGATGAACATTTGGATTACTTCCAGTTTGGGGCTATTATAAATAATGCTTCATGCAGAGGTTTTGAGATGTTATCGTAAAATCAAAATATTCCAAAAAGCTCATCGAATGAACTTACAAATTGCTTTGACAGGTGATGTTAAGACTTCAAAGATCAGAGTTTCCAGAAGATGCTAAAAATGCCTGGGGAGTGAAGCCTAGTCACCACTTCCTACTGATTAACATGGAAATTCCCAGAGAAAATTCTTCTTACCTTTTCCATTTCCCATGTGTTCTGGTCTTAAGGAAAGTGCAGGTTGACGTCAAACTGTTTGCTAGAATTTGAGGACCACGTGAGCAGGACCCTGAAACCTAGAACAATCTGACATACAGTTGGCAATCAGCAATTATTTGTTGAATGAATGAACAAATAAATGGTCCAAAAGTGTGATCAAAGAGGCTTTTGGCTCCTGAGGCATCTAAGCCTGATGGACATTTCAGGAAGCAGGATGCAGAGCTTTGTGCTTAGCCGGTGATGGGTGGAATAGGATTAGGAACTGCTGATGTAGAGAGGGTAGAAGAGGAAGAAGGAAGCCCCATTGATAAGAACCACCTTCTAGGTGAGGTTGCCTGTTACCTCTGCCCGTTAATCTAAAGGTGCTTTAAAAATTAAGAGATAGGAGCCAACCCCAAAAGTCTATCAATAGGAATACAAAACAAACTGGAATATATTCATGCAACTGAATACAAGATAGCAGTGAAAATGAATGAAATGACAGCTACACAACATAAAGCGATCTCAAAAACATCGTGTTCAATGAACAAAACCAGGCACCAAAAAGCACATACTGTACGATTCTATGGATTCAATAATTTGTTTAAAAGCAAAAAATTCACCCATAATGTTTAAGGATTCATGCTCAGGCTATGGAAAAACCATAAAGGAAAGTGAAAGAGTGAAACTATAAAAGTCAGAAAAGTGGCTAAGCTTTGTGGTTGACCAGAAAAAGTGGCAGAAGGGAACCACTTCTGCCACTGTTTGAGAGGCACTGAGCAAGGGCATCTGGGATGCTGAAGACATAATTTTCCACTTGCAAAAATGCACAGGACTTTTTTTTTGTTTAATTTTCAGTGGGTACATTATATTTCCCCATAAAAAGTTTGACAAAAAAAACACTAAAATTTCAAAACAAAGCAAAAAACTAAGCAATCATACTAAATTCAAAAATACTGTAGAATGGTTGAAATCCACATCCATGACACAGGTATAATTTTGTTTTTCAGTAGATCTCGCTATTGGTGCCCTTTTTGGTGGCTTGGGCTTATTCCCTGCTATTTGATTGGTACAATTGCTGGGGACCCTGTACTTATCAAGTAAATTGTCCCAAAAGTTAACTTTTTGTTTTATTCTTGGGAATTCAGAGTGCATTTCTTTTGATCCACAAGGATCATGTAAAAAATAGTAGGTAGGAGGTTTTCACAAAGGCCCCTCAAAACCAGTTTAATTTGTGATGTAGCCAAAAGGTAGCATCCATTGTACAGGTCTGGCATTTCCATTCTGGGAGCAAAGACCCCAGCGAGGCAAGAGGGAGAGTTTTTGCTCTTCATGCTAGATACAAGACTAATTCCCAAGGGAAATTTTGAAATAAGTTAAGTTTGCCTTTGACTTCTTCCTGCCTTTTTTTTTTTTTTTTACCGTGCGCTTCTCCCATTTTTGAAGACTCATTCATAGTCAAAATCCCTCACTAGAGAACCTGCCACACACCTGCCTGGCCCACAATAATGCCTCCCATTTCCTCAAGGCACCTGCCTCATCAAGGATTCAGAAACACTAATGTATAAGTGGCTGATGTTTCTTGGCTCTGCTAGAGGGGTCTATAGGACTTTTTTTTTTTTGAAGATGTGATTTGATGGATTTTCCAGCAGGCCAGCATAGCAATGCAATGCAATTCAAGTAGGAATTGTGGGAGAGAAGAGCTTTGGGTAGCAGGGGCCTTTGTATTGACTGTTGCCCAGGAGAATCTGCCATTACTTTTACTTCTTCATGTCTCCTTCCCTTCCTGCACATCTCAACCAATAGCCTCCCTGAGCATGTGAGTTAGAATTGGGATCTAAAGTGTGAGAGTTTGGAGGAGCAGCAATGGTCGTCTAATACTTTTTGTTCACAACTCATTAGTCATATGGCCATCTCTGTCTCCAAAGGAGGCTAGGAAATGCACTTCTTAGCAAGGTGGCCAGGTGCCCAGCAAAACCAAGGTTCTATCCCTAGGCAAGTAAGGGAAAATGGATATTGAGAAGTATATTAGTCTGCTAGGGTTGCCATAACAAAATACCATAGACTGAGTGGCTTAAGCAACAGAAGTTTATTTTCTTGCAGTCTGGAGGCCACAAGTCTGAGATCAAGGCATCGGAAAGGTTAGTTTCTTCTATGGCCTCTCTGACTGGCTTGTAGATGGCTGCCTTATTGCTGTGTCTTCACATCATCATTGCTCTGTGTTTTTCTATGTCTTAATCTCCTTTTCTTATAAGTATACAAATAATATTGGATTAGAGCCTGTTCCAATGACCTCATTGAATTATAATTACCTCTGTAAATGCCCTATCTCCAAATACAGTCATGTTCTAAGCTACTGGGGGTTAGGACATCAACATATGAGTCTTGCCATGGAGATACAATTCAGCCTATAACAGGGAGAAACAGAATCTCTCCCATGAGCTTCCATATCTCTGCCCGTATCTCGGCCAAATCCATTTATTCTGTTGCCAGTTAGACTGGAGGCTCTGTGACAGCAACAGTGATGGATTTTGATCTTCATTCTTCTTTGTAGCATTTGAAGCAGGGCCCCACACAACTGTGCATGTTCCATAAATGCAGATGACTAAGTACTATTGGCAACGATAATAATAGAAAGATTGTAATGATACAGGATAGAGCAGTTGTGGATAAATCCAGTTATGTATCTTGCATAAAGCAAAAGCAGATTGGAAAAAATTGAAATAAAGGGGCATAAATGTATATCCATTCATTCATTAATTTATTCATTCATTCATGTACTTTGTTAAACAGCTGTTCATTGAGCACTTATTATGGTCCATTTGGTTAGAGGCGTTGGGTTCACAATGATGTACAAGACCCTTTTCCTTACAGAACTTGAATTCTGAAGAGAGAGTGAAAAGTTAATTAATTAATAACACCAGGTTGTGATTATGGTTATTCAGGATACAAGCAGAAAAATTTGGCAGTTGGAGGATGGCCTTTTGTCATTCTGGATGACTTCCCTGTGGATACAGCACTGGAGTTGAGACTTATGGTTGGAAAGAAATGAGCCATCAGAAGGGCTGTAGGAGGAGCAGCAGTCACAGAGGGCAGTAAGGGAGGAGTTTCAGAGTTGAGAAGAATCATGACTGTTAAAGGAACAAAAAGAAAGCCAGGGGGGCTGCCACATGGCGAGAGGGTGGGGAAGGTGGGAAGAGGTGAAGCTGGAGATTGGTAGGGCCAGAACAAGTAGTGCCTTGGAGGTCATGTTAAAACTTTGAATTTTGCTCTAAAAAAAAAATAGAAGCAGAGAAATGATACTATCAGATTAAAATCACAGATTTATTACTGATAATAAATTAGCTTTTTATTCTGCAGTATACAAAGTGCTTTCAAGGCCAACTTTATCTTTAGTGATTCTAGTGGATTGAATATTTTGATTCCTTGACTTATGGGGAAGACATAGATGGGCTCCACGTTCCAGAAAACATTTAAACACAACAAAATGTTTTCAGTTCTAGAAAAATTTGGTTGAGGACAGTTCAATTTCTGATTATATTGCAAAGGCCCCATGGGTCTATATGAGCCTCAGAATTATGATCATTATAATCACCAACACTCATTGTCCAGATAGAAATCAAGTAAAATCTTAGATGGTTTTTAGATGTTACCTTCAGAAAATATACTTATTGCTATAATTATAAAATATTTATTTATGTATTTATTTATTTATGTATTTATTTATTTTTGTGACAGGGCCTTGCTCTGTCACCCAAGCTAGTATGCAATAATGAAATCATAGCTCACCACAACCTTGAACTCCTGGAATCAAAAGATCTTCTCACTTCAGTGTCTCAAATACCTGGGACTACAGGTTCACGCCATGTCCCCTGGCAAGTTTTTATTTATTTATTTTATTTTTTATAGAGATGGCGTCTCCCTATGTTGCCCAGGCTAGTCTCAAACTCCTCATCTCAAGTGATCCTCCCACCTCGGACTCTGAAAGTGCTGGAATTACAGATGTGAGCCACTGCACCTGGCCAAAATGTTTATTTTATACATCATATGTAATTATAAAATTGGTTTAAAAACACTTCTGAACCTGACTTTCTTTCTTTTGCCAGTTAAGCCTTTCTTGTAAAAGTGCTGGAAAGAGTTCTTATAAACTGAACACTGTAAGTGTTTGGATGCTGGTGACTGAGAATTCACTGTGCTATAATTAGAGAACTGGCTACCTTGATTGGCTGTAGAGAATTATAGGAACACCAAGTAATGTTGCAACAATTATGCCCCAGCAATTAGCAACCAATAAAGCAGCAGACCTCATTGATAGAACTGTCCTACTTAGTAAAAATATTGGAAAACAAATACCATACAAAACAAATAATACATAACCAGCTCTGGCAGAAGAGCAAAAATAAACTTGGCTTTAGCAGAGAACCTAAAAGCAGCCAAGGCCAGGGCTGAGAGGGAGCAGTTCCTGAGAACGTGATGGCTGTCTTACCAATCAGGATAGCTAGCACGTTTTGAATGCTTTATGTATGTGAAGTACCATAATCAGTGTTTAACAGGCGTAGTAACATTTTGTCTGTACTTACAATCTGTGTGAAAGCTGCTTTGTTAGCTCCATTTTACAGATGAAGAAACTGAGGCCTAGAAAGATTACACCCTTGTAAATAGCAGGGCCTTGATTTAAACCAGGATTTGAATTAAACCTAGATTCCACAAGCCTAAAAGTAGGATACTCAACTTTCCTGTCCAAGCCAGGCCTGGCTTAAGCCTCCATCATGCTGCCTAAGTGATTTTTTTCACCAACAGCTTATTGTTCTTCCAACTAGGGATAATAAAGCCATATTGTGAAAGCAAGTCCTATTTGACATAAGTCATTTAAATCATATTTCAAGATGTTTGCTCAGCACACATAGTTTGCTATTTAATTTTACGTCAACCTGTACTGGTGATATAGCTACAGTTAGGGAAACTGAGGCACGCCAACATCATTAGACTTGGCCAGGATTTCTATAAAATGGGAACATTCTATTCTGCTCTGGAACCTTTAAATAGACTCACTACCCACTCACCACTGTGTAGTTTTCCTCTATTACCCCACTCCTGAATTCACCCAGACCCCCCACTTTACCCTCAGTCATCATGCTTATCCTGATCTGCTCCAGACCCCTCACCCCAGTTTGGTTGTGTGCTTTTCCTGCAAAATCCTCCAGTTTGCAGGAATTGCTTTGTTCTCTTGGTTCTAGCTGGACCTCAGAATTCCCTCCCAGGTACTCCCGACATCCTTGCAAGAAGAACAGCAGTGTGGTGCTTAAAAGCTTGGCTTTGCATCTGCCTGTGTGACCCTGGATGAAATATTTAATGGCTCTGAGCCTCAGATTCTTTTTTTTTTTTAGAAATGAGATCTCACTCTGTTGTCTAAGCTGGAGTGCTGGAGTGCAGTAGCAAAACCATAGCTCCCTGCAACCTTGAACCCCTGGAATTAAGCAATGCTTCCATCTCAGCCTCCCAAATAGCTGGGACTACAGATTCATACCACCACACCTGGCTTCTTTATTTTTAATTTTTTAAAACCTTTGTAGAGATAGGGTCTTGCCATGTTTCCCAGGGTGTCCTGAACTCCTGGCCTTAACCAATCCTCCTGTCTCAGATTCCCACAGTGCTGATATTACAGGTGTGAGCCATCATGCCAGGCCTTTTTTTTTTTTTTTTTTTTTTGAGATACCATCTCTCACTCTGTCGCCCAGGCTAGAGTGCAGTGGCATGATCACAGCTTACTGCAACCTCAAACCCTTGAGGCTTAGATTCTTCACCTGCAAAATGTAATTATCAATACCATCCTCTCTGGGGTAGGAAGCCTGTGATGGAATCATGTCCAGTACTGTACTTCTCTATTAGGTGCCCCCAAATGTCTATGGCATGATTGAACTGTGCCCAGCACATGGGACATGCTCAATACATAATCACTATTTCTATTGAGAGAAATCTCTGTCCTCCCTGTCCCGGCAAAGCAAATTAGGGCCATTCCCCACCTAGGGATTGAATGGGAAGAGAGTTAGCTATGTGAGAACACACATCATGCCCGCATTGTTCCTTTTGTCTTCCCAGCATCTAGAATAGCTCTTAGCAAATAATTACAATAATAACTAGAAGGAAAAGAGTGCACATTTATTGAGCACATACTAATTGCTAGGCACTATGCTAAGCAATTTATCTGTGATATTTAATCCTCACAAGTATTCTCTGTAGCAATTCCTAAAGA
The DNA here is from genome assembly GCF_000001405.40 of Homo sapiens. Taxonomy (NCBI): domain Eukaryota; kingdom Metazoa; phylum Chordata; class Mammalia; order Primates; family Hominidae; genus Homo; species Homo sapiens. The sequence continues at coordinate 51,955,112 of NC_000016.10, read as the reverse complement.
TTTTTCCTTTTTTTTTTTTTTCTTTTTGAGATGGAGTCTCACTCTGTCACCCAGGCTGGAGTGCAGTGGCACCATCTTGGGTCACTACAACCTCCGCCTCCCAGGTTCAAGCCTCCCGAGTAGGTGGGAATACAAGCGCACTCCACCATGGCCAGCTAATTTTTGTATTTTTATTAGAGATGAGGTTTTGCTGACCTCAGGTGATCCGCCCGCCTCGACCTCTGAAAGTGCTGAGATTACAGGTGTGAGCCACAGTGCCCGGCGATTTTTCCCCATTGTATAGAATGAGAAAGATGCACTTCAGAGAAGTGAAGTAACTTGACTTGGGTCATACAGTTAGTGGCAGCAAAGCCAGAATTCAAAAATGAGAATGGTCTGACTATAAACTCTGGGCTTTAACTACAGAATATGCTGTTTCAGTAACTAATGAGAAAGGGAGGCGGGGAGGAAGGGCAGAAGAAAAGGAAGGAGGAAGGAAAAAGGAAGGAGGGAAGGAAGGAACAAAGGAAGGAAGGAAGGAAGGGAGTCGGGGGGAGGGAGGAAGGGAGGGGCGGAGAGAAGGAAGGAAGGAAGGAAAGAAGAAAATAGGAAAAGAGAAATGGAAGGAAAAAGAGAGAGAGGTAAGAAGGACACCGTCTGTAGGCCCTGCCTAGTGTTCTTTCCTTAGGTACTAGTTCTTAAACTTGGCTGCATGCTGGAATTATTTGGCCAGCTTAAAAGAATACTGATGCCTAGGTCCCACCCATCCCCAGAAATTTCAGCTTATCTGCTCTGGTCTGTGGCCTGGACATCAGGACTGTGGCAGCTCCCAGAGGATTCTAGCCTGCAGCCAAATTTGAACCCTACTGCCTTAGCAGGAACATGCTCCCCCTGTCCTCCAAGGTGGCCAGAGCACTTTTCATTAGCACATGTGAGCGGCACCTGAGGCCTCCAGTGGCTCCTCCAAATGGCTTCAGCTGCAGGTGCTCTGGGCTCTGAACAGGGCAAGGGTAGACACAGGGATGGCATGGTTGAGGCAGAACCTGGAAGGGCATGGGTTTCAGGAAGTGGGGTTTATTACAGTCCAAATGACAAAACCTTCTGTGCCGAGTTGCATGCCGACAGTGCTCAGACTGCAGCAAGGGGATGGATGCAGCCCCTTCTGGTGAGTGTCCCCCTCACCATGGTGACAGGGTGTCTTATGTCTGGGATTTACCCGACAATGACTTTTCCAGCTTGCCCCAGGCAGGTGCTCTGATCTGACCCAAGGCCTGGTTCATCAGGATTGAGCAGCTTTTCTTGGACTGGAGCTGGGGATCCCTAACTAGACTGGGCAAACCCTGGAGCTTGGCACTAGGAGGGGAAGAAAAGCGTCTGCCTGTCGGGTGGGGTGTCTGAACCACTGTGGGAGTTGCTGAAGTTATTTGAGCTGAATTGCCAAAGGATATAGCATTTCCTTTGATTCAGGAAGGAAAGTGACCTTTTTAATGTGAGGTGGTGAGTATTCCTCAGGTTCATAGCCAAGCCTTGGGCTGGAGGGTGGTCTGTGAAATCCCCCGGCTTCCACTCCAAGGAGAACCAGGCAGGCAGTCTGTTCTCCGTCTCTTGGCTGCCACAAAATTCATCAACACGTGGGAGATCTGCCTTCTGTGAGACGAAACAAAAATCATTAAACAAAAATAGCCATTTGCCATGCTTGGCCCAGCCATCAACTCAAAATGTTCTTGAAGCTTATAATAAAAGCAGCTATTTATTGCCTGTTTTCTGTGTTTGAGATCTTGTGCTGAGTGGTTTACATTATCAGCACATCTAATCCTCACTTGTTCCCTAACCAGTTGAAATCATTATTCCCATTTTGTAGAAATTAACCTGAGGTTCAGAGAGAGGTTAAATAAATTGCCCAAGGTCAGAGAGCTTATGAACAGCTAAAGTAGGGGCCTGTACCCAGCTTTGTTAGATTCCAAAATGTAAGTGCTCAAAGACCTTGCTACACTGTCTCTGTCAGGATCATGACTCTGTTTTATTTATCTCTGAATTTCTGGCCCCTGGCACGGAGTCTGGCACCTAGAAGACCCACAATTACGTTTGCTGAGTGAATGAAGAAGGAATGAATGAATAAAAGAACAAATGGGCTGGGCATGGTGGCTCACACCTGTAATCCCTTGGAGGCTGAGGCGGGTGGATCTCTTGAGGTCAGGAGTTTGAAACCAGCCTGGCAAACGTGGTGAAACCCCATCTCTACTAAAAATACAAAAATATTAGCCAGGCGTAGTGGCGGGCACCTGTAATCCCTGCTACTTGGGAGGCTGAGTCAGGAGAATTGCTTGAACCCAGGAGGCGAAGGTTGCAGTGAGCCAAGATTGCACCACTCATTCTGTCTCAAAAAAAAGAAAAAGAAAAAAGAAAAGAACAAATGAAACCATTGCATCATTCTAACCTCAAATTCCTCATCTGCAAAATAGAGGCTATGAGGATTAGAGAAATGATGCTGCCTGCTACAAAGCTTTGAAGAACAAGTGGACATCCTATATAGGTTTGCTGATGCTAATCAAAGCACTCAGAATTATGTTGAAAGGATAAAATTTCTCATTATAGCTATGCAAATTTTGCCTATTTATTGCTTTTCTTTTCTTTTCTTTTTTTTTTTTTTTTTTTTTTTGCTTTTTACTGAACAACCACAAAAAACAACAATGGCAAGATGTCACATATGAAGGATCTAGAAAGTTTTCCAAATGATAGAGGGATGAAGTGAGAGAAGATGAGATTTCAGAATATTCTTTTTGCTACTGTGTTTGTGGGGATCCAAGCCTTTGGAGCTGAGAAAGAATGCTGTGATGATCTGTGAAATGGCTAGGGAACTCAGAGGCATTTAGCTACTTTCACCAAAGTCACAGAGAAAGCAAGTGGCGGAGCGGAGCTGCAAAGAGGAGGAGAGGCTCTGGTTTCCAACCAGGCTCACACCTCTGTCTCCTGCCTGGAGCTGGGGTGAGCCCAGCCTCTCTGAGCCAAAGGTTGGCCTGTGAGTTGCACGCCTGCAGCTGGAACTGGCAGACCAACTATGGCATGATTGATGCTCCCTCTGCTTTTGTCATTTATTTGCCTTGTTTTTTTTCCTTCCCCCAACAGAGCTGATAAGGAAGGTTTTGCCAGAGAATCATGTATCGCTTCTTTTTTTTTTTCTATTGACCAGTGAAATGCAGTTCTCATTACTCCAGCCACTTTCCAAGGGTAAGCAGTTTTGCATTATTTAGCACCTAAATTGGGCCTTGAAAGAGACTCGGCAGGGGCCTCTTAATGTTGGGGTGCTATTCTCTACTCTCTTGGTCCCAGCAGATAAACCGTCTCTTCAGGTGTCAAGTCTACGTGATCTGATAGTTTTGCTTTGTTTTGCTCAGGATCCTGACATGGAGTACCAGAATTTGGAAGTTGAAATTTCATTTCCAGAAACCTCACTTTTCAGGCAGTGTGATATGGTCAAATGATAGAATGACCACTGGTAGGGGACAGATAGGATGTGAATCCAGGTTCTGCATATAGTCTACTGGGTGGATTTTAGTAAGTTACTTCACTTTCTCTGGGCTTCTCTTTCCACATCTGTAAAGCTGAGATCCAGGCGGGTGCTGGAGTAACACCAGTGAGGTTTCTGCAGTGTCACATTTAGAGAAGCACGCATGCATGACCCTGAAAGTGAGTGCCCCTTAAACACTGTATCCTGCAAGGCCCCCTGCCTCCCAGTAGTCTGTGCCCTGGTTGAGATGGTTAAGGTAACAACTAACCCTTATTAGGCATTTACTGTACACCTGTCATTACCTCAAGAGCTTTGCACAACAGCCCTGTAAGGCAGATATTATTATTGATCCCATTTTGATAAATGAAAAAACCGAACTAGAGGTGGTTATCCACCTAAGATTACAGAGTTTGCAAGTAGTTAAAGCCAAGATTTTTACTCAGTAGCTTGACACATAGTAGATGCTTAAATACATGCTTGAGGGATGTTTCATGCTGTGGTTGTTATTAAGGTGAACATTCAGCAGCCATGCTCCTCCCCTGAAACAACCAGAATTTTGCTTGGGACCTCAAGTGGCGTCTGACCACTTCAACCAGTCTTGGAGATGACAGATACATTTACAGTGCTGCCGAATAGAGTCATATTAAGTTATCCATCTCTGCCAACTGCTATTCATTGTGAGACCTGCTCCATAATGAAACATTATGGATTGCTTCTTTTGGCTAGAGAATAACTTAACCTCTGACTCGAGATGGAGGTATGTTTTCCATGAAAAGGTGGTTAACAGCCTCCTCCACTCAGCAGAAATACCCACCAAGGATGTGTGAAGTGCCAAAAGACGTATTACATCCTCAAGGTCTGTGAAAGCAAATTCCTCTCAATATATTATGTATTTAATTCCCCATCTGGGTTTCCAGGAATTAAGGCTGTTATTGTACAGTCTAATTTTAAATCTGGAGCTTTATTATTCAAAAGAAATGTCTTTTTTCCCCCTTCTCATGCTCTTTTCCCTCCATCTTGTTCTGTGTGCATTCTGTAGTGAGTTAATTGAGCTTTCCCCACAGGGATTCCATTGCAACTCCAGGACTTGAATATCCTGATAGTCGATGAAGCTGAAAAAAGAGAGATTTTGCAGCCATGACTATATTCAAATGGAAGCTTTTCCTTTCCATGGAGAAGTATAATATGTCTAAGTGAGGTGGTTTTATATTAACTTTGAGTGGATGGAATCAGAGAATGAGATAACACACTGTCTTGTGTCTGTCACCGTCATATCTCTGGCTGCCAGGGTACCTGTCAAGCGCTGGGCCTGGGCAGAGAGTCTGGCCCAAGAGCCCATTCCTGCTTGTCTCATCCCCTTCCTCCTCCTTGTCTGTCTTTCATCCAGCACATGGTTGAAGTCACCCCATATTAGCTGGACATTAACATGGAAAAGCCTAGGCTATGGCACCTTTACACACTAACTCTTTCCTGCCTTCCTAGGTAACTGTGGGGTGTGTTTTGGAGAGAAGAGTAGCTGAAATTAAGTGCTTCCTTCCCCTTCTGTTTACTTCTTTGGAAGTGTATTTCTGCATACTGATTGGAGCTGTCTTTACTTTTTTTCTGTCTTTAAAATAGGAACGTTAATATCTGAAAGTGGTTTGTAAGCTATGAGGTACATGCAAAACAAATAAAAATTTAGAATTATTTTTAAAACAGTCTAAAAGTGTATTGATATAGCACCTAACAAACCTTTGGGGCTTATGCACTCCAAACCCAGCTCTGCCTCCTCTTAGCTGAGTGATTTCCTGTCAATATCTTGGTCCCTTAGATTCTCAGTTTCCTCATCTGTAAAATGAGAATATCTATTTATCTCAAAGATAGTTACGAATGTTTAATGAGGCCATCTACTTAAAGCCCTTTTTGCAGAGTTAGCCAGTTAACTCTTAATGTTGTTAGCAATGCTGATGAAGGGGTTGGGTGTTATTTTTATGCTGTTATGATTATCATTTCTCTCCAAGAGGAATTCCCTCCCTTACCCTGGCCATGCCAGAGTGGAAGGTAACTCCCCTTGTTTCTCCTGCCTTTCATCAGCACCGGGAGCTGGTTACTTGAACTGTAGACTAATGCACATGTGGCCTCTAGTGAATGTCAGGCAGAGAGTGAGAGTGGAAAATTCCAGGTCTGGCTGCTGCTTGGGTGGCTGACCCTATTAACCATTAGCAGTTTATCTTGAATCTGATTCTGATTACATCCAATTTGTTCTTTTGCTCTCCTCCCTCCCTGGTTCCCATCTAGAATTTACATTAGAAAATGAACAGCCAGTGTATCTCATTTGTTAGTGCCGGAGCCACTGGCTGATTTCTGATGTGGACTCACCTAGGCATTCTCTGGGTTTTACGAACTCACTACATCACCATGCATGGAGATGGGGCAGACCTCTCTCTGGGCCTTGGTTATCCTCTATGTTAGACGACTAACCCTCAGTTATTGTTACCTCGTTTTGGCCTCATCAGGAATTCAGAGGTGATGGCTTTTGAGCTTCTAAACAGAAGAGTGCTTCAGAAAGAGTGGAGTATTTAACATTAGGTATATCTCCTAATGCTATCCCTCCCCCCTCCCCCCACCCCACAACAGGCCCCGGTGTGTGATGTTCCCCTTCCTGTGTCCATGTGTTCTCATTGTCTCATTGTTCAATTCCCACCTATGAGTGAGAACATGCGGTGTTTGGTTTTTTGTCCTTGTGATAGTTTGCTGAGAATGATGGTTTCCAGATTCATCCATGTCCCTACAAAGGACATGAACTCTTTATTTTTTATGGCTGCACCAACATGGCACATGTATACATATGTAACTAACCTGCATGTTGTGCACGTGTACCCTAAAACTTAAAGTATAATTAAAAAAAAAAAAGAAAGAGTGGAGTATAGCAGTGTTGCTTCTAACCTAGAGGTTAGATGCTAAAGACTGATGAAAATGTTGAGTGGTCAAAGTTATCCTTGGAACTTGTAAATTGTCCAACAATGAAGCTCAGAAATCTAGATCTTATGGATATAATTCTGTAGTAATACAGATGTGTCAACAGAAAATATACACAGACTATACATAACAGAGCAACACGCAAGAATATACATAGCAAAGCAACATGCAAAACGTAATTGTGTGCTGGTTTTGAATTACATAAAAAGAGAGCACATGTAGTTGAATTTGGGTGTTGAATGCATCCTGAATTCTGCCTCTCTGTAACAGAACTGAATTATTTTGCTTTTCTATGAAAGGAATTCTGTGAAAAAGAATTCTGTTTCAAGATTCAAAGAGTTTAGTTTCCCAACTATCACAGAAGCTTTATTGGGAGGGAAGTTCACCTATAAGGTTGTTCCACAGGAAAAACAGAGAAGTCAGCATGGGGCCAAAAACTCTAGTCTCATTTTATTTTAACCAGGGCCAGTTACCCCAAGAGAAGACTACAGAAAATAACAGCAGTGAAAGCCAACATTTGTGACTGCTGTCTGTATTCCAGATGCGGCACCAAGGCCTTTATATCTGCTGTTTCATTTGAGCTAGGTACTATTACTATTCCCTGCTCACTGATGAGGAAATGGTTGAGTAACAGTGACCAGCCCAAGGTCACACAGCTAGCAAGCACAGGACCCTGGAACACCTGTCTGCAGTCTCATTACAGAGTTCATGATCTCAGAAGGACACACAAAACCAAGGCTTTCTTCATGCTGCCCCTCCCCCACCCCGGCTTCACACTTGGACAAATCTAAGTTTCCCCACCTGCAAAGTGGAGACAGTGATGTCTGATCAGAATATTGAGTAAGGACCAGGAAACAAGGCATGGAGAATTGTGCCCTCTAGAGCCATGGAAGTTTTTAGGTAGGTGTTGATTTAAAAACTAAGATTGGGGGTAGTGGGAACTCAGCCTTTTAGTGCTACCCCCACTGATATCTAGTCAAAGAGAATGGTCTGTCCACCTGTATGCTCAGGAGAGCTTCCTGACCTCCCTCTTCTCCAGTGCTGCCCCTTCGTTTGAGCCTGGAGGCTGGGGGAGTGTGGGGGTGTAATGGGTGTATCCCTTTGATCCTATATATATTTTTTTCTTTTTTTTTTCTTGTCAGGAGTGTTTCTGAATTTTCTTCTGATCTAAGAAGTCTTCAAGCGATGCCCCAACCTCCTATTCAGGAAGGACTGAATTAGTACCTATTAAGGAAATGACCAGTGAATCTGCTGACCTGAAAAAAATAATAATAAAGGGGGTTTTTGCCTGTTAGATTCATTGCTCAGATGCCAATTCATTTGCAAAAAAATAATTGCCTTAATAAATCCCATTGAGCCCAGTATGAGAATGAGGCAGAGTTAAGAATAAAAGACATTCTTCTGCAGGGATCAGAAATGCTGTGATAGGGAGTGTCCTGGGATTACGAGAATGCACTTATTGGAATGACACTCACACTGAAAAGCTGGTGAAAGAAGGCAAGACACTTTTCTATGTGGTGGGAAAAAGAAAACTAACTCGGTTTGTGCACACCTCAAAGGCATATTTTGATATACAGTGAGGGGGAAAGTGGGGGCCCTGAGGCCTAGCTAGGTGCCTGGTGGCCGGGTGGGGCTGGAAGTGGAGGGGGTTTTGGTTTGGTGGAATTCCATGGTGGTGTGTGAGGAAAGTTGCCACATTAGGAGGTCTGAAACTCTAAGTTGGAGTGCGGGCTCCTCTCTGTTGGCTGTGGGACCTTTCTTTCTCAGTGCCTTGATTTCCAAACACCCCATGGAGCTCTTAGGGGATATGCATAAAATCTGTGACAGCACCTTATTACTTGTAGGGAACTGCTCCTAGGTGACAAATCATCATATATATGATCAGCGTTTATCGAGCACCTATTCTGTGAGGTATTACCCTCAGCCCTTTGATTATGGGACTGACCAAAGCCACATAGTCCTTGTCCCATGGAATTTACATCCAGGGAGTGGAGACAGACAATCAGCAAATACATGTATAATATGGGAAAGGAAGGATTTGAGCAGGGAAATGATAGCAACCGACCTGAGTTCCAAATAGAGAAAAGTGACAAATAAATAAACATGCCTCCTTATTCGAAAGAGATACTTCAGAAGCCCCAGTTAATAAACACTCCGTGTTTTTCAGCCCATCATAATGTATAGGTGCAGCATGTTGCAAAAGGATTTAATCTCTAAAATTCTCCACAAATGTCAAGCTCATAACAAATATCAGAGGCAATTTCATATTCAGTTCAAAGTTCTTCTTAGACATATAATCTATACAACTTTATTATATAACTTCTTAGACATATAATCTATATAACTTCACTATTTTCAAAGTTCATCCTAAACATTGAATTTGTTAGGCCCAAAGGACTGGTTAATGGCAAGTTAATAGTCACCTTCCATCCACTCACTGATGCAGAGATGCCTCTCAACTTACAAGGGAGCTGTATCCTGATAAACCCATCCTGAGTCAAAAGTACATTTCATGCTGGCAACACTGCACAGGGTCCTTGACTGACTTACAATGGTTTCACTTGCTGATTTTTTTACTTCAAGTTGGTGCAAAAGTGGTAAGAATTCAGTAGAAACCATAACTCCATGGTAAATTGTAAGGAGCTCTTTGACTTAGCATGGGGTTTACACCTGCATAAACCCATCATAACTGAAAAATCTTGAATTGAGCCATTATAAGTCGAGGACAATCTGTATTTACCAATGGGCTTTTATGGAGTGTTATTAAGCACTATGCTGAGTCCCAAGGTAACCCCTGCTCCATGGGGCTTGCCATCAGTTCCTTCGGGGTTGCATTAACTCCAGAATTGTTCTGTGCACAGAAGGGCTTTTTAATCATGATCTGTGTTCTTCGTGTTTCTCAGGCTTGCTGAGGCTGAAGGTGGCACAGTCATGTGGTGGGGTATCTGAGTGTGAGGTAGTGCAGACAAGGTGTGTGCTGAGCATGGGAGAGGATCCTCTGATGTCTAGGAACAATAGCATCCCCCAGTCAGGAAGCCCACAGAGGGGCTTGCCAATGCATCTTTGTTTCCTTCTGATATTAGCTCTGTGCAAAACAAAACCCCAGTCATGCTCTCTTTTGGGTCTCCTCTTCTTTTAGAAAAAAAAAAAAAAACAACAACAAAAAACAAAAAACAAAACCCTCTCTCTTCTCTTATCATTAGTTCAAATTTCCTTTGTTTTCTGGATATATATTTTAAACTTTTTAGTTTGAACTAATTTTAGACTTACAGAAAAGTTGCAAAACTATAGAGTCCCTATATACCCCTCACCCAGTTTTCCTTCATATTGACGTCTTCCACAACGACTGTAAAATGATCAAAAGCAGGAAATTAACATTGGTACAATACTATTCACTAGATGGCAGGCCCTATTTGAATCTCACCAGTCTTTCCCTAATGTTCTTTTTTTTTTGTCTGGGATGCAATCCAGTGTCCCACGTTGCATTTGGTTGCTGTTTTTTTCTCACTCTCTCTTAATCTGCTACTTTTCCTTAGTCATTCCTTGTTCCTAGCTATTTCTAAGGGCACAAACCTCTATAGTCCTTGAAGAAATGTTAGGGTCATGGAGTTTTGATGCTGGACAGGGCAGTCGCAAGTAGTAAGGTTCCCAACATCAGAATCAGTCAAGAAAAATTGGAATGATTTGGCATCATGACAGATGTTGCAAAGGGAGTAAGTGCAGGGCACAGGCATTGGACTTGGAAGCAACATCCTAGCTCCAATAATGATAATGATAAATGTTAGCTCTCACGGAAACATCTTGCTTCTGAAGTCAGGGCTGTGATCAGCCCATCTAGTTTGAATCTGGGCAAATTTTTTCATCTTTTTGGGCCTCTGCTTCCTAATCTGTGAAGTGGGGATAATAATAGCATCAGTTTCAGGGTTGTTGCAAGGAGTTAATGGGATAAAGCATGCAAAGTATGTAATACCATACCTGAAACAGGGAAAATGTTCAATGTATGTTAACTATTGTTACTATTCTATTAATATTATTGTCTTTATTATTTTTGTTTATTTCTTTTGAGACGGGGTTTCACTTTCATTGCCCAGGCTGGAGTGCAGTGGCGTTCACTGCAACCTCCACCTCCCAGGTTCAAGTGATTCTCCTGCCTCAGCCTCCCGAGTAGCTGGAATTACAGATGCCCACCACCATGCCTGGCTAATTTTTTGTATTTTTAGTGTAGATGGGGGTTTTACCATGTTGGTCAGGCCAGTCTCGAACTCCTGACCTCAGGTGATCCTCCCAAATCCCTCCCAAAGTGCTGGGATTACAGGCATGAGCCACCACACCCGTTCTGTCTTTATTCTTGTTATCAGTCACCATATACATACTATTTGCCAAGGATGATGTGAAACACTACCTATCCTATAAGGTAGTTATCTGCATTTTCCAGATAAGAACCTGAGGCTCAAAAGTGGGGCTTCAGACCTAATTTTATCTGACCCTGAAGCCCATGTTCTTTGAAATGCTACCCGATTGCCTCATCAGTAATAATGGAGCAGTTGTATGCATGATGTATTTTACAGCTCTTTCTCATGTATGGCACTCAATTTAACTTCAAAACATCCCTGGGGGTTGGAACAATAACAACAACATTTGGTAGATAGGTAGGGAAAGTGAGGGACAATTTTGGAAAGAAATGAGATATTCCTCATCCATGCACATATTCTTTCTGGCAGAGTGGTCTTGGAATCTCAAGGCCCTTCTAAGCTCCTAATAAACATGTACTAACTTTTACAAAGCATTCTGAGTTATTTGGTGCAGTATCAGTATGAGGCTTCAAGCTTGCTCCGTATCAAGGATGCCAGGAGCAGGTGAGCTGCGAAATCTCAACAGCCACTGTGCAGGGACCTGTGGCCTCAACCTCAACCTCAGGAGATATCTAGCTAAGGCAACTTGAAATCATCCCACATTTGGCAAATGATGCCATAATTTAAGGTTTGTCTTTGCTCTCAGAGAAGTTATACCCCCAAGTTGCAAACTAAAACCCAAAACACAAGACCTGAATCTCTTGTGCTTTTAGATTTTCTGGTGTGACAATCTTTGCGTTTCAGGAGGAAAAACTGACCATGTTCCTTACGTCTGGGGAGGGGCATTAGAGACACTAAGGGATATAAAAGTAGTAAGAACCAACATTTTTAATTCCAACTGAAAGGAGGCCAGTCCAAATGGCGAGCTAGACAGGAAAATACTTCTTTTAGTTCAAAACATATTCTCTGAGTAGTGTGTATATTGGGGCCATGGACAAATGAGACATTGCCTCTGGAGACATGGGAATGATCCCAAATGATACCTACTATGTGCCTCATATTGTGATATGCATGTTATCAGCCTTATTTTTTGTTTCATTATATATAACTCTGTGATGTAATTATTATTTATTGTATTTTACTCAATGAATGATTAGAGATTTAGAGAGATTGAGTAAGCACCCCAAGATGACACAGCAAGTAAGTACAAACCCGAGATTTAAACTCAGGTCTATCAGACCCCAAAGGCCATGCTCAATATACACTGCCACATGGACCTTGAAGAACATGCAGACCAATGTGGAAGACAGGCAAGAAAGCTAAGCCTTGTGCTGCAGCGGTTAGATTACCAATTGGTTTCCCCTCATTATTCTGAGAGAAGACACTACAGAGGAGAAGTTTCCAAATCTGGTTGCAGAATGTGATTCCAGGGTTCTTCCTGAGCCCCATTTAGACTGACCTCCCTTCCCCACTGCTTAAGGTGGATGTGTATATAGGGTTTCCTGTCTTGCAAAGTCAGAATTGGAAAGGGGAATGAATAAAATGTCTGCCTATTGATGAACCTGCATTAAAATCAGATAAATTCCATTCATCATTCAAGAAATAGTTGAACTGGAAGGAACCTGGCTCATAGTGGGCATTTGGTAGATACGAGTTGAATGAATTAATGAGTGAGTGAAAGAATAAATTTTGAGACCCTAAGAGGTTAATAGAATGCCTTGTGTGTATAGACCAATCTCTGGCTCTATCCTTTTTCACAAACGCAGGAAAAGAGATGAAGAAAGTTACCCCCAATCAGTGTCACCATTATATTGAAAGAATATAGAATCAGTTCATACCAACGTACCCGCACAATTGCACTTTTGCTTATTTTGAAAAACTAAACATTTTTGAGAGTTTTGAAAATAAGATTAGATAAGACGTCTTGGGAATCTTAACTATTAAAACTAATTGTTCCTACTGTTGTTCAGCTCATTCGAGGGGATTGCTTCATGACTTCTTCTACTGCTGTGATTCCAGGAGACTTAACACAGTCTCTTGTCTTCGGTCAACTCAATACAATCATGGTTCAGTGATAAACCATGAACCATTTTAGCTGTTTAACTATTATAACTATCTAGCAAATGAAGAAATGAACATGAGTCTCATTTATGATTACTGTGTAATTAATTCATGTCAGTAAGAAAAAAAACACATTTAGGGGCTACCGTATGTGGTTCTGTTTTCTTTTAGTTATTTGTTTGCCTATGAGAGAAATGAGATAGATATTATTCACCATCAGAATGCTAATGAAAAAGTCCTTGCCTGGGAAGACCACAGGTGCTTTGTTTTTCAGGGAGTTGTAATTTCACGTGGAAAGAAGGTGAGTGAGAATCATTTGTTCTGCCATAATGAGCCCCACTAACTGGTGGTTTCTGCCTTTGGCCATGGTGTTCACAGCCACCACGAGGGGTGGGCCTTGTCGGTACTAGGCTCCAGGTGAGGCTTGCCACATGATCATGCGTCTCTGGCTTGTCAGATCTTCTGAAATTTTATGAGAAGCTGGAATCTGGCTTTAGAGCTAGTATCTGCCAATTTTTACATTTCATTATTTCTATGATTAATATTATTGTCTTAAATTGTGAGATTCAAGCAAAACATGACAGCACACACAGTTTCTGGATTCTGGTTAAAGGGAGGCATTGGCACAGCCTTGGAGTCAGGGAGCATCCACTTGCTCTGTTGCTCCTGTTTCTCCCCTAGCTCATAGTTGCCTGAAGGGGGCAGATCTATAGGGAGCTGTGCAAGCCAATAGCACTGTTCTATGGTTTGGGGGTACTTTGGGTTGCTGCATGAGAAAAAAAAACAAAACTAAGTGATGTATATGAAGTACTTAGGCTTTTCTAGCTTTTATTATTTAGATAATTTTATTTTTCATTTATTTTTCATGCACATAGTAGTTGTGCATATCTATGGGGTGTGTGTGATATTCTGACACAAGCATGCAAAGTACAATAATCAAATCTGCATAATTGTGACATCCATCACCTCAAACATTTATCATTTCTTTGTATTGAGAACATTCCAAATATATTCTTCTGTCTATTTTGAAATATACGATACATTATTGTTAATTATAGTCACCCTATGGTGCTATCGAAGACTAGATCTTATTCCTTCTAGTTAACTGTATTGTTGTATCCATTAACTAACCTCTCTTTCTCTCCCCATCCCTCACTACTAGTTAGTTTTAGTAACCAAAGGCAAGAACTACAACCTGGTGGCCTCCACTATTCTTGCCAGCAGAGGGGTTTCCTTTGGTCTACACAGCCTGCCTCTCCAGTTCCCTGACTCCCAACTCATCCCTTTTTATGGCACAGCTGGCCAGCTACACCCAATTTTATATGCTGGATCTTTGTAGGCATTCGAGTTGCAACCCCCTCCCCTTTTTCAGGGGAGACAACGTCTTTCTCTCTCTCCCAGACTGAAGTGCAATCACAGCTCACTGCAGCCTCAACTTCCTGGGCTCAAGTGATCCTCTCACCTCAGCCTCACAAGTAGCTGGGACTATGGGCACACACCATTGCCCTTGGCTAAGTTTTTTATTTTTTGTAGAGACGGGGTCTCCTCACATTGCTCAGGCTGGTCTGGAATGCCTGAGCTCAAGCGGTCTTCCTGACTCAGCCTCCCAAAGTGTTGGGATTACAGGTGTGAGCCACTGTGCCCCTTCTTTAAGCCTTTAGTTACTGGCATCTCATGAGCAACTGGCTTTAAAGCTCTGTTGGAATAGGACAAAGGAGAGCAAGGTAGGCTCTGAGCCAAGAATGGAAGAATGCAATTCTTTCACATTACAAATCAAGATTTCTCAAAAGTTCTCCATCATGCAGTGTAAAATCTACTACACCTCAATATCTTCTGTATATCTTGTTACCTGGCCCAAGTCCTACCCACCCCGTAGGTCACACTTTCAAGGTTCTGAGCAGGATTTATTTGTTCTGCCTCTATGTTCCTACAGCAGCCTGGGACCAGCACAATCAAGCACCTCTTTCACATTCTTTACAAGTTTTCAGTTGAGATAGCTACAGTCACAAGCTGCTAGAGCTAGGGGTATTCATTTCATATTATTCCCCTTGGTGTCCTCTGAACTCAGAATATTTTTTGGTACACAGTGAGGGCTTAAAATACTTGTCAAGGGAGAAAGGAGAAGGTCTCTTGAATGTGGATGTGTATGTACCACTGAAAATCTTTTCGATTTTGCAATTTTGCCATGAACCCTTCCCCGTAAACGTTGTGATAGAGCAGGTAGGACACTGAGTTTCCTACTTCCCTTGCCTTCTTTTTCCTCACTGGAGAGGCAGGAGGAGGAGGCAAGAGAGTGCAGAAAGAATGATTCTGAGACTTTCTCCTTTCCAGTATCCATGCCACTGTTGGGGGATTAAAACCCAACCTCTTCCCCAGTGGCATGTTCAGCAAACCTCTGACTGTCGGAATCCAATGCGTCAATTGAATATCAGAGCAGCAGATCTGGATATTGTGTTCTCTTCAGCTGACCACCTCTTGCCGGATGGGAGGCAGGGCCGGGGGAGGCAGAGAGAGCCAAGATGGGGGAGGGGAGAAGGCAGAGGAGAGCTCTCCATGGGAACTTCTCCCTCCCACCCTTCCAAATCGTAAATTAACAACAGTGGACCTTGTTAAGTGCAGCTTCACAAATTAATATGAAATATAGTGCTTTTTCATAAGCTTGAGAACCAGATTTAAAAGCATATTGGTGTTTGTACACAGCAGGCCGTAATGATCCATTATCTTGCAGACAGAGAAGCTTGCAGCAACACATAAAGAAGATGCAATTGGGCCATCTGCTTTGATTTCTGCAGCGTCCCCAGAGATCCAAGGGAGGAGCTGACAGTCCTCTCCATCTGCCTTTACATTATCAATTACAGTTGAATTATGCCGCATGCTGCAGGGCTGGCAGATACGGATGGGAGATTGTGGCACCTGAAAAATATAGAAGAAAATCCATATGTTGGGAGCCAGCTGTTTATTTACAAGTGCTTGACATATTTCCTCACTTTCTCGGCTGTTGCCTTTTTTAAGGTTCCTAGAGACATTTCAGTTTAGTGTGAACTTGAGAAGAAATTAGGTGTAACAGCATAACACCACATGAATAATATTTCAGTTTCCTTTTTTACAGTTGAAATGCACACAGAGCAAAAAACATCAGGTCAAACAGATTTTAAATTATGAAAAAAATAAGTTGTGAAAACATCTGGGGTGGCTGCTACAGCTTGTTATGTTTATAAAACATGTTGGAACAGGCGGGGCGGTGCACACTGTACATTGTTGGCAGCTTAGAAATCATGTGTAAAACTGTAACTTTTATGAAATGGCAAGTGTTTATGAAAGCTTAGGGAGTGGGGAAGGTAGAAGGTGGAGTGGCCGGCACTTTCATGAAGTCTCTTACCACAACTTCTGGGAATGCTGCTTGAAGGATGAAATGGTCTGTTTTGTTTTGACTTGATTTTTTTTTTTCTTTTTAAACAAGGGACTTAACCTGTTCCTGATTCAACTGGTTCTAGAATGGTGAGGTGGAGGGCCGCCATATTGATTATGTTGTGCTTGGGTTTTATGGTATGAGATTCCTTCCAACCGTGTGGGAATTTACACTTCATTCTCATTTCATGCCACATCCTATCCCCACATCTACTGAACAGCGGAGAGCCTGTGTGTGCCTATGTATGTGTGTGTGTGTGTGTGTGTGTGGTGTGTGTGTGTGTTTGCTCAGCTGAGGTTCCCATGCAGTGTGTCTAGAGGTTTGGGGAAAAGATGCCGAAATTCGGCACTTGCAGGTGGCAAAGAATAAGGGGACTCATTCTGCTATCAAGGGAGACTATTTTTTTAGATGCCCTAGAAGCAGAGATTCTTGCAGGGTAAGTAAAGAGACTGAGGTCAGACGTCAAGCCCCAATTTTCCACCACTCACTTACCATTCAGGGCCAATTCACAGGGCCTCTTTGTCCTTATGATAACTCCTCCAAGGTCCCAGCACTTAACACTTTCTGTCTTGCATTATATTTTCTGATGCATCTTATACTTTTGAGGTCATGAAATGGAGGCTTCCTGAAGGAAGGCATGAACTTACTTATTTTTCCTTCTTTCTTAAGATCAGCATGACATCTGGCATTTCCTGAGTGTTCATAAAATGTAAAAGGAATAAATGAATGGGTGAATGAATGATGCCCTAGTATTTTCTGTATATTAAATAACAGGCTTAGTAGGGCAGGGGCAAAATCTAGTAACAAAGAATTGTCAGCTCGTGTTATGGCCTTTGAGACACAAGGTCTGCTGCTAAGGGCGCCTTCTCTAACCTGACCACTGTAGACGAGAACATGTCTTTCTCTTTGTGGTCACTGGGCAGCTCCCTGGGGAAGAGAGAACCAAACCACCAAGCAGGGATTGCCTGTTATTCTTTCCCTCTGTCCTCACAGCCTCTCAGCCACTGACGTCCACTGACTTTCTCACCATCACCTCGTGGGTCCTTCCTGTCTGTGCTCACAGCACGGGGGTTCATTCATAGTCTCATGGAAATGAAGTTATGTGTGCATAATGATCTCCACAGTGCTTCATAATAAAAGCTCAATGCATGAATACTGTGGTACTAGGACCGTATGTAAGAATTTGTGGGCCCAGTGCAAAATGAAAATGTGGGACCTCTTGATCAAAAATTAAGATTTTCAAGATGGTAACAGCAGGGCATGAAACTAAACATGGATCTCTTCTAAACACAGGGCCATATGCATCGGCCACACCCCCGTGAAGCTGGCTTTGCTAGTGATGCTTGGTGCTATTAGTGCTAGATCCATCAATACTTTTATGATTTCTCCTTCCCTTTCACTTTCTTTTTCCCTTTTCTTGTCCCCTCCCTTTTCCCATCATTCCTTCTACTCTTCCCTCTTCTCCTCCTCAAGACATTATGCAAGACTCTTACTCTGTTTCCTGTTTCCATCTTTCCCTTTGCCCATTTTCTTTTCACTTAGATACTGAATGGAGCCTCTCTAACAGCAGCCGGCGGCCTCATCACTTTTCTACTCCTGAGTTTCTCTCTCCTTTTTTTGAGCTTGAATAAACCTAGATAATAATTTTTCCCTTTGATGATGACTCATGAAATTGTTTCTTTCTTTATTTAACATGTCTTATTGATACATAATAGATGTATCTATTTTCAGGGTACATGTGATAATTTAATACATTCATATAACTTATAAAGATCAAATCGGTGTAATTGGATATTCATCACCTTAAATATTTGTCTTTTCTTTGTGCTAGAAACATTCAAATTATTCCCTTCTAGCTATTTTGAAATGTACATAGATGACGTAAATGTTAGTCACCCTACTGATCGATCGAACACTAGGTCTTCTATCTGACTTGGTTTTCAGTCTCTTTGTCAAGGGACCTAGCCTAACTGTGCCTACTTCAGAGGCATGTTGCATTGCTTCAATAATAGTATGAATGAATATACATAAAAATACACTCACGATTTTGTATGCTCCTAGGGACATGGTGGGAGCTCACAGAATACCAGCTATCTTCATCCACCTCTTCCACCTTCTCCTCATCAATGTTGTAACTCTTTCCACTATCTACCCAGCAGAAATCCTTATGTCTAACCACAATTTTCTTTCTTGTGGTATGATACTTTCTTCATTCATTTGTTTGGTTATTTAGCATCATTTGTTGAATCCCCGAACATACAAAGATGCAAAAAGGCCAGGACATCCTCTATTAGTTTTGATTGTTTTTTCTTTCCCTTCTTTCACATCTATAACCTCCTTTAACCCTTATATTATATTTATTAGAAAGGATATAGCAATAAAATTGGTCAGAGAGAGGAACTGAGTTGGTTAAAATCATATTGCAAGTCAGTGGCGATGCCAGGATTAGAACTCAGCATCTGTGAGCCTGAGCTAATTCTCCATCCCCAAAGTGTAGTGCCTGCTGAGTTCACCTGTAAATTCCTAACAGATGGTCAACTAGACTTTTGCTCCTTTTCTGTCTTACTTCAACTCAGGTTGAGCATGCTGGATAGGCAAGATAAAAATGAATGAATGCTTGAAGGAGAAAAGAAAATCATTAATGCTCCATTGGCTGGTATCCTTGATAACTCCCATTTTCATTATCTATTGCTACTTAACAAATCATCACATATTTGATGGCTTAAAACAGCTACAACTATTTGCTCAAAATTCTCCAATTTAGGCAGAGCTCATCTCTGGCCCATATGGCATCAGCTGGGATGACTCTAATGTGGCTGGAGAATCCACTTCCAAGATGACTTACTCATATGGATGGGAGGTTGGCATGCTGGCTACCAGCAAGGAGCTCGGCTAGGGCTAGTGGCCATGTCTTGTTTCTCCTTCATGGGGCCTCTTCACATGGCTGAGCTGGGCTTCTCACAGCACGGCAGGTAGGTTGCCAAGGGGAGAATCTTAAAAAGAAGAGTTCCAGGAAGACAAGACCCAAGTTTAAGCCTGCACTGCCCCAGACACTAGCCACTAACTACACATGACAATAGAGCACTCGGAATGTGGTTGGTCTGAATTGAGATGTCACTTACCTGCAAAACGCACACCTGAGTTTAAAAACACAGTCTGAAGAATTAACGGGTACAATACCACTAGCACTTTTTAAAAAAATCTTGATTACATTTTGAAATAATTGTTTTTGTTAAATAAAGCATACTATTAACCTTATTGGCTTATTTTTCCAACATGGCTGCTAAAAATTTGAAAATCGTATCTGTGACCCACATGATCCTATGGTGCTCCCCGAGCTTACAAAACTCTGTTTGCATGGCACTTGTTATTGTCCCACTGACAAAAGCTGGTTACATGACCAAGCTGGGGTCATCCTGGGAAGAGGCTACCCCATGGTATTAATACCAGGAGGCTGGGTTCACTGGAAGCCACCCAGAGAACAATCTACTGGAACTTCCAATGCTTCCATTATGTTCAATTTAACAAACAATATAGTGCAATTTTCTAAAATAATCAGATGCAAAAATGTCCTATAAAATGTCAGAGAACAAGCTTCCAGGTTCTGATATAATAGCATACAGTATTTTATGTGTTTCAGCAATGATTACATAATTATTAATTATCTACTGCATACAAAGCACCAGGCACTAGTCAACAGAAGCAGAGCAAAGGGTTCTCATGTATCTTAAGACTGGAGAAATTCAGATTGAATTCATGGAGTGAAAGAGTGCACAGTATAAAACTGTTCCACATTAAGTCCTAGTTCTATGTTTCAAAATAAGTGCCACATGGGCTACTTGCTTACCTGTGGTTACGCCAGTTATATTCCATCTTTTTCTTGAATGTATCTTTTCCCACCTACGGTTTCTGAGTTTCTAATTCAGGAGCTCGGAGGCAGAAGCAGCACAGGAATATTTGCTGAGTACAATTTAACGAAGTCATTTTTATGTGCATCTCTGATCTAGAATCATTGCAGAGTAGGCTTCATGGGCATTCAAAGGAGATAAAGAAAGAAGAGAAATGAGATTGGAGAATCTTTCTGGAAAAAGTGGTCCTTAGAAGTCCTTAGAAGTCGAGTGGATTTCAGCCCCTGATAAGAGGATACCAAGACAGTCACAATATTACATAACATTAGCAAACAAAACTTCTGCAATCACCTCACTCTCAGGCATCTTAGGGCGTAAGGGTGGCAGTTCACTAGGGCTGCCATAACAAAGTACCACAGACTGGGTGGCTTAAGCAATAGAAATTCATTTTCTCACAGTTCTGCAGGCTAGAAGTTCAAGATCAAGGT
Source organism: Homo sapiens (assembly GCF_000001405.40). NCBI lineage: Eukaryota > Metazoa > Chordata > Mammalia > Primates > Hominidae > Homo > Homo sapiens. Next base: position 51,934,569 of record NC_000016.10, on the reverse strand, counting down.
GTCGGCAGGATTGGTTTCCTCTGAGGCCTCTCTGCTTGGTTTATAGATGGTTTTATCCCAATGTCTTCCTCCTTACACAACAGGCTTCCCCCATTCCCCCCAGGAGAGGCACGGCCCATGACCCTTGATAACACTCACTCTGTTAGTGACAGTCCTACCTGACATTTGCCATTTCTCTCTCTCTCTCTCTCCCTCTCTATCTCTGGCTTCCCTTTCCTGAAATCTTATCTGTGAGGCCACTTGAGGGTGTCCTGCAGTGACTCCTGCTGATGGTGCCCAGGGAGATCCTGCCTAACTCAGTGCCCAGAGTCTTCACCTCAGAGAATGACAATCTCATTCTTCCAAATTCTCAGGCAAGACAAACTGGCAGTCAACCATGACTCATTCCTAAATTCTAGCAATTCTTTGTCATTTTTGTCCTTGCCCCTTCCTCTGCCTGGGATGCTCTGTCCCCAGATATCTTTATGGCACATCTCACTCTCTTCAGGTCTGTACTCAAATGCCATCAAAAGAGCTTCCCTGACAACCCTAGAATAAAAGCAGCCCTCACTGTTTATCTTCCTTAATCTAGCTTCTACTTTTTGAGACAGGATCTTGCTCTGTCACCGAGGTGGGAGCCCAGTGGCACGATCTTGGCTCACTGCAGCCTCTGCCTTCTGGGCTCAAGTGATCTTCCCATCTCAGTCTCCCAAGTGGCTGGGACTACAGGCGTACACCACCACGCCTGGCTAATTTTTGCATTTTTTTTGTAGAGATGGGGTTTCACCATGTTTCCTAGACTGGTCTCAAACTCCTGGGCTCAAGTGATCCTCCCACATCAGCCTCCCAAAGTGCTGGGATTACGGACGTGGGCCATTGTGCCTGGCCTTCCTAACTTCTTTATACTTTTCTTTTAGCATGGTTTTGCATATTCTCAGAAAAGTTAATGTCTCCTAATGCTGCTAAAGCCATAACTCACTTGTTCACCATTTATCCATGGCACAAATGCTACTACGTGGAAAGGACTATGCTATGTTACAAAGATAAGTAGAACAAAGGAAAGACATCTGGTCTCATTCTAGTGGAAGGCAAATAAAGAAGTGAATACATGCATTGGGTTATTTCGTGGTGGAAATAAACAGTGGTCCATGAAGCTTTTGTGAGGAAAGGATCAGAAGGAGCAGGTTTCACAAGCCTCTTCTCTGTCCCCTTCTAGTTCTCATCACTATAATAACATGGGCTCAAATCTAGGTGAAGGAGCTAAGCAGAGAGCAGATGCTATGTCATCCCTTCCATCTATCTTCCTCCCTTTTCTACCACCACTTCTGACAGTCGCAAGACAATAGTTTCCAGGCATGGATATTCATGGGTACCAGTGGATGGATGATCCAGGGATGGATGGGCTGGGAAGAAGACGGTTTCCTCCCTACAAGAAATGTCAGAGCCCTGGTTTAGCCATGTGCCATCACATTCCATAATGTCCCACCTCCACATGGGAGCTGCCTACCTAGTCCACATTTTGTAGCCTTTTTGATCACAGAAAACTCTAAGTCTTTTCAAGGCATAAACAATGACCTTCTCAAAATGGAAATCTGATCATATATCCCCTGCCTGAGTTTAAAGCTCTAAAGTGGCTTCCCACTGCTCTTGGAATAAAAATCACCTCTGTACCAGGGCCTGTGGACCTTGTGTGGTCTGGCTTCAGCCTCTGCAGCCCCATCTCCCACTATGCGCCCCTCTGGACTGTCCACTGTGGTGACATTGGACATCTTTTAGTCTTTTGAGTTCACTCTGCTCCTTCACTTCACTAGCTTTTGCATATGCTGTTCCTTCTTTTTGAAATGCTTTTCCCTCTGTCTTAGCCAAATTTCAGCCTTAAGATTTAACTCAAATATTTCTTCATGGAAGTTTTTCATGATCCCTTCTCCCTCTCCTTTGTGGCATAGAGCATAGTTGCAATTACTTAGTGATTTGTTGATATATGTCACTACCCCCATTAGAGAGTAAACTCCGTGAGGTCTGGAATTGTGATAATTTGTGCTGACCTCTGTGTGCCCAGCATGTTCTCATGACCTGCAATGGAGTAGGCATGTGTTAATGTTTATTGAATGTGTGAATGATTAAGTAAATTAATTAATGAATACAAATATATTTCTTTGTACTCCCCTTCATCTCGCTTATGAAGTCAATAACAGTTGTTGGATAAAAAGGCAGCCCTTGTTCAGGTACACAGAAATATTAGGTCACTGCACAGGAAATATAAGGTCACTGATCATAAGAGGCAACTAAGTCCTGTCAACTTGAAAGTTGTTTATTTGTTGGCTTTGCTAGAGAGCATCCTGCCCTGGAGACAGTGGTGTTCAGGTTGGAGATGGGGTGGAAGGGTGGCGTCTTAGGAAAAACACTTGGCATGAGCTGACTTATACTTCTGCATCACAGTTTTGTGTCCTAGTGTTCATATGCACCAATATGCAAATAGAGATTATTTCTACATTTATATTCCCACCTTTTTTTTCTATTATTATTTCCCCCTCAGCCCAAGTTACAGTTTTTTCCTGAAGATTATTGGTGTAAATGGAATAAAATCGGTTAAGATCATAAATATGATTCAAGAGGAGTAACCGGCATAGGTTTGGGGGATGGTTGCCCCTCCCTCCTCCTCTATAATTTATTGTTTTTCTTCTGTAGGAAGCCAAATGACATTTCTCTAATTAACAGACACAGGCAACTATCGTATAAATCAACATCACAGCCTTTTTAGTGATGCAATCACTTTAAGATCAGGGAGTATAAATTAAACATCACAAATGCATCTCTAGAAGCAAAATATAATGAAATAAAAGAGAGAGGGGCTGCCTGGATCTGGAGACTGTTTGGGCACGAAGAGCAATCTTCACTCTGGGAGCTGCTGGTTTTGCCACAGCATAATCCGGGGAATCTATCCTGCTTGGGGAGAGGAACATCGTACATTCATGTATTTTCTGTTGTATGTTGTCTGTAGGTGTGATTGGGTGTAAGTGAACTGGAAAGCCCAGGATCTGGGTGCAAACCTCAGCTATGGCACTTACTCCCTGCATGACCTTTGGGAAGTCACCTGCCTCCGTGAGCTCCATTTTTCCATCTGTAAATTGGAGATAGTAACAATCCTCACTTCATAGCACAATTATGGGTGTGAATACATTAATGCACACAAAACGCTTAAGATAGTATCCCACACATAAAGAGAATTTTAATTAATTTGAGTCATTATGAGTATCAGTATGATTATCCAGACTCATATTTAGTTTCTCTTCATTTTAGTGTTATAATCACTTAAAGGCTGATTTCTGGGCCACAAACTTGTCACCTAATTCCACAATTTGTGTGGAGCCAAGGACACTGCATTTTTAACAACTGCACTAATGCTTCTGCAGGCAGTCTGTGGACCACAGTTAAAAAGCACTGCTCTATGACATGCACAGAAGATTGAGACATTGACTACCTAACTCAGTCTAAATTCTACCCACTAAGAACCAGATGGTGCCAAAAAACACCCAGGGAGCAGATTTAAACTTATTTTTAAATTTCCTTCTAGGAAGTGGATTCTGGGTGGGCTTTGAGGGAGCACTGCCCTTTCCCCACTCCCCTAACTCAGAGCTGGATTCCTGTAAGTGTGGAGATTGGCTGGGAGATGAGGGTCCATCAGGGGAAGACCAGGTTGGGGGAATGAGCTACAAGTATTCCTTTTCATTCACACACACATGGATCAATTCCCTTTCTCTCCCCTTCTCTTTCCCCAAACTTGGTGATTACTTTAATAGTTCCTCCCAAGTCAGAGCCTTGGAGAGGGGATGACACGTTCCAGCCTTAAAAACACTTCTGTGTTCTTGAGCTCATGTAAAGTTCTCAGCTCTGCAAGACCAGTGGGAAAGACAGATTATTATCTCTGTTTAACAGATGAGAAAACTAAGGTTCAGAAATAATAGAGGATTTGCCCAAGCTCATACATTTTCTAAAGGATAAGTAAATCTTGTTTGCAGGACTTTTCATCCTAAACCAACTATTTTTCACATTGTGACACAGAACTATTGATCTTTTCTCTTACCTAGAAACAAATCATGATGGTTTGTGTACAATCATGTATAGACAATTATATTTTGAGATGAAGCTCACATGTTGTGTGTGTGTCTGCGTGTGTGTGTGTGTGATGAGGATGAGGTTCAGCACCACCTCTTATAGCTTCTTATTCCTTTGTTCCTCCAATTTTGGTGTCCCAAAATACCATCTCACCCACAGAAGCCTTAATGGCCCAGTTGTATTTTCCATCTACTAGCTAAAGAAGCATTGTCTTGAGACTCTATTCCTGACATTTGAAGCATGATCAAGAGCCACAGTCCCTAGAAGTCCTCATGCATTTTATGGAATGCCATGACATTTTAAAGGTTGAAAGGAATGTGTTTGAGGACACATGGGACATTTTCTTTTCTTTCCTGGCCCTTCTCCTATTCAGTCATCAAGGCACGGTGTGTTCACTGCTTGAGGAAAAGATGATCCAATCACAACGTAGAGAGAAAAGAGGAGTCCTGTATGGTTCTTGAGTTTCTAAAGTCTGAGATGCAGGACAAGGGAAGATTCATGAGCGTAGATTTGGGCAGAAATCTGGAAGAGCCTAATATGTAAATTTTCCCACCCTCAAGAATAGAAGAAGACCCTGGACTTTGGGAAGGGAAGGTTGATGGGTGCTATGGCTTGGCTCTGTGTCCCCACCCCCCCAATCCCATGTCGAATTGTAATTCCTAATGTTAGGGGAGGGACCTGGTGGGGAGTGATTGGATCATGGGGGTGGATTTCCCCCTTGCTGTTCTTGTGATAATGAGTGAGTTCTCATGAGATCTGGTTGTTTGAAAGTGTGTAGCACCTTCCCTTTCACTCTCTCTCCTGCCACCATGTGAAGACGTGTTTGCCTCCCCTTCACCCTTCCACTGTGATTGTAAGTTTCCTGAGGCTTCCCAGCCATGCTTGCTATATAGCCTGCAGAACTGTGAGTCAATTAAACCTCTTTTCTTCATAAATTACCCAGTCTCAGGTAGTTCTTTATAGCACTATGAGAAAGGACTAATACAACAGGGAAGTAAGGAAGGAGAGAGGTTGTTGAGCTGGTGATTAAGTAGAACAGAGCAGAGTGCCATCCGGAGGCTCCCCAGGCACTGCATCTCAAGGAGCCCTTGTCTGTGGTTTACATTTGGAGGACAGATGAGATGTCTTCCTATCTGCAGAGTGCCCAGCCACTGCTGAGTTGGGCATAAGATCTCCTCCCTGATATCATCAGTGGCTGCCTTCTCAGTGGATGAATCCCTTTGACAGAGCCAGCATGTTGCTGACTGACAGGCTAGCAAGAGCTATAGTCATCTGTGCCCCATGACTGATCTCATCCAACCCATCCCATGTGGACATCCACCATTTCAATGTCATTGGACACTTGAGTACACCTGAGGCAGAAGGCATGTGCCCTGTGCATCCAGAGAGTGTGGTGGTGTTTTAAAGAAACCCCTCCAGCATCAATACATGGCTAGGATCAGTTAAACCATCTCAAAGATCTCACCTATCCTCAGAGCCAAGAAAATGGTCAATAAACCTGTGCGATATATATGTAATGGGAAATAAGGCCATGAAGTTTTGTGCCACGTCAGATACAACTTTTTACTATATTTGCATGTAAACGTGTGATTACAAATGCTGAGAGTAATGAAAAAAAAGAAAAGAAAATTCAAAATGAAAAAACTTCTTCATTCTTATTCATGTATGCATTTAAGGACTGGTTGATATATTATCCATTGGCTGCAAATCTGAAAAGGAGAGCCACTATTTGATGGTAGTGGCAAAAGCTATAGTCTGGTTTGTGGAGCGTCAGTTTCCAGGTGGTTGTGCTATAAGAATGGCTGCGTTTTCTATGGAGTAATATCCATTCTGCTCACATGGCAGATACCTGACACTGTCTAGTGCTTATAAGGGTGACCAAAGGAAGGAGTGAGCCACAGTAGCTACAGTAGGGTTACTTTCACGGTGGCTATGTGAGGCACCTTTAAAGCTAGAGGAAATACACCGTGTCCTAATTACCCTGTTTTCCTTAAGTGTGATTCACAATCCATGAAGCCAACCTGTCATTTTACTGCTTCTCTCTGATTCAGCCAAAGCCTAAAGATTTTAAAATCTTGAGACATCTTGGAGTAATGTGGTGGCCAAACTTCTGCTGTAACAACCACATCTTTTGTCCTCTCTGCTATTCTGAAATCTGAATTCAACCCTCTGTCAGCAATGTTCTTGTTCAGGCCCTATTGATCTGGAGATGGGTGAACTCATTTTTCTTTTCAAGGTATGAAAATGAACTGGGTCCAGGCACTTAACTCCACGGTAAGGGGCTGTCGACTCCCAGCTCCCCTTTGCAAACCGTGTCTAATTAACATGGAGACTACCTTCTTTGATGAGTTCATAAGTGTTTCACACACAGGCAAGATGTAACAACTTTGCAAGACACTGTTTAAAGATCTTCAACATCTGAGAAAGCCACAAAATCCAATAATCCTACTTTCAGAATGCCAGGGTGTCCACGGAGATCAATCTCATATCTAAACATCACATAAAGAGAGTGCATTGCACTATAGACTGGTTTCTATTGAACACCACCTAAGAAACAGCATTAGACAGTTTTGAAAAAAAAAAAAAGATGGAGCCTATACTAGAGGGAATGGAAAAGGTTGTCAAATTCTGGAAAATTTTCCCGTTGATTAAAGCTGCACTTTCAAAATTGTTACATTATTAACAGAAGTCGGCTTAGCTCCAATTTATCTTTCTGACAGTTTCCTGATGGATTAGATGTTGGGAATAAACTGGAGAGGCTTTTATGTGCTTCTTTGGGCACAGACAAAGCTGCTATTAATTCTTCCCTTGGTAACTGCAGTAATACCTATGCAATATCCTTCTGAGTGGGGTAATTCGTGTTGGAGATTGTGGTTTCCTGGGGCACCTAGAGCTGTGCCTATTCTTGCGTGTGTCCCTCAATGCAAAATGTATTTGGTATGTTTTATGAAACAGAATCCAAACACCAGAAAAGAGGGCAGTGCAATGAGACATGCTCTGGATGTCAAATACATATAATTTGCGGTGGGGTGGAGTTGGGCGGGGGGGCGTTGGTGTGAACAAGTGTTCCGGTTATGGAGAAATAATGAAGTCGAATTTTTCTGGTCTCAAATAAGTCTAGAGGGAGAGCTGCAAAAACTTTCTTCTGCTGAAACTGACAAGAGTTTCTTTGGCAAAGTGCTAAAGCAGTATCCCTTCTCTCTTTAAATCTACTAGCATTAAAAAATGATTTCCATTTTTCTTTTTTCTTTTCTTTTTTTTGAGATGACATCTCAGGCTAGAGTGCAATGGTACGATCTCTGCTCATTGTAACTTCTGCTTCCTGATTTCAAGTGATTCTCCTGCCTCAGTCTCCCAAGTAGCTGAAGTAGCTGGAATTACAGGCACCCACCATCATGCCCAGTTAATTTTTGTATTTTTGTAAAGACAGGGTTTCACCATGTTGGCCAGGTTGGTCTTGAACTCCTGACCTCATATGATCCGCCGGCATCGGCCTCCCAAAGTGCTGGAATTACAGGTGTGAGCCACAGCACCCAGCCTCCATTTTTCTGTAGGATAAGAAATAGATTTGCTTGGCTCCACAAATTTTATTTAATTTTCCCAGTATGTTAAATCATCATTAGTGTTTCTACACCTATGCTCCATGAAACACTAAATCCATGAATATGGGAAGGAAATATTACTCTGTTTAGTAAAGCTCGAGACGTGCTGGTGGAACAAATTTATAAAGATTTCTTTACTGAAGGACTTTTCAGAGTTGTGAATATGCTAAGGTGCCCTGTGAATTTCCAAGGGGTTGGAGAGTGAAGCTAATGTTGCATTTCCTAAACATAATTGATTATAAAAATCTTTATTGACAAACCACCTCTCTCTCAACTACCTTTTTCGGAATAAGGTTTTTGCTTTGTTTTGTTTTCTTTTGTTTTGTTGGCAGGGTCTCACTCTGTCATCCAGGCTGGAGTTCAGTGGTGCAATCATGGCTCACTGCAGCCTTGACCTCCCAGGCTCAGGTGATCCTCCCACGTCAGTCTCCTGAGTAGCTGAGACTGCAGGTGTGTGCCACCATGTCCAGCTAGGGAATATGCTTTTGAAAACACTGCTCTGGGTACACATTTCATTTTATTCGCATCTTTCAGTTTAGCATGGGAAGAAGAGGTCTAAAAGAAAGGGAAAGTCCAGCCGGGCGTGGTGGCGGGAGCCTGTAGTCCCAGCTACTCGGGAGGCTGAGGCAAGAGAACGGCATGAACCCGGGGGGCGGAGCTTGCAGCGAGCAGAGATCGCGCCACTGCACTCCAGCCTGGGCAACAGAGCGAGACTCCGTCTCAAAAAAAAAAAAAAAAAAAAAAAAGAAAGGGAAAGTCAGGTGGGTACATTTTTAAATACTGTCCTACATCTCCTTTGGACTCTCCCAAAACTGTCTTTTCAAAACTGCAACAATTGCCTACATCTCTAATTTGAAGGTAGTTTTTAGTCATTTGGCTAATGTCAGGAATCTGAATGTTACCGTGTTCTCTAAGGATTCACATTATCTTTCCTCAGTTTCCCCACATGTCAAGTGGTGATAATCTGAGCTGTCACAGATACAAACCAAACAGGAGCTTGGAATTTAAGGATATTTCTTTGATTACCTCTAAGTTCTTAATGTTTGTGCAGTTCTTATGCACTTGAGAAAATCTAACACAAGAAGTCTTGTCTATCTCCATCTCATGCTAGACATCTGGACTTCAGTTAAAAAAAATCCTATTAGTGTCACAGAAACTTTCCATACTAAGTGTGTCAAATCTATTCACTTTCCAGTGTTTATCTAATTGCTTGTAATGTTTCTCTGAATATCTTAAAATATCCCTTTCATCCAGTGAAAGTCCAATGTAGATGCCTATAGAGCTTGGTTTCCAGTACTTTAGTCTATATTATGATTACTATTATAATTTGATCTGACTTAACCCACCCTCACTCTCACAAGGATTTTAATTTCAAATTTTTGATTGGTAAAATATGGGCCAGTGCCCTTGGGACAAGCAAAGATGGAAGATTTTGGACAAAAATAGGTTAGAGGAGAGCTAAAATCAGAAAACCCCAATGTGAGAATGCTAACATGTCCTCACATTATACCCTGTGACCTCTTTTTATTTTGTACTAGTTCCAACTTAAGTAAATTCCATGGTGTTCAGTTGGTGAGACACTAACTCTTTTATGGCAAAATGAATTAGTGTGTTATTTATATATTTTAAACTTAGTTAGGCACTCCCTTAAGGCTCACGGCCAAGCCAATAAAGTTATGTTTGAAGATGGAGTTTGAAATTCTATTTTCATTCATTTTAATGGTTTACAAGTAAATTGTATTTTCTACTTCATTCTGTGACATAAGTCAATAGGTATCCAATGTAAATGTAGTTCATTTATATTTGAATTGATGTTCTGTCCGCCATTACCTTATGTTTCTAATGCATTCTGATACATTAGTAAATAGGCTTGTCTGATTAATCATTAGCACATGAAAAGAATTAGCTGCTGGCTGCCAAATGGAATTATTGACACTGATAAGAGGACCAACAATGGTATCACCTGGAAATGGATTGTGCAAGTAATTGAAGGAAAAAAAAAAGTGCCTTGATAAATATGAAGAACCTTGAATGTATTTTATTAATTCCATATATTATAGATATTTTATACTTTTATTGAAAATAATAATTTTGTACACTTTAAATTGGTGAAAGAAGGTCTTTATTTACTTTACAAACTTAGTTGCTGAAAATCTAAACACAATTTTTAATCTAGGGAAAACATTTCTTCACAGCTACCAATGGAGAACTAGAGAAGCTTTAGATTTCAAGAAGAAAGTAGAGCACAAAAGAGGCTCTGAAAGGAGTCACAGCTGAAGTTTAGTCCTGTTGAACCTGAGTATTTACGTTCAGGTGATCTATCTCATTGCAGTTTTGGCCACAGACACTTGTACAGGTTTGAGCACATGGACACAGATTCACACAGTGTGCACACACACACACACATACACACACAGAGGATGGCACAGATTCACATTTTTGAAAAACCTCACACTGCCTACATTATCAATTTATCAACCCCTAGTGCCATACTTGGGCAAATAGGAAGAGACTCAAAGTCTGTGTAATGTACTACAACTCCAGCAAGTCCCAGGGATAAGTCAGCATGACATACCTAAAAGAGTCACAGCCCCAACATTTTGAAAATGCTCGTGTAATTTTGCTTTGTTATTGTCTGAGCCATTAGATTTAAAAGCCCTTCTGTGTGATTGCCAAGTACATTAATGTGAACCAATGATAAAAGTCTAGCTGCTTGAGCAGCCAAAACCTGTGCAGTGTCTTAAGGCAGCACAGCAGTGTGGTAGCATATGGCAGAGCCACTATTGCTGGGACTTGTTTTATTCCCGGCTTTAAAGTGGCACAGAGTATGGTGCCAATGAAGTGCTACTGTGGACCCCTTTGTTCAAGCTGGACCTGGAGCTGAAGTGTTGGTTGCTTTAGAAGTATGGCTGAGGCACATGCCTTGGCGGCATGTTCCACTTAGGAGATTTTCCTATAGAGCAAGGACTCCAATCAACCATGAGTCGGGAACCTAAATGCTAGCGTGCTCTTTAAGGATTCACATTCTCTTTCCTCAATTTCCCCACATGTCAAGTGGTGATAATAATTGCTGTCTTTCCTATCTCCTAGACTGCTTGAATTCTATACAAAATGATGCTTATGAAAGCATTAAGAAAGAGATTTTTAAATGAAAGATTGTAGAGGTCCTGTTTTTATTGTAGTATGTCTTCTGTCTTCAAAATTGGAAGCTACTGGAAGAGGCATATGATAGCTTCACTTCCAGGCAGCACTGGACTGGGCAAATGTTTATTGAATTTTAAGTTAACACAAATAAAAAGCTGCACATTTGGCCATAAAAAAAAGGATGAGTTCATGTCCTTTGCAGGGACATGGGTGAAACTGGAAACATCATTCTCAGCAAACTAACACAGGAACAGAAAACCAAACACCGCATGTTCTCACTCATAAGTGGGAGCTGAACAATGAGAACACATGGACACAGGGATGGGAACATCACACACTGGGGCCTGTCAGAGGGTGGGGGGCTAGGAGAGGGATAGCATTAGCAGAAATACCTAACGTAGATGACTGGTTGATGGGTTCAGCAAACCACCATGGCACATGTATACCTATGTAACAAACCTGCATGTTCTGCACATGTATTCCAGAACTTGAAGTATGTAAAAAAAAAAAAAAAAAAAAGCTGCATATTTGCTTTTCTCACTTCAAGCTTGGAGAAAAAGCTTCTCTCTCTCTCTCTCTCTCTCTCTCTCTCTCTTTTATCCAGGCTGGAATGTAGTGCTGCAATCATGGCTCATTGCAGTCTCAACATCCTGGGCTCAAGCCATTCTCCTGCCTTCCCAGTAGCTGGGACTACAGACATGCACCACCACATCCAGCTAATTTTTTAAATATTTTTTGTAGAAATGGGGTGCTATGTTTCCCAGTCTGGTCTCAAACTCCTGGTCTCAAGCAATCCTCCAGCCTCAGCCTCCCAAAGTGCTGGAATTACAGGCATGAGCACACTTGGCCTTTCTCTTACGTTTAATGACACCTTCAAGACTCACATTCTATACATTCATTTAGACTACCCACTGGATAACGCATGGATTCCTTTTGAGGTTCATGATGTATCAGCAGGTTCCACAATGAGAGGACATGTGTAGGTCTTGAGTAATACATGCTTTCTTTGATCTTGGTTCTAGTGGGAGGCTTTTTCTAGTGTCCTGATAGAACAAGTTTCCCAGGCTTTGGTGAAGAAAATAGGACGGGCCTCCAGGCAGGGACATGAAAGTGCCTGACTCATTGAGGAAGGCTGTGTTGCACAAAGAGCAATCTAGAGCATTGTCAAGTAACAATGAGGGAAAGGGTAGTTATGGCACAGGCTCAGGAGTCCAGTTGCTCATGTTTTCATCCTGACTTCTCACTCATATTCTTTCTCATAGTATTGTTCACATATCTCTGCCTCAGTTTCCTCATTTACAAAATGGGGGTAATAATACCACCCAACTCGAGCAATTGTTGAGAAGAGGAAAGGAGTAAAACACATAAATCATTGAGTGTCATGTGTAGTTCATAGTGAGCGTTCAAAAAACCTTTTGAAGAAAATCTTGCTAGTGTTTATATTGCTGAAGATGAAGATGATGGAGATGGTGATGGAGATGGTGCAGAAGTAGTAGGAGATGGATTTGATTCCTACAAGACAGAATGTGAGAAGTTTTGAAAACCATTCTTAGGTTTCCTTGGGTATTAATAATGTGATCCTCGAAGTGACTCGAGCCTATGATGTGATCAAAGAGCTCTTTCCCCAGACTACGCATTTGCCTCTTTCATTTTTTGTAGGGCTTTTCTGACTGGTTCAAAACAATATCACCATTGCCAAGAATAGTGCCTGGAGCCCAGCTGGCACTCCATAAATATTTATTAAACCTACGAATAACCCTTCTACTATCGAAAGTGAATTTTTTGCTTTTTCTATTTAGTTTGAGACATATTTGCCAGCTTCATTGCAATTAAATGAGTCCCTTTTTATTTCTTTTTCTTTTCCTTCACTTTTATTTATTTATTTATTTTTAAGATAGAGTCTAACTCTGTTGCCCAGGCTGGAGTGCAGTGGTGAAATCTTGGCTCACCACAACCTGCACCTCCTAGATTCAAGTGATTCTCCTGCCTCAGCCTCCAGAGTAGCTGGGAGATTACAAGCGCATGCCACCATGCCTTTCTAATTTTTGTATTTTTAGTAGAGATGGGGTTTCACCACGTTGGCCAGGCTGGTCTCGAACTCCTGACCTCAAGTGATCTGCCCACCTCAGCCTCCCAAAGGGCTGGGATTACAGGCGTGAGCCACCTCACCAGGCCTGTGTGCCCCTTTTTCTTTCACGTAAAATAAGAATAGTAGAGGACTGTTTTTCTCTTAATAATATAGACGCCATTTTTTTGAGCATTTCAACACCAGGACCTATGGATACTGTTCACCATCTCTACCACGCAACACATTTGGTGATCCATGAGGGTCACCTGTCATTGAAACTGTCATTCAGAAAGCACTCAATTGGAGCATAAGAATCTTCTTATACTTTTTTTCCCAACCTAGAGCCTCATGTAACATTGATTCATTTCCTACAACAGCATCCAGGAAGGTGGCAGCAAGCCATTCTCTGGGCAGGGGTAAGGAAGCCAGTAAGTGTGATATTTTATTAATTATTACAAAAATAAACTGCAGGGCTGAGACTCGCTACTGCAAAGCACATGTGTGAAAATCCCACTTTGTTGGTGAAGAAAAAAACTCCTTGTTAACTACAAAGCTCTTCTCTCAGCAACACATAAGGTAGGAGAAAAGAATAGCATGCAGACATTATCAGCATTTTAAACAAGTGAAAAAGTTTATCTCTAAAAGGTAATGCTGTAGATCATATTTCCTTTCATGGTAGTTTTATATTCTGCAGTCTGGTGCATTTTTCTTTCCGATATTTTTTTCCCCAAAAAGAATCTAGGAAATAGGTTGTCCATTGATTCATTCCTTGCAAGATGTTAGCTATTAATAACGCTCTCATTTCATAATTTTTTCCTCTTTTGAATGCATTCCAGATGTTCACCTTGCAATCATGAATTTTAAGTGCCCACTGTTTCAATCACTTTGTGTTCCAGGAACTTTAAACCCATTTGTAGCCCTATTTTGAGAAACTTAAATAGACTGTGAAAAGTTGAGAGAGATAGAGAGAGAGAGAGACAGAGAGAACAGATGCCTGTGATAGAACACATAGATGTGGGTATGAATACAGAAAGAGTCACATAATTTTGACTTCTGGTGTTCTACGTCTGTACGTCTTCATGTTTTTTAACAAATTGATTTTATTATTTTCTTAATAGACAATATTTCAAAGAAATTCATTGACAAAATGGATTTATTACATGGTAACATCAAGATAAATAGAACTTCAGTTTGTGATTCAGCCTGCTATTTTGAGAAAAAAATGGCAACTGAAGAAATTCTCAAATCAACCTGCCCTTTGTATTGCATAAACTGCTTTCAGTAAAATGTAACATAAAAATAGTTGTCACAGGGGAGATTATAAGAATAAAACATACTTCCTAAATGATGTGGATATTTTAGCTATTATGTGTTTATTAGGCAGAAACCAAGATAGAGTTTTAGATCAAGAAATGGTCTTAGGTTCTTGCGGTTTGATTCATGACAGTAAATTTATCTTTGAGAAAATTCTAGGGTTTATAGTATTGTTTATATGTTTCTGGTCCATTTTTGGGGAGTAACTTGCATGCTTAAGATAAGAAAAGCTTTGGTGCCCCTACATCAATTCATTGTATCAATTAGTGTAAGGTTTTGCTGCTGTAACAGAGACCCAACGTGGCAAGAAACATTAAGAACAAATGAGTTTGTTTCTCTTTCATGGACCAGGCCCCATGTGATGAGACATCCTGGCTGGCAGGGCAGCCCAGCTCTACATAACTGTTCATGGATCCAGGTCGCTGATGAATCATTGTTCCTTTACGTCCAGGCATTGTTATCACGGCATGATTGAAGCTGGTTGCTACAATACTCAGATTCCAGCCAGTGAGAAGAAGAAAGTATGGAGGAAGCAAATCAATATCTCAAGAACCAGACACATGACTTACTGTCACATTCTACAGGTGAGAACCTTGTCACCTGGCCATTCAACTGCAAGGGGGCTGGAAAATGAGGTGTAGCTGAGCAGATGGGAGCCCAGAAGCAATTCCATTCATGTGAAGGGAGGCCAGTACAGATTGGAAGTGACTCTAGAGGTCTCCATCACAGCCACTGCTTCCCTGCCATGCGCAAGACCTGTATGCTCATGTGCCACCCCCTGGCCCAGTGCACAATGTTCCAGAACTTTCATCAGGCCTCACTATCATAGCCATTTCCCTCTTTTGGACTTTCCTTGCCCACACCCCAACCTCACAGGAATATAATCTCAAGATTACAGAATTTTCACATCAGCTTTCTTCATCTTTTTCAAGCCTGCAGGACAAAAACAAACCAATAAATACTGTACCAGTTCAACCTCATCTGTTTACCTTCTTTTTTCCAAATTAACCCAAATTTTCTCTTTTCTGTTTCTAATACATAACTCCAGAAGGTTGTCTTGAGATAAACAAATTAAGCAAACCTAAACAAAATATCAGTGGCTAAGTAAAAGTTCCATGTCTTCACGTTCCATGTCACCTTCATAGGAAAAACTTGGCAACATTTATTCTCTGGTCTTTGTGGTTTAATTTGAAGGAACAATATGAATTGTGTGAAAATATATATTGCTCATCTTCACCGTGTCAGCTCCTAAAATCTATATGAGTGTGCTCTCCTGTGGGAGATGGTGTAGTGGAAACAGTATGGGCTTTGCCCTCAGACTGTTCTGGGTTTGAGATTCATTGTCTGGGTGGCTATGTTACATTTCTTTGTCAAATCAATTCAGCCTCAGTTTCCTCATGTTTACAATGAAGGTAATACAATCTGTGTTATATAGTTATCGTGAGTATTAAAGGAGTTCATAAAGGTCAAGTCTCTGGCACATATTAGGGGCCCGGTAGGAGCCGCTGACATTATTATAAAAGCAGTGAGATTAGTAGCTTGAATCTCTAGGCCCTCTTTGCTGTTGGCTTGTTATTTTCATTTAGATGAAGCACTTAACCCCTCTAGGCTCAGTCTCCTCACCTGTAAATCAGGAATTATACTTATCTTACCTATGAAACAGTGCTGATGCAAGAAATGAGTAGGATAATGGATATGAGGGCACACGGGGGGAAAAAAGCAACAGATCATAAAAAGTGCTCTGCAAATACAAGGTGTTATCCTTCATCAGTGTTCCCAAATTGAGATGCTGCCTCAAACTCAGGGATGATATGCTTCAAACTAAGGTTTGAAACTAAGGGATTTTAAACTAAGGGTTTCAAACTAAAGGATTTTACTCTTCCAAATATACAGCTGGACCTGGTGTGTCCTACAGAATCTACAGAATATGAAAGATCATCCAGGTAACTATTACCACATCAGTTTCATCCCAAACTTTGTCACCTAAAGAAATAAGTGAAAGAATTTCTTTCACAGTTGGGGTCATACTCATTTAATAATTTCAGCCCTTAATTTTCTCCAGCAGAAACCCACTCCATTAAATGAAAATCCTGGAGCAATCAGAAGGAAATTAAGAAAAGGTTGAGAGCAGCTGGGCACTGTTAAAAAAATACTTTAAAGTTGTCCTCTAGTTTCCTGTTGGTGCCATGAGCGTACAGTCAATTGGGAGTATTATGGACAAGACTCTGGGTATGTGTTTTTTGTTGCTGTTGTTTTTATATCCTGCCATTGGCTTTGGCACCTGAATATTGACACATCAGCTTATATATTATAAATGTTTTTAAGTATATCTTATATTTTGATGTTTGTTTTTTATTTGAGATTATAAAAGTGTTAATTACAGAAAATTCTGAAAATTCAGGAAGTTACCCAAAAGCAATTTTCTTAAACACCTGTAACAATTAAAACCTTGTTTTATTTCTTTCCAGATGTGTATATGGCATCTCTAAGGTTGTGAGCTGAAAGTGTAGAAGCAGGGAGGAAAGGCATTAGGGCTTGAGGTTAGAGAAATACTTTTGGATTTCCACTTTGTAGGGACAGGGATTGGGCTGGGTATTTGTACAGTTGCTGTGGCAATGTCTGGCTACAATGTCGAGGAAGCAGAGGGACAGAATCATCTGTGTGGGGCAGTTGTCTGTGTGTGGTGGTGGTGGTACTTCTGTCCTTCCATTTTCTAGCCACAAATAGGTTTCCAGCCTGTCCTGCCCCTGAGCCACTCTACAGTTTCCTCTCTGAGGCTGAATTCTAGAACTCCCTGTTACTCTATTAGGAGAGACCCATGCTAAGGAAAAAAATTATAACATAAATATACAATATACAATTTCAACTGTAGTCAAGTGCTATGAAGAGGATTTTGATCTGGTCTTATGGAAAATAGATGTTACCTAGGTCCAGGGGTGTGAGTAGGAAGGGCATTTTAGGCAGGGAGCATAGCATGGGCAAAGGCTCGGTAGCAGCAAGAAGAAGGAGGACATTCTGTTGTCTGGAAGAAGGCCTGGTTGGGTAGACACACAAGAATAGCATGGCTGGCATACAAGATAGGGCATGGATTCAGGCTAAGGATTACCATATTTAGCTGAAGAGCAGAAAAAACTAGTGTATTTGTAAATTCGTGTTCTGAAGGCAGCATAGTAAATGGAGGGCCTAAAGTTTTCATGCTGGGTACAATAAAAGGAAAATGGCATTGCCCAAGTAAAACACGAGCTTAGACTAGGATGTGGTGGTAAAGCTGGAAAGTAAAGTGGGGAGAGGGATACATTGGCTTCAGAGAGATGTTCAACAGGTTTATCAAAAACCTTGCTATACAGTCAACAGGTATGCTTAGAACATAATGCAGAGAATGTTTCTCTATCAGCCACTATGTCACAGGAAGAAAGCTACCATGTTGAATGGACAAGTGGACAGTTTTCATATTGATTCCCATTTCAAGGATGGAAGCATGTCCAAAAATTATCCAGTTACCAGGGAAGATGGCTTTTTTTCTTTTGCCCAAACACACCCAAATATAGTTCTCCTATGTCAATAAGAGAACTAAGTAACTGCCATACTTTCATCCTCTAAATCTCTAAATATTTCTTCTAGAGTGGAGAATTTATGTAGCTCCTGAAAGGTGCTTCCTGAATAGAGACATAAGAACCTCCTGACCATGGCAAAAACTATTTCATGGCCCCACCATAGTTGTCATTTTACTATGTTTTACCTGGCTTAGTGGAGGAGTTGTAAATGCTCTTTATGATGTAGAACTAAGCCCTAAAATTGAACTCTGGGCATAGACATCTGGCTTATACTTTTAAAGCAGCCCAAATGCTTAAAATAAAAAGTAAAATTTCTGCGTGTTTTATGAGATAGGGTCACAAGATAAAGTCAGAGGGTGACCGGATGTCAACTCTTCACTGATCCCCTCCCGAAAAGCAAAATATATGTTTCCAAGCAAGTCTAGCCCTGTGTATATTTTCTTTATTCCCATAGTTCATTATGTACACTGCAGTAATTTGTTGACAGTACAAGGCAAATCCGTGATAAAACTGGAGAATGTCTCCAAAGTAAATATTTGGTGCTACAAAATAGGGGCTTTTTGCACATTAATCCAATAATAAAATACCGTCTGCAAGATGAACAAGGACTATTTGCTAATTTCCAAAATTGCAGTAGGTCACAGAAACTTCTAAATGATTTGATAAATATTTTCTTTATGGAGAAGTAATATTCCTAGTCAGAAGGCCAAGCTCCTTAATGCTGTGGGAAGCTGCAGCGGCTCCCAGATGCCATGCACTGGTGGAGGGGGTTGAAAAGGAAATGAGAATTCAGCTCACTTCAATCAATGCCCTCTGATCTTTGATGGCAATATAGGAGACACAGCTAGGAGGACAGATGCAAATGAACTATGAGAAGCTAAAGCTCTGCTCAAATTATAAGAGTCTGTTGCAATAGGTGGCCTACTGTCTCATCTACCCCTACATTACCAACGTTTGTAGACCTTGACTTTGCCCTGGAAGCAGCTCAGGAAACAGAATGTTCAAAAGCCAGGGATTGATGGATGTGGGTGCGCTCAGTATTAAGTAGGGAAGATGTGCATATATATTACTAATTGCGTGACAGTGAAAAGCTGCACTTGAGGGTGCTGATATGAAGAGGTGAGCATGAATCGGGTGCTTGCTCTACCATGGTGCTCCAGAGGAAGTGATGGACTCAGGAAGATGGGGGAAAGTCAGGGGGCACTTCTCAGAAAGGGCAACATTTTAAGTTTGGAAACAGGAGTAGGGATATGCTAAGAGAACAAATTTATTCATGAAACAAAAAAAACATGCAAATAAATGATATCAGCCAACTTATACTTACAACTCTATCACAGCTGAGGCACAGAAGGAAGATAGTATTAAATATATTAGGTACTATTTTGTAGACACTATGTCCTAGGCACTATGCTATGTACTTTCCATATATTGTTTTGATTAATACTACCTACAAGACTGTGGGGTAGACTGGATTATTCCCTGGTGTTAATGAAGAAGCTAAGGACTAGATAATTAAGCAACTCTTCCAATCAACACAGCTTGGTAGGTAGAAAATATGAACCTACACCACCTAGATGAAAAGACATTTGCTCTAACCCAGTACTCTACTGCCACTCAAGCTGGTTGACACACATAATATAAGGCTGAAGATAAAGGAAGTTGCACAGATTTCTCCACTGAAAAGGCTTCAAAAACCAGGAAACATAAAAACAAAATTAACACTGGACCACAGGAAGTCCATGACCCTCGGTGACCCCCTCTACAAAGCTGCCATGTTGCTGTAGAAGACGTCGGTTCTCTAACTGTGGGATTCACAAAGGTAGTTTGAAAACTAGTGATTGAGCAAGGACAATTCCAAGGGGCTCATTTAGAATGAGTTGAGGATATATTTAGGTCAGATTTCACTCTTGTTAATGGCATGTATTTTTTTCCATCTTCTAACTTCCTGCCTAGCTCTATATAGCTCCACTTCAGTGGGCGTCTCAGTAGGGGAAAATCCATTAACCTGCTTGACTAGCATCATGTCGACAAAGGCAAAATAGACCTCAGCTCTGAGAGACTCAGAGAGTCCAGACTGAAATATAGGCAAATAAAAGTGAGCCCATTTAGCTCCAATGGAGCCTCCAGGTCACCTTTCTTTTAATTCCTTGGATCTCTTTTTCAGAGGAGATTTTTAACTAAGTTTCTCACCTGTGTTGCCTGGGTGCCTTTGTATTAGGACAGAATTAACTGCAAGAAAAATTGAGGTTTGACAATAGAAGGCCAGATGCCACACCTTGTAAATAAATAATAATAAAAAAACATGCAATGCAGCCAGCTGCACCATATAAACTCAGGTTTTTATACCACACTGTTGTGTTCTCTATATCCTCATTTGGTTCCAACATCTGTTCATCCCTGTCTGTTCCTCCCATATATTAGTTGTAATTACATACACAAGAGCTTGCTTATGAGGCTGAAAAATTGACCCGATAGCAGAAGGCTTTGGTGGGTCTCTCACTTTCTCCGTTAAAGACACTGGTGTTTCATTTTTAAGGATCAGTCTTCAGGTGACTTACTCTGGAGCACAAGACTAAACCCAGACTTGTTTATCACCCTCCTGAAGTGGAGAAATGCGTTTTACTTTCTTTCACTCCTAATTCCCTAAAGCAACCTGCTATCTCCTGGCCCTCTATCTCTGCCCAGTTCATTCCTTAGGGATGCTCTATGAAAGTGTAACCAGTTCCTCTTTCTCTCCAGATCACCCAGCTGAAAGCGATCTTTCTTTTCTTCAAATTTCCATTGAAATTCCTATCTTTGATGCTTACTAAATATTTAATTCTAAATATAGTATTTGAATATAGCAAAATGTGGTGTAGGAAACAATAGACTTTAAAAAATAAAAAGAATGGCAGCTGTCATCTTACGGCTACATATAGTCTAAAGATTATACACACATCTGTGTTGCTGGTTTTCACTGGTAAGCCCAAGGTGGGTAACACATAGCACTTCCCTTTTTAGACAGATCATGTGATTTGCACTTTGACAGTCCTTACCAGGCATACTTCTCTCATTTATTTTACTTGCCTAATCTCTGTAGAAATTTGAGTTTGTAATACCTGCAATAAGATTACAAGTTTTTATGGTATATGATTATTATTACAACCACCTTCCTTTCAGAACAGCTTGTATCACATCAATCCTCCCACTGGAAAAATTAGAAAAGCTGGATAAAATTTTAGAAATCCATCTGAAGACATTGGAGAGCTGTGGCAATCAAAATTTAAAGAACCATGTTCTTGCAGAAAGAAGAAATGCATTGTGTTAAACCTGAAAGTCTGTAGCACTTTTCTACTTGAGGCTGGCTCATAAGCAGCAAAGGGTGGGAGAATATAAAACTAAGTAAAATATATCAGCTACAAGAAGAAACTGAGGAGTTTTGGCTTGGGGAGATGAAAATTGGAATTTGGAGCTTGAATGGTAGCCAGGCTTTGAGAGGGGAAAATCCTACAGACAAGAGAAGCATAGAGAGATCAGTTCAGCATTACACATAACTTTTTCAGGTAAGTCATTTGGCAATTCATAAGCAGCAGCCCAGAGGCTGAGACACTGCTGAGAGCTTTTGACAGTCTCATGGTGCTGGGAAGAAAAAAAAAAAAAAAACTGTAGCCTAGGGCCTGCCAAGGAAAGAAGGGTTTGTGGCAACTATTTCTGGCTTTCTAGGGGCACCACTGAATAGCCATGTCTTGGGAGTAAGGGAAATTCAGAAGTAGACTCAGTTTTACATATGCTTCATTCTAGACTGAACTAAGATGATTTATCCCTCCTCTAACTGCCTGACAGGCAAAATAGAACATCTTTAGATATAGACACTATCACCTAGAGCCACCACAGATTCCTTACACAGTAACTGCAACTCAATAAAATATTGCCAGACTACAAAGACACAGAACTAAATAAAGAAAGGTCAAGAGGAAAAAAAAATGGAAATAAAACAGAAGTGTAGGCAATCCAGACATAGGTATATGCAGATGCAGACTAAGATTATTGTGATTAATAAGTTCAGTCAATTAGATAACAAGATGAAGAATATCATTAGAGAATTGAAAGTATAAAAATAATCAAATAGAAATTATATTACTGAAAAATAATTGAAATTAAGACCTCAACAGACAGGTTAAATGGAAAATAAAACATGTTAGGAAAAGAATTAGTCAAATAGAAAACAAGTCAATAGAAAATATTGACTGAAGCACAGAAAGGAAGAAAAATGGGGAACACATACAAAGTTTAACATAATGTAACTGGAGTGTTAATGAATAGGAGAGAAAGAATTAAGCAACAAAAATATTAAATAGATAGTAATCAAGAATTTTAGAAGTCATTATGCTACAAATTACTTAAGTTCTATAAGCCCAAACGAGGTAAGTAAAAAATAGGAATTTTTTTTTAAAACTACGTACCTAGGCACACAATAAAAAACTTCTAAAAAACAAAAACAAAGAGAAACGAAAAATCAGATAGTCATGGAAAAGAAGTAGGGATGACGAAAGACACTTTACCTGGAGATAAACAACAAGACTGACAGAACATTTTCAACAAAAACGATGGAAAAACATCAAAAAGGCATGTTTTAAAGTGCTAAAAAAAAACCCTCTCAACTTAGAATTCTATATCAAGTGAAAATATCCTCCAAAAATGAAGGTTAAAAAAAGTATTTCAACACAAACACAATATGAAATAATTTGTCAGCAGAGGATTTGTCCTAAAAGAAATAAGGTGGCGGTCAGGATTGGGGGAGCTGCTAGATTATTCAGTCAGATAGGAACATAAAAATGAAGGAAAGCCTAAGAAACAAAAAAGATATATATATGTGGGTCAATCTAAATATTATCTACGCAAAACAATACCTTATGGGGTTTAAAATATAGGTTAACAGTGTATTGTTATTATATAGAAGTGATGAGATCAAATACAATTAAATTTTTCTAAGTTATTTGCATTTAGCAGAAATTTGTTGGTAAAAATACTAATTTTTATTATTCTATAACAAGAATTCATGTTGGAATATCTAGTTTAACCATGAAAAGAATTATATACAACCAACAATTAATGGAGTGAAAAATGAAATTGTTCAAAATACTGTATTTATCACAAAAGAAGTAACAAAGAACAGAAGAAGGAACATAAAATCTATGAGACTAATAAAAAACAAAAAGTAAGATGGTAGATATAAACACATATGTCAGTAATTAAATTTATTCAGATTAAATGTTCCCATTACAAGAAAAAGATTGAGAGATTGTATAAAAATTCAAAGCATAATGATATTCTTCTTACAAGAAACAAAACTTAGCTATAGGTTTACAAATAGGGTAAAAGTGTCTACCACTAAAAACATACCATTCTAAAATTAACCAAATTAAGTTGATGCAGATAGGCTAACATCAGAAAAAGTATATTTTGAGCAAAAGTAAGTCATAAAGAGGAGAATTTATGTTAAATGAAACAATAATCAGGAATATAAAATAAATTTAAATGTTTATTTACTCAAATTTGTATGTAGAACATAGGAGACTGTCACTATATTATTAACTTATTTCACTTAATAGACATTACCCAACACTATACCCAACAATTGAAGAATGCACTTTCTTGTTTAAGTAGACATGGAATATGTACCAACATATTTTTAGGTCGTAAAAGAAATGTCAATGAATTTCAACGGATTGATATTATCTACAGTATATTCTCCAATCATAGCACAATTAGCTTTAATATTGTTTTAAAAATATAAAAAAATCCTCAAATATTTGGATTTTAAGCAGCACAGTTATATATAACACACGCATTAAAATAAACATCTGAATGGGAATTAGAAAATATTTTGAACTTAATGAAAGCACAACATATTAAATATTTTAGGATGCATCTAAAGCCATGCTTAAGTGAGAGATTAGTATCCCCAAAGGCATTTATTAAAATTTAGATAGATTGAAAATTAATATATTTATCTCAAGAACTTAGAAAAGGAGGAAATTAAACCCCAAATAAGAAGAATATAAATAATAAAACTATGGCAGAAATTAATAAAATAAAATAAAGATCAACAAAGCTAAAAAGGAGTTTCTTTAAAAGATTAATACAATAGATAAAACCTGGCAAGAATGAAGATGATCAATAAAAGAAAGTATGCAAAAAAAAAAAATCAGCAGAACTTGGCACATTCATAAGAAAATCAGCAAATCCAGCACATTCCTAAGAAAAATCTGTGTTCAAGACTGGCCCTTGCCTGGCTCCTGGAAGATGAACACTGAGCCCATGGAATATTCTGCCTGACAAGAGTATTTTTATATGTCTGAGGCCTTGGGCCACATCATACCAGTTTAATCACATAGTTTATGCTAGAAACATAATTTATGGTGAATGCCTGGTCTTGAACTGGGAGACTAGAATATGATCAAGTAGCTGAAGTCAGTCACGCAACTGTTTCATAGCTACATGACTGACCACCAGTAAAAACTCTGGGTCTCAAGGCTCAGGTGAGTTTCCCTAGTTGATAGCACTTTGCATGTATTATCACACATCATTGCTGGGAGAATTAAATGCATCTGCTGACTCCTCAAGGAGACAACACCTGGAAGATTGCACCTCATTTCTTTTGGACTTCAGCAAATCCTTTTGATGATTTTAGTGTGTGCACTTTCACTACAATAAACCATAACCATGAGTACAGCTTTGCTGAATACTGTGAGTCCTTCTATTGAATCATGAAGTCTGAGCATTGTCTTGGAGACTCACAACACACACATACATATGCACACATACTACAAATTACTGATCTCAGGAATGAACAGATAATAAGGAGTTACTCTGGCAATTTTAAATATAATAAATTTAAGCTAATACATAAAACAATTTAGACATAATCAGCAAATAGAAAAACACAATTGAATACAACTAAGTAAAATATATGAATAGCCATGTATCTGCTAAAAAATCACATGCATAATTAATTAATTAATAACCTATAAGCAAGAACCCCCCCCCCCCGCCACCAACACACACACACAAAAACAAATGCTAGGCCCATATTGCTTAAGAACTGAATTGTATCAGTTAAGAAAGAAATAACACCATCTTACACAGACTCTTCCAGAGAACAGAAAAAGAAGAAACATTCTCAACTTATGATACTAAAATGTAAAAGGATATTAGAAAAGGGAGAAATACAGATTAATCTATCTCATAAATATAGATAAAAATTATTTAAACATTAGTAAATTCATGTCAATGATATGAAACAGTATTTTACATCATAACAAAATAACTTTATTTGAGAATTCAGGCTGGGTTTAACAATATAAAATAATTGAAATAGAATGTGAAGCAGTAAAAAAATAAGAGAAATCATGTCATCTCAGTTGATACACAGAAAATTGTTTGATAAAATTAAACACCCATTTATAGGAAAAGGTTGAAATTAGGAGGAAAGAAATTTCCTTCATCTTACAAAAAGTATCTGTAGAATACATGCAGAAAATATCATACCAATGGTGAAACACAGAAAGCTTTCTCTCTGAAATTGAAAAGGAGGCAAGAATGCTTGTTTCACCATGTCTATTTCAACAGAGGACCTGATCAGTGAAATAAATCAAGAAAAGGAAATAAAGGTATAAACATTGGAAAGATATAAATAAAACTATTATTATTTGTACCAGGCATGGTTTTATATATACATAAAGTATCAGACGGACATTAAAGATCAACTATAAAAATTAAATAAATTTAGCTATCAACTAAGAAACAAATTTTTTAAAGTTACCATTCAAAACCCTTTTAAAATGTTATATATTTAAAAATAAGTCTAAACAAGGATTTATAAGCTATTACAGAAGCACTACAAAACATTATTGTGATAATTTCTAAAAACTTAAGAGAAAAGCTGTATCACATTTATGGATTTAAAAATTCATTATATGAAGATGTAAACTCTCCCATATTGTTTCATAGATTCAATGCAATCTAAATTTTAAAAATCCTAAGAGTTTCCTTTTGGGAAGATTGACAAGCTGATTCAAAATTTATATGGAAAGGCAAAGGGTGAAGAATAGTGAAATTGGCTTCATGAAAACTAAAACTAGATGATTTACATTTTCAAATATCAAGACTTATATAGAGCTATAGTGACTAAGATAATACAGTTTCTGTTCATTAATAGATACACAAAAAACTACACAGGATAGAAACCCCACAAAACCCCAGACCCATATTGATGTACAAATGTGATACTACAGTGCAGTGGGGAAAGGGGGGCTTTTCAATAAGTACTGCTAGGCTAGTTGGATATCTGTATAGAAAAAGAAGTGAATCTTGGTTTCCATTTCACACCAGAAGAAAGGATGAGTTGCAGGTAGGTTGCAGATCAAAATATAAACTGTAAAACAATAACTTTCTGGAAGATGACAGAATATTTGTATGAACTAGGAGTATGCAATGATCTCTTAAAAGCAGATTTAAAAGCACCAAACTTAAAGGAAAATGATGGATAAACTGCACTTTTAAAATTAAGAGAGTACAAAGGCAAATAAAGAGTTGGAGGACATATTGCAATCCACATATCTAATAAATTCTACAAAGCAATAGCAAGACAGACAACCCAATGGCATAAGATATAAGAAGGTTTGAACAAGCACTTAACAAAAGAGGAAATCCAAACGGCCAAGAAACATATTTAAAAAACTAAACTCATTAGAAAAATGTAAATTTAAACTATAATGAGATATATCTACATACACAAGCATAGCTAAAATTTAAAAGTCTAAAAATACTAAATGTTGATGAATATGTAGAACAATGGGTACTCATTACATTGAGATGAAGTCCAGCTATAGGCCTGGCTGCTGAAACTGCCTGTTGTAACCTGAAACTAGTTTTATCTAAAAGCTACTGAAACAGCCTGCTGTGACTAAAGACTAGTTTTACTCACTGCCCTCAGTTACCAATTAGAACTTAGCAGCTCCCCAAAACCTTACTATTGCCAATGAACTTCCTGGACAAATAATACATAACATTTCTTCTTTTTGTTTTTCAGAACTATTGAACCTCCAACCTTCTTTTTGTTTTTCAGAACTATTGAAGTCCGCCCAGCCTGTGTGTATACCCCTAATTGCAATTCTTGCTTCCTGAGTAAAATGTTTGAAACTTAAGATTCATCACCATATTTTATTTGATTTCAACATCCTTTACACAAATTGAAGATAGATAAAGTTAATCTATGTTATAAGGAGTCAAGAAACAGATTGTCTTAGGGAAGAGGCGGGTTTCAATTGAAGGAGATGTAAACAGAACTGTAGCGGTGCAGGTTATATTTTATGTATTGATCTGGGTAGTGGACACACAGGTGTGTGTTCACTGTGAAAATTTATTGAGCTGCACATGTATGATTTATGTACTTTTCTCTCTGTTATTCTTCAGTTATAAAGTTTATTAAAAAGAAAAAAAAAACTTTGGGTCTGGGTAAAGGTTAGCAATTTAAGTCCCTGGAGTTTTGAGTTTCCACAACTTGTAGGAAAAATAGCTCCCTATGTGGAGCATTGAGAACCTATTGCTCTCTGAAGAGCAGACAGAAGTAGCACAAGGATTGGGTTTTGCCCTCCACCATCAGGACCATGTGAGTCTTAATTCCAAAAACATCTGCTGGTTCATGTCTTAATGTTTTGACCAAACTGATGCATGCTGCAGTTTTTAAAAACTCTACCAATATTTTCTCTTCAGATGAGCACATACTAAGTCACAGATGAAACTATTCATATTTTTTGTCTAGTCATCGAGACACCCAACCATGATCATTAGAAGATGGTGCTAAAGGAAATAGATTATATACTGCATTTGGGGTTGTTGTAGGGGATGAATCCGCCATAACTGACATTGAAGGAACAAACCACTAACAAAAGAAAAACTTCCATTTGAGGGAATGCCTGGAAGAGACAATTCATTAGATCATGCTGCACTGATCCCTGCTGGGATAATTGTAGTATTTACCACAGTGTGTTAACTTTTCCATGGCTTGTGGCAACTACCCCGTATTCTACCAATTATTTTCCTTTTTGCTTTATATATGTTGGAGTTGGTTTCTAATGCTTGCAACCAAAGAACCTTAGTTGACTTGCCATGTTACCAACTTGTACAGTATAGAGACCCCTGGATTTTGCACAGAGAATGTCTAGCTGGCAAGTGCTGTCTCAGAGAAAAAAGACAGTGAAAGCTGAGCCTCACGTGGTGTCCTCAAAGCCCTATGATTCCCTATAGCCAACAAGGAGGCCAAGCACTGTTGAGTTAATGTAACTCTTCCCTTATAAAACAAGAGAATACAATTCTGTTATTGTATTCATCTTGTAGTAAACTGCTCCTTTTTCAGAGTGTAAATGACCAGGGGGATATTTTGGGGGAAATAAGCTTTCACTCTGGTGAGTCAATAAAGGGAGGGGCCCCATCATTAAGTCTTCAAGGGGCACAAAGAGACCCTGGTAAAAACGTCTAACATTTAGGTTTGGGCCCTCTTCTTAAAAGATGTAGTCTTGGATTTGGGAGTAGGCAGAATCAGGTGGGACAATCATGTCCCCATAATATCAGTGATGCAACAATAATACTTTAGCAAATGCTAATACTAGCTGCATTTTTTGACGACATAAGCTAGCATTATTCTTGAGCATTTACTATTTGCCAGGTGCAGTACTAAGCATTTTACTGGCATTATCTCATTGAATCTCCCCCAACATCATGCCAAGACAGACTTGAATATTGGCTTCATGGCCGAGCATGGTGGCTCATGCCTGTAATCCCAGCAATTTGGGAGGCTAAGGTGGGAAAAAGATCACTTGAGCCCAGGAGTTTGAGACCAGACTGGGCAACAAAGTGATACCTCATCTTTACAAAAAAATCAAATCAAATCAAATATTAGTCAAGCGTGGTGGTGCACACCTGTAGTTCCAGATACTCAGGAGGCTGAGGCGGGAGGAGAACTTAGGCCCAGAAGGTCGATGTTGCAGTGAGCTATGATTCTACCACTGCACTCTAGCCTGGGTGACAGAGTGAGACCCTGTCTCTAAAATATATATATATATATATATATATATATATATATATATATGCTTCATGAAAACAGAGAATTTCGTCTATTTTGCTCTTTGTGTCTCAAAGCACCTGGAAAGGTGCCTGGTTTCATTTGTCAGTCGATAGTTGATATTCAATAATTTTGTCAAATGAACTTGCTGACTCGGCACTATCTCCTTTGTACAGATAAATCGAGGATTAAGTAACTTGCCTGCAGCTAAGAAGTGATAAAGCAATGATATGCATCAGGTAGTCAAATTCCAAAGACTACAATCTTAACCACAGCCTTATTTTTGAAGTTTTCAGGAAAACAAAAATGATCAGAGAATGGAAAATGTTTTGGGAAAACATTGCATCTACAGGGCCTTTCTGGCCCCAATCTTCCACGGCTTTAGAACTGGTCCCATGTCTTCATGCCATTGGCAATGCCCTCAGGATGGTGAGGAGAGGAGCAAATGCACCACTCAATACTCACTTGTTTACACAAGATATAGTGAATGACTAAAGGGAAAATTGCTGATCTTATCAATGATTCGCTCAAGTAATCAATAGAACAAGTTTGCTCAATATTAAGCATCATGGGAAACTTTTTATATTCAGAATAAAAATGGAGACTATTGAAGATTTGGCTGGTGACTAAATTGTAGATACCAAGGAAGAAAGAAATGTAGATGAACAAGTGAATGCTGGTTCTAAATGACCATTTCCTTTGAATATTAAGTCCACTGTGACTGAACCATATAGATCAGTGGTCATTTCACTCTCCCAGGAAACCCTCGTTCACACTTAATTAACAAGTTATGCAATCTCCTTTGTAACAACAACCAAAAAGGACTTCAAGAAATATTTATAAAATAGGCACTTTTATAAACTTG
The DNA here is from genome assembly GCF_000001405.40 of Homo sapiens. Classification (NCBI taxonomy): domain Eukaryota; kingdom Metazoa; phylum Chordata; class Mammalia; order Primates; family Hominidae; genus Homo; species Homo sapiens. The sequence continues at coordinate 51,904,823 of NC_000016.10, read as the reverse complement.
TGTCTAAAGTAATCTGGTAGCCGAGAATTTCATGTGCTGAAATGTAACTGTCAAAAAAAAAAAAGGAAAAAAAAAAACCTCCCACCGTAATTTTAGGTAGCTTCATTCAAATGACAAGTCTCTAGGAATGTTTTAGGGAATTAGTGAATTTGAGTGAATATCAGACTCTCCTATTAGAAATCATTGATATTGTTGGATTTTATTATTTTCTTTTCTGTATTATTCTGATCTCTCAGATGCAAGTAACAAAAACTTGACAAACAAATGTAAACAAATATGGAGATTTTTGTTCACATAACTGAAAAGTTTAGGTTATCTGGCTTCAGAGAAGGATATATCCCAGTGTTCACATGACGCCATTAGGATTCAATATCTCTTGCCCCATCTCTTGGTTCTGCTTTCCCATGTACTGGCTTCATTCTCAGGCTGAACCCCTTAAAATGCTGGTCCTCTCAAAGCTCCAAGCTTACATCAGCCTTATAGCTCATACTTTCCATTTCAACAAAAGCCCAGGATGTAGTATCATTGGCCTGTCTTGAGTAACATGACCATCCATCTCTGAATGAGGACCATAACTAGACTGATAAATACAGTTACCTGCTCTAGAAACTCAACCTGCTAAAAGATGTGTTTGACATCATAGATTATACAGAGGTTTGTAAATCTGATTTAGATCATTGCATGACACCCCAGAAAGAAAATCTTTTTGATAGATATTATAAAATGAAACTCTCCTTGGTCATAACCCACCATCACTTTGCTGGTCTAGACTAGATTGCTTCCTTTCACAGCTATAGGATTGGCTTCTATAAACTTTTCTCCTCCTCCGGAAACTAGTGAGGGGTGCTTGTAGAGTCTTAGTGATCACAGATAACAAGACAAGAATAAGGGGAAGAGACAGGTGACTGGAAGATGAGGCATTCCCAATTGCTACATCATTGTGTATTCAGAAATCTTTAAACCTTATAGTGTAGAGGTTTATAATACAGGCTGAGAAATAAGACAGACTAGTATTTGTGTGCCAACTTTATTTTCTAAGATAAACCAGTTAACCAAATCAATAAAATGAAGATACTAGTATCTGCCCCATTAATAATAGCTACTCCAAGTAGGTGTGCCTAACTGTTGGCCAGAGTAGCTATCACTGTCACCCAACCCACCTAGTATTCTACCTTCATGGCCAGCACCCTCTCTCTTTTCCATGAGTCATAGGTTTCTCAAAATGAAGAGGTTCCTCTTTCTAACTTCTAGACTTTATTCTCACAGCACTCCCCAGTCTGATTAAATAAATTCTCAGGCAACCCATGTTCAAATCCTTCCTCTTTCACTTATTAGTTGGGTGACCTTGAGCAAGATGATCACTCTAAGCCTCAATCTTCTCATCTGTAAAATGGGGTTATTCACAGTAACCTCTCAAGAAGGTAGTGTAGCTTAAATTAGGTCGTATCTTTAAATTATTTAGAACACAATAGATGTCAAATAAATTTTATTCGTATTTATCAATTGCTTGCAAACTATGTGCTAGTTCTTGTTTTAAGCACTTTGAGAGTTTTAATTTATTTAATCCTATTATTTAAGATTTACCCTATCATTATGTTTATCTTAAAGACCAAAAAAGAAAGCTTCGAGAGGTTACCTGAGGTTACACTGCTGGTACATGGTAGGAGTGAGATTTAAATCCATTAATTTACTCACTCCATTATCTCCTCCCCTACCTACCTCTTACTGTAAAAAGATGAACTTATAGTCAGAACTGAATGGAGAATGTGATACCATGCCCTATCTCCTTGTGAGGCTTAAGTCCATTCTACTACTCATCAGTATATTTGCCCAGGGAGGTATTTAATTATGGACAAAGGCAACATTTAGTCTAAGAAGTCCCTATTATCTTTCATGCCTTGCTGCAAGCAGTAAAGATGCAGATACCACCATCTCACTGAAGCTTTATGGCTTCTCAGTGAGGAAGGCAACATGGAACCCCCAGTGTTACTTAGCCAGAATGTGGAAAACCCTATGATTTGAATCCAGGACTCTCTGTCCTCAAAGAGTTTGCTTTTTATGACCATGCCATACCATCGTGGAATGCAACGAAGAATGCTGAGAATACAGAGTAAATGTTTTCAGTGTCTCTGTGATATATGTTTTGTGAACCCATGTCAAATTCTTAGCTAAGTGAATACCTCTACTTATTTTTTTCTAACTCACATTGATTGAGCATTTACCATGATCCAGGCAGAAGCTGTATGAACCTTGGGCAAGAGATCACTTTTGACCTCTCCTGCCTGACTTTTGGACATTACCTAGGTTATTTCAGCTTGCTGTAACTCCTACCAGCCTTGCTGTGATGGGATACATTGGTTTGACTTTAGGATATGTTGTTAAAGTCATCAATTATCCCTGTTGGAAAACCTAAGGTTCATGTATCAAGTTTCCATGAAAAAAGAATTGAAGAGTAAAAAGCAATAAAAGGGGTAAAAGCATTGTGGGCTTACTTTCCTCATGGTGGTCATTTTGTTGGAATCATAAGCCTTATTGCAAAATGGATGAGAAAGGTGATGACTAATATCTTAGTTTATTCAGACTACTATAACAAAATATTGTAAACAGTAATTTTTTAAGCCACACAAGTTCATTTCTCATAGTTCTAGAGGCTGGGAAATCCAAGATCAAGGTGCAGCATATCTGGTGTCTGGTGAAGGCTCGCTTCTGCTTCCAAGATGATGCCTTGTTTCTGTGTTCTCACATGGCAGCAGATGGAAGGGCAAAAATTATGAATGCTATGTGAAGCCTCATTTATAAGGCCATGAAACCCATTTACAAAGGAGAATTCCTTATGATCTAATCAACTGCAAACATCCCTACCTCTTAATCCTATTGCATTTGGGATTAAGTTTCCACATGACTTGTGGAGAGACACAAACATTGAAAACATAACAGTTAGCTTAACCAGGTAGTTTAACACATGGTCCTCATCCTCTTACACTTTAGGTAACTTATTAGGCTTGAAAAAAAGTCAATGTTTCCATGAATTTGAAAATTAACCTAGCTCGTACTGGATTAAAAAATTACAAATTAGACCCAGTTAGAAGATAAATATTGTGCCAATCAAATTTGACCAACATTAATGAGTTATGTCTGTCAATGCAACAATTGCAAAATGCTTTTTCCCCCCTACTCTTTTTTTTCTGATATTTATTTGTATTTTTTAGTCTACTTGGACAACAGCATGTAAATTTGGGGAAAAGAGTCAATTAAAGCTTGCCAGCACAAATGCTTACAATTTACTAACTTCCCCCATGACCCTGCGTAGCATTATTCTAAAGTTTCTCTCTGTTGCAATTTGGGCTCTATTGTCTCTGAAATGACCCCCCTGGCTGAGAAGACCATCAAGAATATGCAGCATCTCAACCATCTCCCGCCCAGAGACGAGCCTGATTAATCCCGATTGAGTCTATGGAAAGCACACAAATATAAACTATTCATTTATTTCAAATCGGTGGGTGCCGTGGGGGAAGTTATCACATATAATCTAGTGTTAGTCTATCCACTGCATCATAAAAATTAATTTGTCTAATTAATGACATTAGTACTTTTATACATGCATAATTCATATTAATTGATAGGTCTGCCTAAAAAGAATACCTTTTGGAAGAAAAATGATCCCATTAGCACAAGTTTAATCCAAATCAGGGCTGACAAAGCATGGAGCCTTCAAGGCATATCTTCAGCTTTGTTAATTGTCATAAGCATTCTAAATTGATTATTCTTACATTAGCATGAGACATTTCATTCATCAATGCTTTGCTGTAAAGGAAATTTGTCTAATGGATTTGGGTAGCTCAACTAAATAAGTAGTATTTTTTCTAGGGTAGCTTGAGGGGCATTTGAAGCATATTAATTCACTAATACTGGAGGGAAGAAAAATTAGCAATGGAAATATATAGAAATATCATACAAAATTAGATTTCTGACACTGAATAATTTTTGTGATATCTATTTCAATGGTAATTGAGTGAGCATGCCTGCACTTTTATTGCTTTTCTGTTTTGCAAGCTCCATGATAAACAGCCAATGTTAATATTTCTTATGAGTTATGTTCCTGCACCTGGTAGGGCCACAGGGTTATGAAGTGGAGCATGAGTGAGATAAATATACATTTTCGGGAAGACTTCTAGGAGGCATAGGGATTACACAAGGATTGGCCATGGTGCCAGACACCCTGGGCTTCTGGGAAGACCATTCCTACAGGCACATTTGGCCAACTAAGCCATGGAAGACAATAAACATAGATGTCATTGTGTCTCTGTTCAAATAGACTCAAGAGCTGGAAATCCATGCAGTTTGGGGGCTGCTTCTTCATTTTTCATGAGTCATTGAAGAATTATTTTTAATGGCCAAAACCAAAGTTATTGGTTGATGGCCAAAGATTTACAGAAAGCTTCGCTGAGATACCCTGGTAGAGGGAAGGGAAAAGTTAAGAATGAGATCACTGAATATATTTAATATTTGCCTCTCTTCTCTTTTTTGTGTAAACAACTTCTGCACTATGGGTTCTGGGCACTGCTTAGAAGTATATTCTAGATGCAGCAGTATTTACACCGTTAGGATCTTGGTAGACTGGGGAAGTTGTCCACAGTGGTCTCTAATCTGGAATATCTTCTCCTGCTCCTCTTTCGTTCCCTTTTCCTCACCAGAATGGATTTAAATTATTTCCAATACTTCAGACTATCATAGGCACTGGAGTCACCAAACCTGTATGAAAGTCTCAGCAAAGCTATTCAGAAATAATGTGACTTTGGGCAAATTGATTAACATCTTTGAGCTCCAGTTTTTTTTTTTTTTTTTTTAAGACGGCATGAGGATGATATTAGTAGCAGTTGCAATGTGCAGTTGTGAGTGGTCATGTGCATGAGATAACCCATGCACATAGCACATTGCGTGTAGCATGTAAGAGTGGCTCAGTAAACTGAAACAAACAATATCAGCTATTATTTGGCTGATCCAAATGGAGAAAAGGGAAGGGTAGCCTCTCTTGTATTTTTATTCATTTTTTGAAATTTTCCCTTTTCTTCTATCTTGGAGGATTTTTGAGTCTAAGTAGCATGTTTTCATTAATCTCAATTCCCCCTTGTGTTTCAGAGTGGACTGTTTTGGTCACTTGCCACTCACAGAAATCCTGGGCTAAGGAAAAAGTGCTAACAACCTTCCATCCACCTTCATGAGCAGTGCCTCAGCAACTGCTCTACCTGCGTCACTAACCTCAAAGCTGCCGTGCTTTTGTCAAAGGAGACAGCTTGGTGGAGGAGATTGAACTCAGGTTTTAGATTTAGATACACCTGAGCTAGAAACCTCTCTCATGCATTCATTTATTCATACATTTATTCAATAAATGTGAATACCCACAGTGTACCAGGCACTGTGCCAGGCTCTGGGGATACTAACAAGATAGAGGAAGACAAAGACTATGCCCTCAGTGAGAGGTCAGCTGATAGACAATTGACTAGTAAGCACAGACACAAAGAAGAAAATGTCAGAGAGAATTGCCGAGAAGGGAAGTAGACTAGGTAATGTGGTGTAGAGCAGCTGGGCTGTGGGGAGACAGGAGGGGAGATCACTTTAGCAAAGATAAACAGGGAAGGACTCTAATGTGAAAGAAACTGGAAGCATATAAAGAGGCCATCCCTCCAGGCAGAGGGAACACTGGGTAAGAAGATTCTGCAGCAGGAAGGACCTTGGCAGCTTGGAGGCACAGGAAGGAGTGTGTGACTACAGCACTGTCATCAAGGGGAAGACTGGCAGGAAATGAGTCTCAGGGTGAGCAGGGATCTGAATGGAAATGTTATGTCTACCATTGGCTCACTATATTTTCCTGGAGAGATTTCAGAGTCATCTCCAAGCCTCAATTTCCTCTTTTGCAAGATAGAAATAATAATGGTTGCTTTCCACAAGGCTCTCTTGATTAACAAATATGTCAAGATTAGAGGAGATATTTTTAGAATCATTAAATGTTGCTTCCTTGTGTCTTTCCCCTCCTTGAGTACCATGCTGAAATATTCCAGATCAGTAGAAAGGCCCTCGCCTAAATTATTTTGGGCTTTGCACACAATCCAGTAGATAGCTACATATTTCCTCCCACCAGGGAAAATCTTCCTCTAATAGGTGACTGTATGTGCTACCAAATAAGATTGGGAGAGTCTAGAAGAAGCATCGAGGCCCAGAAGGAAGCCATCCCCTACTTCTGATACAGAGCTGTTGGATCCTGTATTCTGACCATGGCTTAAGGTTGATTCACTTTCCAGCATCCTGGAGTCACTCCATGGGCTCTTCTGTTGGGCTGTTTTCAGTGTAAACTGCCTCCAAGCCCCATATATCCCAAGATTTGATCCCTTTAGAAATAGTCATTTATTTTGTAGGCTCTAATCTCCTTGTTCCATTGCTATTGATTTTTCACATCCATTTTCAATCCATTCACCAACCTTTCTGTTTGGGCCTCAAGTTTCAACTGAAAGAAAACACATCCTCAAGTTGTTCATTTTGGTTTCCAGTAGACAGAATTTGGGAGGGATAGAGATATTACATATCCCACAACTAAAATATACCAGATGTGTAGCTTTTTTCTGGTTTTTAACATATAATATTCCTGTTTCCTAAATGTAACTTAATATTGCTTTCAACATGGAATGTGATACTCCAATTAGGCCAAACATAAGCCATACCACCCCCCTACATACATATTTGTACATAGACTAATGGAAGTGGCTAGGACGAATGATCTGTGTTAGATATTCCAAATGTGAAAAAATGAGGTTTGTAGGGATAGATTTAATAGCTATTGGGAGAATGCTTACAATAATTGGTTATCGTTGAAAAGAAATGTCAGATATCATTATTGGCATTTACAATTTAATTAGCTTGATCCCTGTGTGTCCAATATGTTATGTTTTCCTCCTTTCAGTTTTTTCTGGAAGAAATAAAACTAATAGGCTTTCACAGTTATTTAAGGAAATGTTATTAAGACCCACAATGCTAGGATATACTAATAGTTTAATGGATAAAGAATACGGGTCATTTTTCATGTTAAAACACATCCCTGAAATGAGATACTTCATCCACTTCCTATTGAGCTGGAATACAAAATAATACAAAATGCATTATTTCCTCAAAGCTCTTGGTTTGTTCCAAGTTTCCTGTGGTTTTCAATCTTTGTGCCATCCATTCTCTTTCTTTCCAATATTATTTGAGGAAGGGCATGAAATGGGGAGGGTTCTGGAAGATTTTAAGTGAAAGAACTGAACTCTGTTGGAGGCTTGTTGTGAAGCTTAAAAGGCAAGTTATCTTTCTTCCCAGGCACCTCTGGGGTTAGAAGTTTCTTGTATACCTGCAGGTGTCTCTATACATTGTTGCTGGCATCCTACACATGCTATTTCATTCTATGCAGTGTTTTATGAAATCAAAATACACATAATTATTGGAGCCATCTCTAATCATCTCCACCTGCAGAACTTTGATGGTGATGTGTAGTATCTGCTTCTCAGATCTCTAACACTCCAAACTCACATACTTCAAGAATCACAGGTAATCTACCTCTTTCCTGAGGCAAGCATAATTTAGAATGTATGGGTGGGTTGTCAAGATTATGTAATCATGAAAGTATATATATATTAACCATGTGAGTGTATATATGTTTGTGTATATATATATATATATATATATATCTGCACAGTCGTGTGTCACATAATGACATTTCAGTCAAGGATGTACTGTATATATGACAGTGGTCTTTCAGTAAGCTAAGGTTAACTTATCATTGAAGAAAAAATATTTTTTATAAACTTAGTGTAGCCTAAGTGTACAGCGTTTATAAAGTCTATAGTAGTGCATAGTAGTGTCCTAGGCCTTCACATTCACTTACCACTCACTCACTGACTCACCCAGAGCAACTTCCAGTCCTGCAAGCTTCATTCATGGTAAGTGCCCGGCACATGTGTGCCATTTTTTAATCTTTCATACAGTATTTTTACTTTACTATTTTTATGCTTGGATATGTTTAGATACACAAATGCTTACCACTGTGTTACAATTGCCACAGTATTCAGTACAGTCACATGCTGTACAGGTTTGTACCCTAAGAGCAATAGGCTACACCACAGAGCATTAAGTATCTAGAAGGCTATACCATCTAGGTTAATGTAAGTGCATCCACTCTGTGATGTTCACACAATGAAAAAATCAATCACCTAATGATGCATTTCTCAGAAAACATACCAGCTATAAGCAAATCATGACTAGATGTATGTATGTATACATTTTTGTATATGTATCATATCATGCATACTTGGATGATTTATTCAAACATAATTATATGTGGAATTTTGAATACAAAGTTCTGAAGCCAGACAAAACACTTATGCATCACTCTTGCTTGGTGATTATTGGCATTTAGAGTTAGCCTTGCCATCATGTGTAGGTGTTTAAAGATGATATCACTAACAGGAATGCTACAGGCTCATCTGTAACATTTGCAAGGCAAAGGAGGCCTATAGACCATATGTTTAAATATTTAAATTGCAAATCAAGGTAGCAACCTATTAAATGTCCTATCCTTGAAAAATATACATCACAATTCCTTAGAGTTGCACCATGGAATGTGGCTCTTTCCCGAGAGCCTCCGGCCTTGCATTCAGTCTAGGTACCTTCCTTTCCATGGCCAACAATGTGGCTTGCATTCTTTTTTTTTTTTTTTAACAGGCAAGACACAATATATTTATTAGTTGTATTTCTTTTTTTGTTGTTTTTTTGTTTTGTTTTGTTTTTAAGACTGATTTATTAGCTTCAGAGCACTGAATAAAATCATACAAAAATAACTCCGTGGGGGAAGCAGAGTGATGTATTGGGTTCATAACATCTCACAATATCAGGAGAAAAAGTCACTAAAATGTTGCCTTTTCCCATGGGGCTGATAGTCTCAGGTGTCTCCATGTGGCCTTCCCAGAAGAGTAATCTGACTTCTTTTTATTTTTTTATTTTATTTTATTATTATTATACTTTAAGTTTTAGGGTACATGTGCACAACGTGCAGGTTTGTTACATATGTATACATGTGCCATGTTGGTGTGCTTGTGGCTTGCATTCTTAATCTCTGTTTTTCCCTTTTCAAGAGGCCACTCCTTGACTTCCTCTCAGGTCTAGGGGTGGGCACACTGCGTGGTACCATTCACTCTCAGCAGAGCAGACCCCAGAAGAAATAGCAGAACCCAAAAAGTATGCCAGGACTGACCAATCAGGGATTATCACGGCCTTGGGAACATGGTGGAGTGTGACCCAGAGGAAAGACAGGGCTCTGGGTAGGAAAATGCCTTGATCCTAGTGGTATTTTGGCCTGAAGAAAATAGTGGCACTGTGGTCAGAGTGGAGACATTTTAAAGTATGCATCCCAGGACTAAGGGTAATATTACAAGCTTCTTTGCATGGTTAAAACCATCATCCGTATGTTTTGGTCTTAACAGCTTCTCACAAAATGGGTGATATTAAAAAAGAGAGATGAGTTTAGATTTGTATATTTATCAAATTGTCCAGTTACCAAGTTGTTTCTCCATTGTTCTTCCTTTAAATAGACCTAACCAGTATAGTTGTAATTTATTCTTTTTTGTATAAGAAGATTAAGATCTGACTTTATTGGAAAGAATGGTATATCATGGAACAATAAGAAAAGAAGACATTTAGGTGTAGCTTACAGAACAAATAAAAGGAGCCCCAAAAACGTAGGTACCATACTATTGGCGAAAGAAAAATATTAAATGGCTTTGGGAAAGCAAGACTGAATTTTAGCTCTTGTCAGGAAGATACTTCCAATCTGCTTCAATGTAGGGACCTTCATCTTTTACACACTGGTAGCATAGTTTTGTTTTGTTTTGTTTTGTTTCTTTTTTTGATGAAATTTCTCTGCCTTCTCATTTAATGGGTCTAAAGGAAGTCCCGCAAGTGATGTTGTTTTGCTAGTGGCTAATTTCTGTAAATTCAATAATGTAGAGTTTCATCTATTTTCCCCAAGTGTAATAATGGATACTATATAACCCTGTTCATTCAGTCATTGACATCAAGTTTCTTGATGTTCTGAATGAAGATTGAGCCCTGTGTTGGTTCTGCATAGGAGTTATGTTCTCAGCATGTTCTATTGTCACATGGGATTGGTGAAGAAAACATTTGACAAACCTCTTCAAAGCTATATACATTCTGAACAGTTAGATACAGTGGGCCTGGAATCCTGGGTTAAATGGAGTGGTTCATGGCAGCATGATGGAGGTTTGGGTGTATCTGCTGGAACCACTGGGTCATCATGAGCCTTTAAAGGGGAGAACTGGACACAACAAGACTGAAGTGCAGGCAGGGGCCTGGAAGTTGTTTAGGGGCTTCCTGTCTAGGAACAAACTGGCTCTGGGTAGTTGAACATTAATTGTTGAAGCAGAAAAACATCAGAAACACTCTTGATGGACTATCTGCTCTGAATTGTATCTTAAGTAGGCCTGGCAATAGTAAATACCACTGCTATGGTCTCAATATCCTCCCAAATGCATGTATTGAAACTTAATCCCCTTTGTGGTGGTATTAAGAGCTGGGACCCTCTGGGAAGCGATTAAATCATGAGAATAAGGCCCTTATGAATAGGTTAGTGCCTATAAAAGGGCTGAAAGAAACCACCTTAGCGCCTTTTTGGTCTTCCACTCTTTAGCCATGTGAAGACATTTATTCACTCTGGAGAATGCAACTACAAGGCGCCCTCTTGGAAATGAAGAAGGTTTCTCATCAGACACTAATCTTGCTGGCACCTTGATCTTGGACTTCTCAGCCTCCAGAACAATGAAAAGTAAGTTGCTATACTTTATAAATTACCCAGTCTGCGGTATTTTGTTATAGCAGCACAAATGTACTAAGACCTCCACTCTCCTTCCCACTGTTCTTCTGGTTCTGTGTATCTGAATGAGGTAGAAAGCTCAGGAAAGTCCTTGCCCAAAGTCCTTTACATTTTCAAAAAAAGAGACCTGTGGGTGTAGCAGATTTACAGGACCACATGTGATCTAGGCCTGCCTTCCTCATCCACATTATCCTATAGTGCTTCCCTCCTTGTTTTCTTATTTCTAGGCATCTGGGCCTTCTTTTCTATGCCCCTCAATCTGTGTCACCTCCCACCCCTTTTGTACACACAATTTTCTCTGGAATGATCTCTCTAGATACTACTGGTCTACCTCCCTCACTTCATCTTTGCCTCTGACTCCCATCCATCCATCAGGTCTAAATTTGGGAGCAACTCCCAATAAGACCCCTTTAGCTTATCTCCCTTGTTAAATTAGGTCCCCTGTAATCTGCTCTTTGCACAGAGCTCTTCCTGAACATCTATCCTGTAGCACTTTGTGCACTTGTAATTAACTGAGTAATGCTTCTGTTCACTTAACATCTGTGTAGCCTACCAGACTATAAGAGCAACATGGGGCCACGGCTCACACTGTATTGTCAGTGCCTGGCAAGTGAAGGTTAACTCAAGGGCTGACAGTCAAATAGAGGAATATCTCTGTCTTTGGAGAACAGGCAGCACCAAACGGTGGAAAGAACTTTAGTCTGAGAGTCAAGAATCCTAGGCCCTTGTCACAGCCCTGAAGTTAATTTCTTGGGTGATTTTGAAGTGGTTATAAAAAGAAAAGGTGCCTGAAAATGTCTAATATCATGGCAGTGAAAGATAAGAAAAGAGAGGAGTTATGTGGTTCAACCATATTAAACTGCTAATATTTAACCTTTTTTTAACGTACTGAAGGGGCAATTTCATATGATTTAAACATACGGTTTAAGCTAATTGAATAGAAGTCCCTTTCAGCTTTGTTGTGGGGTCACTGAGTTTCTTCCACAAAGCTTGGAGTCCCATTTTAAATGAGTTTCCTTCTAAGGCGGTTGGGTCAGCTCACAGAGAGGAAAGTGCACTGTGTGTGTGGGACATGGAGAGCTGGTTCTAACTGGTCCCAGTGAGCAAAGAAGGTGGGCTCTGGTCATCACTGTCCCCAAATCACATTTTCTCACTCCCAGTCATAAGTCCCACATCTTCACTTTGAACATGGTTTGAAAAGATGATCTTTTTTTATGTTCTCATGCCTGCCCCTCGGCCTTTGTGAAGCAATTTCTACAGAAACGATGGTCTGCCACCAAATAAGAGTTTACTAAGAATAAAAATTGAATTTCGTCTGCCTGTTGACAAGCTGATTGATCTGGGGGCTCTCGTGACCGAATCGTCTCCTAAGCACATTCTCATTTATCATGTGCGAGATTGTTTCAAAATCAATAGCAGCCCTGCGCAGATGAGTGTCTGCTGGGGACCTGTCAGGGCCCACGGCCTTCCCTGTAATGCTGCTAATTTCTTTGACAGAATTATTTCAACAGTTAAATTGTTCTGTGCCTGTTATCCCCATACTTTTACTAGAATAGTTTGTTGAGGTCCTAATTTTTAATATCCTTCTTGTAAAGTTGAGCTTTAAGGAGTTTGCCCTTTTTAATCATGAGGGTAGTTTCTCACCCCTGCTTTTCTTGCTTAAAAATCTGTGTTTGAGAATTAGATTATATTTTAGGATCTTACTTGAGAGTAATAGGAAGCAACTCTATATTCAACTTGCATCAAAGCACGTGTCATAGAGAAGCAGGAGTGAGGCAACCTGACTTCACTGAAAAGAATAGCTGTGTGGCTTTCGAAATTTTCTTTCCCTGTCTGGGCCTCATTTTAAGAAACTGAGTCAAATGATATCGTAAGAACACTGTTTTTAACAGGCTATTTGTTCAGGTCAGGAGCTGCAAACTGAAGGTACATGGGTAGGATTCAGACTGCAGATAGATTTTATTTGATCTCCAAAGTATCTGTTTTGTTTCACTTAACTTAATTCACCCTTTTTCTACTTAATTTTAAAAATTAATTTGTTGATGTTTTTAATTTACATGCAGTACCATGAACTCACAGAACTCATAGAACTTTGGCACATGCATAGATTCTTGTAACCAATGAAAGTGAGATACAGAAGAAATTCCACATTCCAAAAATTCCTTTGTGTTTCCCCTTGATATTCAAGTGCCCCCCTCCACCACAACTTCAAACCTTTGACAATCACTGATGTGCTCTCTTTCTATAGTTTTGCCTTTTTCAAGATACCATACAAATAAAATGATATTATTAATTACATTTTGAGATTCAGTTCTTTTACTTAGCATAATGCATCTGAGATTCATCATGTTGTGTGTTACCAGCAATTTGCTCCTCTTTGTTGCTCAACAATATTCCATTGCATGGATGCACCATGGAAGTACCATAGTTTGTTTATTCACTCACCCACTGAAGGGTATTTGAGCTGTTCCTGGTTTGTGATAACTGCTATTGTTTCATGTGTCCTTTCCAAAATTCAGGTGGTGCCAATGTAATAGTATAAGAAGGGAGAACTTTAAAAGGCAATTTGGACATGAGGACTCCTACTTGTATGAAAGGGATTTATGGTCTTCTAAAGGAGACTTCAGGCAGCATCTTTTTTGCCCTTCCACCTTCTGTCATGCGATAACAGAGCAACAGGGCACCATCTTGGAAGCTAAAAACAAAGCTTTACCGGGCACTGAATCTGCCAGAGCCTTGATCATGGACTTCCCAGACTTCAGAACTGAGAAAATAAATTGATGTCATTTATAAATTACCCAGTCTCAGATATTCTATTATGGAAGCACAAAATGGACTAAAACAATAATTATGAATAATGCTGTTATAAAATTTGAGTACAGGTTTTGTATGAACATTTAAGTTTTCATTTGTCCAACATAAATATCTAGAAGTAGGATAGCTGGATCATATAGTAAGTGTATGTTTAACGTTTAACATTTTCAGAAATTACAAGTGTATTTTTTTCAAAGAGATTATGCCATTTTGTACTCTCACCAGCAATGCACAAGAATTCCTGTCTCTGCATCCTTACTGACACTCGATATTGTCAGGATTTTTTATTTCAATCATTCTAATAGGTGTGCAGTAGCATTTCATTGTGATTTCAGTTTGAATTTCCCTATGACAAATGATATTGAGCATATTTTCATGTGTTTATCTGGCGTCATATTTCTTTTCTTTTTTTTTTTTGAAACAAGGGTCTTGCTCTGTCGCCCAGGCTGGAGTGCAGTGGTGTGATCTCCACTCACTGCAAGCTCCGCCTCCCGGGTTCATGCCATTCTCCTGCCTCAGCCTCCCGGTAGCTGGGACTACAGGTGCCCGCCACCACGCCTGGCTAATTTTTTATATTTTTAGTAGAGACAGGGTTTCACTGTGTTAGCCAGGATGGTCTCGATCTCCTGACCTCATGATCCGCCTGCCTCGGCCTCCCAAAGTGCTGGGATTACAGGCGTGAGCCACCACGCCCAGCCCATATATCTTTTCTAGTGAACGATTTGCTCAAATATTTTGCCTGTTTTTAAAATTGGGTTGTTATTTTCTTATTGTTGTGTGGGAGATTCTTTGTATATTCTTGGTACATGTCATTTGTCACATATTTGCTTTACAAATAATTTCTCCCAGTGTGTGGTTTATCCCTTTATTCTCTTGTTTTTGTCACAGCACAAAAGTGCTTAATTCTCATAAAGTTCATTATTTTTCCTTGTAACATTTTTTTGTGCTTTTGATGTCATATCTAAGAAATCTTTCCCTAACCCAATGTCATGAAGATTTAGTTCTGTTTCCTTCTAAGTGTTCTATAGTAATTTGTTTTATATTTGAGTCTGTGATCCATTTTGAGTTAATGTTTTTATCTAGTGTCGGGTGTGAATCAAGCTTCTTTTTTTCTTTTTTTTTTGGTGTGTGTATGGATGTTGAAAGGCTTTTCTTGGCACTACTTGTTGAAAAGACTGCCCTTTCTCCATTAAATTATTATCAAAAATTCAAAAATCACTTGATGATGTTTGTGTGCTTCCACTTCTGGGTTTTCTATTCCATCCCATTGGCGTATCTGTCTACCTTTTCATCAATGGCACACTGTCTTGACTACTGTAGCTTTACAGTACATCTTATAATTTACTAGTGTGAGTTTCCAACTTTGTTCAATTTTTCAAAATTGTTTTGGCCATTTGAATTTCTTAATCTTTCCATACAAGTTTTAGAATCAGTTAGTGTGTATGTACAAGAAATCTTGCTGGGATTTTGATTGGGGTTGCATTAAATCTATGAATCAACTTGGGGAAAAATTGACATCTTTACAATATCTTAACTATATTGACTCTTTCGCTCCATGGACACAGTGTCTTTCTGTTTCTTATAGGTCTTCTTTGATCTCATTTATCAGCATTATGCAATTTTTAGCACACGGATCCTAGACATATTTTGTTGTATTCATATGTACAATTTCCTTTTGAGAGCTATTGTAAATGGTACTGTTTTAATTATTTTATTTAGAATTGTTTGTTCATTGTTCATACATAAAAATAAAATTGATTTCTATGTATTGATCCTTTATTCTACAACCTTATTGAACTCACTTATTTGTTCTAGGATCTTTGTTGTAGTCTCCTTGTGGTTTTCTATGTAGAGAATTATATTATTTATGAATAGGGATAGTTGTATTTTTCTTTCTATTCCAAATGCCTTCTATTTCTTTTTCTAGACTTATTGAATTTGCTAGGACATCTAGTACAAAATTGAATAGGAGTGGCAAGAGTTGACATCCTTGACTATTTCCTGATCTTATGGAGAAAACATTCAGTATGATGTGCTGGGTGTACTGTTTTTTGCAGATACCCTTTATTACATTTCCTTCTATTCCTAGTTTTCTGAAAGGTTTTGTTATGAATGAATGCTGAACTTTGTAAAATTCTCTTTTTCTGCATGTATTGATATGATCATATACTGTGATAAATTACATGATTGATTATTGAGGATTAAGCCAGATTTTCAATTCTGTGATAAACCTCATTTGGTCACCAATATTTTTTAATGTAACAGCTTTTAAATAAACACTTTGAATTTTCAGTTTCTCCTCATAAGTCAGAAGATCTGACATCAGTGACTCAGAAATCCTGCCTGTTTACAAACTACAGTTGAATAGAGGCTACTGTCTCACAGAGTGGGTAGGTGCCATCAGTAAACCGTAGTAGAAGACAGTCAAGAATGTTTATCTGTGGCATAGGTACTCATGGCTTTTTCAAAGGAAAGAAATATTTATCTATGATAATGTCTCCAAAAAAGTGAAAAGTGAAAGACAGACAAAGAGTTCTGTCTGTTTCAGGGAAAATGGAAGAAAACATGTACTTTGAGGAAAGTAGAGAAAGCATGTACTTTGGGGGAAGTGATCAGTATTTTCAGCTATTTTCCATCACAGTTGTCACCACCTTGGCCCCTGCAGGCATCTAGGTTAGAAACTCTACTCTAAATGAATATTCCAGGTATCATTCCCTAAACCTTGCCCAATATACAACCATGCCAGACCTCTGGAGGGGCACAGAGTGACTGCAAGGAAACAACCAAGCATATAATTCTTCTTAGTACTTGCAACTTGGACAAAGGTGATGCAATGAAAGCCCCAGGCTGTTTCTTCTGTACCCAATCATCCACATGACTCCCACATCTTAGTATGATGATCTTTTTTTCCCCTACTTGATTCATTTTCAACCCAACTCTTTATTTAGTGACACAATATTTGATTCCAGGGCAACTATTCTTTGGAGAGAATAAAGGATGATGCATTTGTCCCATTAGCGTTTCTCTTGGAATGCTCTCTTGAGTCTACAATGAAAACCTTCCTCAAACATGTATTTCTCTTTTGTGCCTCTGTCTCCCCAAGTAACTCCTTCTGACTAAGGTGTCCATTCTATTAATACATTTTTTTAATACCTGAAAATATTTACCAGTGCCCCAGAACTCTGGGCAATGCTTTTGACTCTGTAAGGAAAAATTAATCAAGCTCTTCGTGGGTCCTTACTGCCCTGTTCTTCCTTCTTTTGAAGTTAATTATACTGCTATCATCTGATAGCTTTAATCATGACTCTAAAACCAATTTTAATAGGTAAAATGTGGACATAGTAAACAAAAACATCAGAGCTTCTGAAAGTGTAGGCAGTAAAACATAAGTATCTGCCCTCACTCTTAACCCTGTGTCCCTGGTACTTTCCCCTAGAGGAGACAACTTGTCTCAGTTTCTTGTGTCTCCTGAAGGCCCTCTCTGAAGCATGTGTAACACTTTGCACACAAATGAAGACACTACACACACTTCTTCACCTTGCTTTTTTGTTACTTGAAATATATCTTAAAAGATTGTATTTTGAAAATATGTAGTGAAGAGTATTCCACATCAATATATTTACTTATTCATATCAAAATATTTATCAAATGCCTACTACACACCAGCACAGTTCAACCTCTAGCGATGCAGCTTTGAACAGACACAATTGCAACCCTCACTGATTTATTTTCTGTGTTGTTTTGATTGACAAATTGACTATTTTGATTGGCAAGTTTTCATTGACAAATTAAAATAATATAAAACAAAATTATGTATATATTATGTATCATGTTAGATAATATAATATGTATTATGACAGCTGGCATTTAGTGCTATGCAGGAAAATAATGTAGCATCAGAAGATAGAAAATGTTGGGAGATGGAGTTGCAATTTTAAATCTACTGGTGAGGGAAGGCCTCATTAAGAAGACAGCCTTTGACTGGGGATGGAAGTCTGTACCTGGTATATACAGGTAACCTCATTTTTTTAAGTGAATTATAGTCTTCTAAGTACATGATATGCCATAATATTAACGCATTTGCCAGTCCATGATAAGGGACTATTGGTTGTTTCTACTCTATGTCCAATAAACAATGATACAAAGATTATCTTTGCAACCACTCTTTGCATATATGAGCATTTTTAAATATAGTGACAAAAAGAAACTCTCAAAAGAAGTGCTGTATCAGAAAAACAATTACCTGTATACATATTCATGTCATTTATTAGCCTGAGTTTCTCAAGGGTAAGAACTGTATCTCAGACATCTTTGAATTTCCTGAACCTACAGGATGTTTTTGGTTTGAACACGTAACATCTCAGGTCAAGAGTGTGGCTTTTCATTCTTCCAGTAGGCACGCCAACTTCCTCAGTCCCCTAAATTATATCCTACAGCTTAAGTTCACATCTACCCCCATGGACCCCAGCTGACATGGCTGAACTTATTACAGGAACCTAAGTAAGACAGAAAGTAAAAAGTCTTTTCCATTAGGCAATAAATAGTCATTTTTCTCTTCTGCATAGAAGGACACTGTGTTCTCAGGATGTGAAATCATGAAGGCTCACCCCAAAGGACAAAAAGAATAATTCACATCTCATCCTTCAGCTATTGTAAACACATATGCATTGCCTTCCCAAAGCCCTTTCTTTGAGGGTATCCAAAGGAGACTACATATCTTCAAGGTCAAGGTAACTGAGAAAATTGGCAGACTCCAAAGGCTCTTGAGCATTTCAGTTAAAGTTAAGATCAGTTTAGTTTAAGGAGAAAAAAAAAAAAAACTCCCAGAGAAGACATGATGGATACGTAGCAACTTGGAGCTCTGATAATATTTTCAGAGGATGTCAGAGCATTCACAATTATTCAGTGCTCAGAACTCATTTGCTCCCTGGCATTATCTGTGTTGGTCACAATGGAAAGTATCCTTGAAACATGTAGGGAAAGGTCATCTCATGAAAATAATAAGCAAGCTCTTTGCTCTTAGTTCACTTAGAGGAGGTAAGAGGAAAATATATAAATAAGAGAGTCAACAGCTGGATGGTATGCCTGAATTTGTAGGGCAGATGATTCCTGCTGACGCCAGAGGCTGGTGTTCCCAAGAAGAGCAACAAGAAGTGATTTCTATTAAACCCTCATATCTTATTAATTTTATAACATAAATTGCCGTTAGGCTTTCCTGTGGAATAGACAATGATGATAATTTACACATGCTGGACAGATAAATGGTTCAATTCTTAGTTACAAGAGACTGTTGACAGTGATTACTGATGCTCATTTCTTTCATGCACATTATGGGGGGCAGGAAACTCCAGGTTTAGAGGCCTTTCATGTTTTTTCAAAGTAAATCAGTCACTCACATAATAATTATTTATTATTCCACATTGGCAGACAGTTGGGTGCATTTATGACAGTTAAGAGCTTGAGACAAAATGCTGCAAAGTGGCGCAACCGATAAAATATTTTACAGCACAAGAGATAGCAACAATAATTAGAACGCCTCGGTACATAATGAAAGAAAAACTGTGAGGTTTTACCAGTGACTCCTGGCTAGTTTTCACTCATACCTCTAACTCGTTTGGGTCTGAAGTGCTGGTGTTCATGTGAGATTTGGACCCAGACCACTAGAAATCTTTATAAAGGCCCTCCTTCCCTAAATATCATCCATCCGCCCATCTGTCCACATATTTCATTTTTCATTCATGCATCCAACTTTGATTAAGCATTTTGTATGTGCTGAGAATTCGATTAAGTTCTTTATTTCATATCTAACTGGAAAGACAGACCCTTAACTGAGAACCGGATGAATGATCATTTCAATTTAAACTGGTCTACCTCTTCCGATTCCCTACCTTGTTGTATTTCAGGTGTTCATCAGAGTTAGGTTTCCATAAAAAAGAAAGTGTTAAATCTGGGTTCTTTTGTCACAGTGCTTGGTTAGTGTTTTTTTTTTTTTTTTTTCTGAAATCCATTTTTTTAAAAAACACGTTACAAAAGAAAATACAGTGAAAACCTCATTTCTCTCATATTGCTAAGCTCTAATTGCCTCCCCAGGATACTGGTTTCCTATGTCCTCTATTGCATTATTTATGTACAGTCAGGCCTGCTATGATTCAACAGATAACCCCTAAAGATCACTGCACTCTACAAAATCACACAGCAAAAACAGCAGGTCTGATGGGGAAAAGAGGGGCACAGTTACAACACTCTAAAATATCAGCGGCATATTTGAAAAATAATAAACACCATAGGAGTCTAGTAAAAACAGCAGAACAGTTTTACATGTGTTAAGGGGTTAAGAAATACATACATACTACAATGAGCATGACATTTTACCTTGAAAAAGAACTATATTTTACTTATAGAAATGGATATGGAAGAATTGTAGCTTGCAAGTTTCTAGGAAGTAATAGAAGGAGGGCTACCTGATGGAAACTTCAAACACCAGATGTGATAGGTGTAGCTCATAACACAGCTGAGCTGAGGGAGCTGGTAGATGTTTGAGGTATGTGTGTGTGTGTGTTTTGGGTATTTGTCTGTGGCTCAGATAAGTTGGGTACAGTTTTCTGTGTTCAACTAGTGTTTCTTGCAGAAGGCATTATGCATTAACAAACACAAAATCTGCATTATGTTCAAATTATTACCTATTAGATAAATCACACTAGAAAAAAAATTTGTGTTCTCAAAACAAGTATTATAGCACAACTGACAGTATATATGAAAATATGTCTTTTACTTTCAACATAAACTTTAATGTAGAGCATCTTCTTTTCTAAACTTTGAAAATACATCAAAATAGAAAAGTTATGTCACCTATCATTCTAAAACAATCACACTTATTTTTGAATACTTTTAAGATACTTTATTTACATACATGGTTAACCTTGTCTTAGAGAGAGTGTCTACCAAAGGAAATTGTTGAATTAAAGTAGAGTTGTTTCAGTGATAAGTGGTAACGCTTTCTCAAGAATTACTTTCATTTTAGATGGAAAGAACCCAAATGGCCACCAAATGATGAATGGTTAAACAAAATGTAATCTTGTCGTATAATTCAGCCACAAAAAAGAATGAAATGCGGATACACTCTGCAATATGGATAATCTTTACAATTCTGTTTTCCTTTTCAGGTCTCAGAATAGCAAGGCTTTATTTTCTCTCTCTCTCTCTCTTTTTTTTTTTTTTTTTTTTTTTTCTTGAGATGGAGTCTTGCTCTGTCATCCAGGCTGGAGTGCAGTGGAGCGATCTCGGCTCACTGTAACATCTGTCTCCCATGTTCAAGCAGTTCTCCTGCCTCAGCCTCCCGAGTAGCTGGGACTACAGGTGCCCATCACCATGCCCGGCTAAATTTTTTGTATTTTAGTAGAGACGGGGTTTCACCATGTTGCCCAGGCTGGTCTCAAACTCCTGAGCTCAGGCAATCTGCCCGCCTTGGCCTCCCAACCAGGATTACAGGCATGAGCCACTGCACCCGGCCTATTTCACAGACTTTTAATTTTCCCATGGGTTCAATCACAACAGAGCAGAGTTATTCAAAGTCAAGTCTCTAATATTTGGCAGTCTGTGTTTAAATCCTAGCTCTCCCAATTATTTTTTATGTGTCTTTGAGCTAGCTAACTATACCCTTCTAGTTTAAGTTTTATCATTGTAAAACAGGAATATTTATACATATAATGGGAATGCTTTTAGTATTAAATGAGATGATACATAGAAAGCTCTTACCTCTGTGCCTGACATATAGTGAATGCAAAAAAAAAAAAAAAAAAAGAAAAAAGAAAAAAGAAAAAAAAAGATACAGCTGTTTTTAACTCAGAAGAAATCTATCTGAATCCAGAGTATGAGAGCAAAGTGTCTGAATTTTCTCTAGGTTTCTTTCCATATGGGTGTTTGTTGAATTCTCTTCTGGGTTTAAAGCTGGTGCTATGTCATGGCTTTGTCTACCTGGGACTTTTTTCTGCCTTCACTACCTATGATGCACTATGATGCTACTCAAAGCACTGTGATGTTTTGAGTATATGGGATTTGTGAACTGTTACTATCACAGATTGTCCTATCTTCTCTTCATTGTGGCTACTGCCTGGGTTCAATATATTAATTCCAGTCTTCCATCTCCTTTTATATCCAGGTATTCTCCAGAAGTTGTAACCTATGAATAGAGATCAAAGGAGAGTCATTCATAAGAGCTGATGAAGGAGTTCCACAACTCCAGCTGTTGCAACTAGAAATACTAATGTAAGTAAAGAGAACAGTTTTCTGATTGGTGCAGTCCTTGGAATTCTGAACCAATGAAAGAGAGCAAAAATGGGATGAGAAATCTTCCTATCCTTGGTCCTTTAATCCTGTTACATGCCTTTATGCTCTGGGAGGTGCTTCTAGATTCTGCCTAATTCTTGGCGGACCTACTTCTTGGTGGTGGGGGAAATTCTTGCCTTCTGTGCCTCTGCTGTTTGAAGGTAGAACACCTCTTCCTTATTTACAATACTCTTATGTTTTTGGTGTTTTTCTCAAATTCAGGACCAGCAGAAAAATGGTGGAAAGTGAATGCATGTGCTTTTTGTTTTCTGATGTCTGGTGAGGACTGGGAGTTCTTTCCAGGGGCAGATTGTCTGACTTTTGCAACATCTCACAGAGGGTACTTTCAAGGGGAATTAGTAAAATCAGAAAATTTCCAGTTGAACAGAACTTTAAGAATTACCGAACCTAAGCTAATGCCTGGTGTTCAAATTATTTTAATAACATCCCCTTCATACAATTTGTGCAATTTCTTCTGCACTATCTTCTTGATACCAATCTCACTAGCCATCATTATAGTCCATTTCATTGTCAGAAAACTTGCTGAACCAAATTAAAATGTGTCTTTTATGTATGACCTTAGAGGTAAAGGAGAAAATTATTATACAGTCAGGAATCTGCATAGGAAACAGAAAATACTCTAGGAATTATAATCAAAAAGGCCTTTAACAAAAGGAATTAAATACTTTCAAAATTATTGAAAAAAATGGATGGTTCAGAAGTTGAGGGATTGATATGTTTTTTTTTTCTAGTTTAAACTTTTGTTGAACTATAATGTGCATACAGCAAATGCCATTAATATTTTGGCTTCAACATCACCCGATAGGAGACTGCGTCTACCGCCAGTTCCTGCAGCTGTCTCATACCCACAAATGTGGTCCCCAGACACTGGAATCTGCAATCAGGCAACTACAGACACACATAGCCATTGTAGGTTGTTTGTCAGCCAGTCTTGCTGGAAAAAAAAAAAAAAAAAAAAAAAATTCTGCCTACTTTCTACCTTCCAAATCTCCCAAATCTAATTTACAGAGCACAAGTCACATTGAGGGCTATGGTCGCAAGTTGGTCTCAGAAAAGTTGTTTTTATCTTACCAACCTCTGTGTTATAAGGGTGTATGTAGCAGGGCATGAGAATGCATGGCAAGAAACAATAGACCATATGAAAGAAGTTAAGTTCTAGATGGACAGGCTTTTTTTTTATTAACCAAAAATATTTCTTCCAATGTCTTGGCCCATATAATGTATAATAGTCATGAAGTTCAAAAGAAAAAGGCACTCGATTAGTTATCATTATCTTCTGAATAGCAGAAATGTTTAGCCATTTTAAGACATTAACACTTGAGCTCAAAATACTTTTACAGATTTGCATTAATCAATTTTCAAGATCTGATGAGTACAGAATTATAGGGTCCTGAGATTCAATAAAGAAACTGGGGAAGGGCAGAGAAAGGAGAATTAAATGATAATGAATATAAATGAGATCTTTTCCTCAAGAAAGGATAGCTCCTAAAGATTACTTTAGGAATCCGTAGAAAAACAAAGGCAAAGAGCCCCAGTGATGGGGCTATCATGTAAAGTCTCAAAAGCATTCCCCGAAGTGATGTGTTCTTCAAATTTTTACCGGTAGACCTGGGAGAGACACGAGAGGCCATCAGGAGCAATTCACTATGACCACACTTGACCAGTGAAAAATAGAGTGCAATTTATGGTATGCCCAGGACCTTTGCCTGCTCCGTTCCCATCTCTCTGGAGAGCAGCAGTGCAATCAGGAAGTTTATTCCCTTGTAAACACACCTTATTTTTAACATCTTAGTCATATTCAGCTGAGTTATCGTTGCTTATGTTATTCAAATGACTCATTTCCTCTTGCAGCCTGCAAATATTAGACATGAACATATCCCATATCTGTCTTATTCCCTATAACCCTGAGAACCATCATTTAGTTTATCCAAAAGAAGAGTTTTAGAGGAAAATCATACCAAAGGCCAACATAAAATGCAAGAAATGGAAAAGCGAATTGCACATGTATCTTTTTATCTGAAGCCTCCACACACGAGAAGGGTTCAGCTCGTGTTCTCTGTAAAATGTAGATGGATGGCAGCAATAACATCGGATATAGGAAAAAAAAAACAATCAAATCACTGAGTAGTTCACATTCTAGATATATTATATCAGGATGGGGGGGCTCTACCTTCAGGCATGTGTTGCCTTTCTCAAAAGGCTTCTGAAATGTGTCCATGCATCCTTCCCTTCACCCTGTTTGGGCCTGATTCGACACTGCAATTCACATATTGTCGTATATTCGGACTGCTTTCTTATCATTCCATGAAAATCTTATGCTCATTTATACATTTTCATTTTTGCTTTTCATATGCTGGTGGGTTCCCACCTAAATTCCCTTTACCTGGCCAGTGCATCTGGCCTTAGCTGCTGAACTTCTTGCCCATAGGTTACCCCTTCACTTGAAGGGAGGGCCCATGACCACTGATTGACTCACGGAGAGTTCAAAAGACCCCTTGCTTTAAAAGGAGGATATTCTACATTGCAATTAATGCATTCGAATCTGTAGTTTATGCTTTCTTTTTAGGGAACCTGATCTGAGGCACTGCTAAATAGGTTTTTTTCTTTATCTGCTTGAAACTTTGAGTCCAGACACTTTCTGCTTCCCCAAGGTAGTAAAGGTCTGGGTTCATTTCCACTAACCTTCCAGAAGTCTTCCCTGATAGTTTCAATTCTCTTCTCTGTTCAGAGATGCTCTGTCATTCCCAGGTGGTGATACTAAGTTGAGTGCTCTCACAGATGCTGTCTTGTGGGGTCAACTGCCAGTTTGTCATATATATAAACTGTAGTTCCCTCAGGAAGGATTGGTAGAGGTATACAATGTGCAGCCCATAAATGGTGTCCACCTAGCTTGACTTATAAGAGCAGTTGATTACTACCACCCAGTTGCTCGTCAATTCCAAATCAAACCAACCTGCACCCTTCAATAAGTCAGGAGCAACAACTCTGCTTACCTAAGGAGGATCCCTATCCCCGGTCACTGCAGGGGCTTCTGACAATGTGGAGCAAAGAAAGGGGGTGGACAGAATTACTGAGCTTCAAATAAACACAAGTTCATGTCTTACCAAGCACCTCATCTACACATGAAAGGAAGGCTGAGCCATCCCATGCTGCTTGTAGCCAACTGATTGTCAGGAGGAGTTGATTTTTCAAAGTGGACATCCACAAACTGAGGCATCTGGCCTAAGAAACTGAGTCTAGGATTAAAAGAAGAACATGTACAAGAGACCTCACTTGGAGTGTGCAGTTTGGTTCTTTTAGAAGAAACGTAGGAGGGCCCTTTGTCAGAATAGAAACAGTTTTGCCCAGAGTTTCCAAAGCTATGCTCTTTGAAACATAATTTTCTCTAGGTAAACTGAGAACATAAGATTCTGTCTTCAAGTAAATTTTGAAATCTACACACTATAGCCAATGGATATGTCCAAAGGGCATTAAAGGCTCTGAAAAGTCCTGTAAGTTAAAAAAAATCTGTCTAACTTTGTTTAATCTAGCATTTTTTATTTTTATATGAACACAGAAGAAAAGTTATTCTACACAGCTATTTATTGTGGAAATCTTTATGGACATTCTGGGGGTGGCAATTATGGTGTTGGGGGATAGGGTGAGAGCTAGTGAGGTCCCGGTCATCTGAGCCCATGTGAAATTTGCATGAAGTCATTCTACATTGGTGAGGAATTGAGTACAGGGCCAGTAAACTGCCTTTTCTTTTTGACATTTACTGGGAAGATAATCATTTGGCTACAAGCAGCATGGGATAGCTCAGCCTTTCTTTCATTCTGTAGATTAGGCACTTGGTGAGAGTTGAACTTCTATCTATTTGGAGCTCAGTAACTCTGTTCTCCTTTTCTCTTTCCTCAGTTGTAGGAAGCCCTTGTGGTGACTGGGAATTGGAATCCTCCTTAGATAGACAGAGCTGTTGCTTTCTGCCTTCCTGAAGGAAGGTTTGGTTAGGGGATGACCAGCAATGGGGTGTAGTGAAAATGGAGTCTATTTTATTACGAGGACTATTTTATTCCCATTCTTCAACATGACATTCCAAGAATTACATAATTTATTCCTCACAAGCATCATTAGGATCTACAGAACAGGTGTTAGCATCTTTCTACTTTATAAGTGAAGAAAATGAGGCCCAGAGAGAAAACAACTGTCTTGATTCATTTGTACTTCATCCAGTTTCCCATCCACTTATTTACTCAGAAATATTTATCAAGTACCAACCCGATGCTGGGTCCCATGCTCCTGCATTTATCTCACATTGGTTTTGTTCTATACAGAAAATGAACAACCATGTCATAGCAGGCAAGGTGCATGGTCTTGCCAGAGTAGCATGATGGTGTCCAACTCAACTCAACAAACAGGAGGAATGTCCCCACTCTGGGCAGGCTCTGGGTCCAGGCCATTTCTTAGGAGACTTTTAAAGATCTGAAAAATCTAGAAACAGATTCCTGCTTCTGTTTTTGTGGGCTACTGTTCAAACCAGTTTACTTTATGTTTTCCTTGAATACAAACATTATTAAGTCTTAAAAGGTTTATACTGTTCTAAATTATCTAAACTATCTCAACCAGGTTTAAATTAGGTAACTTTAGCTCAAGAGTAGAAGATGGTGCAACACTGAATCTTCTCTCTTGTATTTCACATAGGGGAGCAAGTTCTTGAACTTCAGAACTTATGTCTGTGTTTAGGGAACACCATAATAACTGAAATAAGTGCTTATTTAGAATAAAAATATCAAAGGCAGTTGCTTGCATATGGCAGGTCGTTAATTGTTGAATAACTTAATGACTAATAACTTCGTTGTGGGAGGCTGTTCTGTGCATTGTAGGATGTTTAGCAACATCCCTGACGTCTACCCTCTAGATGCCAGCAGACTGCCCAAAGATGTGACAATCCAAAGTGTCTCCAGACATTGCCAAATATTCTGGAGTGGGAAATATTACTCCCAATTGAGAACCACTGCCCTAATGTGCACTGAGCGTACTGAGTGGTCATTCATTCTTGGACCCGTGCATCAGGAAGGTAGATAAGGAAGTTGAGCAAAGTGTGAGCAGCTTGCTGAAGGTCAAGTCTAGAGTTAGCTATATGGTGGGGGCTAGAACAGGAGTTATCTGCCTCCAACCTTATGCCAGGCTATTTGTTCCATAGTGACAATGACTTTCACATGAGTGGCTTCTGCCAGATTCGCAGCCCTTTGCAGCTCGATGTGAGAGCACAGTGAGGAAAGGCATCCTAATTCCCAAATGAAGAGGCCCATAGGAATCAGACCTTGGAGGGCTGTGTTGTCCGCTTTCTGGTTTCATCTAGAACTAGAACTCTCTGCGCATGAGCAGCCCAAACATGAATATTCCTCCAACAGTCCTACCCTGGTTAGCCATGGCATTTGGAGATAGTGGTTAATGACAAACAAACTGCACCTTTTCCAGACTCCAGATAACAGATGGTCAAATGGACTCTCTTAGGGGTGGCAGTTTGACTGTTTCTTCTCTCCCTTTCTCTCTATATCCACGTATATCATGACTTGAGTTACAAAACATTGGCTGGGCAAGGCTTGGGGTTGGTAGGGAGCCATGGGACCTAAGCCTCTGTTTATGACACATGTCATATTTCATGGACCACGTCTGGACCCCACCTGCCTCCTTAATCTCCCTGGAATGCTGCTGCTTCCTCTGCAAGCTGCATTGTGTTCTGATGACTTCGGTGGGTACTGCAGTTTCCAATTTCCTAACCTTTCTATTAAAATTAATATTTAGATTTTATAACTTTAAAACTGGAAGAATGATGGAGGCAGTATTTGATGTTTATGTCTCTCAGTCACGAAAATGCTCCCCATGTCACTTATGCCGGGCCACACACATGTAGTCACAATAAATAGCATTTAACATGTTTACAGTACGGAGAGGATGAGGAGGACTTCTGTTTTTATATTGATGGAGTCAGCTGGGCTGGGGATACTATTGTTTACAATGAGCTACATTTTTTGTTGTTCTGATTTACCCTCAAATTAAATCTTTATTTCAGAAACCAACCCCAGGGAGTCTCTGTAATGAGAGAATGTAATAAACAGCATTAGGAGAGGGCCCGTAGCTGCTGCTCCCTGGTAATTAGTCCAAATGTCTCAATCAGAGTGGTTTTCAAAGTTTTATGGCTGCAGTTTGGTCACAGGTTTATTTGTAAAAAGCTGGTTTGGCATTTTGTTCAGCCTGGCCTTTGCCCTCTAGGGAGGGAAGCTGGGGGTCTGGTCACACGGAACGGGACGGGCAAATCAGGCTTTTAGGTTTGCTTGGGGGCCATGCCCACATTTCTCGTTGCCATCTGTTTCCAAATTGAAAATGATCTGAATGTAAAGGAATTGAGAAGGGGAAATAAATATCTGGTCTTCTTTTGGAGGACACGCAAAGGAAGGCAAGGGGCCGAGGCTGGGACCCAGTGTGTGGGAGTGTTCTCATGAAGGCGGGGCCGCGGCCCTGTAAAGCTCTGCAGGAGGGGAGAGGTCATTAAAATGCCCCGGTGCCCAATGCACCCCGTGTCCCTCAGTTTGGTGGGAAGAAGGAAGCCTGGACCTTAGCGACACTCCTACCCCCAAGCCATACAGAACCTCCCTGGGGGCCTATAAGTTGCTGAGAGCTCTAGCCTGCCTAGAGAAGGCTGCCCTTCGAGGGGCCGGAAAAGACACAGCAGCAGTGCTAGCTCCAGGCAGCCTCCCATTCACTCTGAGTGGCTAAGCAAGGCAGCGAATGCAGACAGGCCGAGCCGGCTGCTCACTGTGCAGATTCTCCTGCTGCCCTCTCTCCATAGCATTTGTTTCGTCACTCAGTATTGGCTGAGAACCATAAGTGTTGAGACACTTAGCCATCTTATTTTCTGTGCCAAATGGCAAAATCCCCAGAGGCCCGGACAGGTAGGAGACTCCATAGGGCATAATGGATGGATAATTTAAATCAGAAAATCCAGAATGTCTGGTGTCTGTGTTGCAAGCCCCTCTGCTTGCCTCTAAGTCACTTAGCCTGGGTGCAGAGGTCCCACTAGGTCCAGGGTGAAGGAGAGAAAGGGAGGAGGGACGGGAAAAGTGAGCGAGGGAAGGCGATCAGGTCACAGGGTGCTTCCTTATCCATGCTGCCATGTTATTTATTCATTTTCAAATAACATTTGTGTAAGACCTATCTTCTAAGGAACCATCAATCATTGAGTCCAAGCATCTGCAAACATTTTCTGTAAAGGCCAGATAGTAAATATTTTATTTAAGCTTTGTGGGTCGTACAGTCTTTGTGATAACCACTCCATGCAAAAGCAGCCATGGGCCATATGCAAATGAATAGGCACCACTGTGTTGCAATAAGACTTTACATACAAAATCAGGTGGCTAGGCAGGGTTTGGTCGATAGTATGACCACCACTGATTTAACCATTAATTCCGTCTTCTGAGTTAATTTTGCTCTTTCTTTAGTTCTCCTCTTCCTTTCTTCATTCCTTTCCCCTTTTCTCTATGCGTTCCGCCCTTCTTCCTTCTCTCTCCTCCTTCCTTTCTTCTTTTTTTCCTTTCTTCTTCCTTTTAAATTAAGACACAGAGAACACAATGATAAGACGGGCATGGTCCTATTCCTCATGAAGCTAATTGTAGGGAATATTAATCAGTAAACAAATCACACACATGAAATATTGTAGCAAACGATGCTAGTTATGCAGCATCCATCTCTGTTTCTTTCCTACAAGAATCCCAATTTCATTCTGGGTGACAAAGTCTCAGATTAAAAAAAAAAAAGTCAATTCTGCTTTTCTTTCAGTGACAGGTGGCCATGTGACAGATTCTGGCCAAGGAGACATAGGCAGAAATTCTTGAAGACCAGAAATCATTCCCAAGTGAAAAAAGAGGCCCCTTTTGCCTCTTTGCTTCTTGGTCCTTTTATTTTCTTTTCACCTGGAATGCTGCTACAATTCCTGGAAGCACAGCAGCTAGAATGTAAACATGAGGATAAAAGCCACGTGCTAAAAATGGAAGCAAGAAGGTAGAAGGAGCCTGGGTCTCTGAAAATATTGTCAATTCTTCATATCAGCTCTGGACTGCCTTCCTCTGAACTTTTTGTTGCATAAGGAAATAAACTGCTTATGGTTTAAGCTGATATAATAGGCTTTTCTGTTACATGCAACCCAGCATGTAATAGAAATGCAGTAATGAGCTCAATTATAATTAGGAACAGAGTAACAGGGCTGTAGACTAAAACTTTGTGCTCATTAAATACTGGTATAGTCTAAAAGAGAAAATAAGTGCAACTACTATTAGATTTACTAAGTTATCACCTCAAAGTCTGTATATCTGAACATTTAGCAATGCTCTCCAAGATTACAGGAGGAACACGTGGCACTTAGCTGGCAATGTTGCCCCAACATTGTTTTAAAAATGATTTATAATGGCTGAGTTGTTTACTGAGTCTAGAAAACCAATGCAGCAAATTTAGGTGGGAGGTAAGTGTGGCGGCAGGTCTTGACTTAGTTCTTTTTTTTTTTTTTTTTTGGAAATTTTAAGGTTTCTTTTTTTTTTTTTAATTTTATTTCTGAAGGTTTTGGGGAACAGGTGGTATTTGGTTACATGAGTAATTTCTTTAGTGATGATTTGTGAGACTTTGTAGAAACTTCTTATTGCAAGAGGTTTTGTTTCTTTCCGCATGCAGGCAAGGGAACACAGAACCATTTAGTCATGAATTCAGTTACTCTGAATTGTTGACAGAACTACTGCCTTGATATCAGGCATTCTACATGTTAGGATACATTAATAAATGAAAAGTGATACGTGGGGGTGTATTTGTGTGTTTGTACTTTAGAGGATAAAGGTAATCATGACCACAACAGCAGAGTATCTTTCACCAGCTTAAGAAACACCAGGTAACAGCTCAAATAAAGACCTCAATCATCAGTGAAGCCTTTAATTGAGGCCTCCGTTAAGGGTTAGAAATAGGGGAAATCTACAAACAGCCTGATTGCTAGTGGACATTAGCTGGTTGATAAACTGTTCACATGATACTTAATTCTCAGAACTCAAGCACACAATTCAAATGTGTCTATCAAGGGGGCAGGGGGGGTCTTAGTCTATTCAGGCTGCTATAATGGAATACCATGGGCTAGGTGGCTCATAACAACAGGAATTTACTTCTCACAGTTCTAGAGACTGGGAAGTCCAAGATCTAGGCACCTGCTTATTTGGTGTCTGGTGAGGGTCTGCTTCCTCATTCACAGCCAGCCTTCCTCTTGAGGTGTCTTCACATGGCACAAGGGACAAGGAAATTCTCTGAAGTCTTTTTTTTTAAAATACAAGAGCACTAATCTCTCCATGAGGGTGAAGCTCTCATAAACTAATCACCCCTTAAAGGTCCCACCTCCTAATATGATCAACTTGGGGGTTAGGATTTCAATACATGAGTTTTTGGGCAACAAAATCATTCCTACCATAGCAGGAGTGACTTGATATAGGAGCTGGTGAAATGGAAAACTAGGTAGAAACTTCCTTGAAGGAGCTTTTAGTCCAAAGGATAATTTTTCAGGAAAGAAGGAAAGTGATAATCTACCTACTTTTGACTGAAGTGAAGGTACACTGATGACATTCTGGAAACATACTCACTTTGATTCCTTCTCAGACACTGAATTACATCAGCATTTAGAAATCAGAGCCTTGGCTTAAATTTCCAAGATTCCTGGACTCTTGTCATCCAGGCACCATGCCTTGGGGAGTCAATAACTCTTAGTTTCGTGGCTTTCTTCTATCTGCTTGATCATCTTCTTCTTCCTGCTTTCATAGTTTATTGATGAATGAGATGCACCTTGGATACTGAACACCACTAGGATGCTCTTTTTTATTTTTCAAAGAATTGCTGCACAGTGGCACACCTAGACTGCATTCAGAAGCTTTCTAGGAAACTTCACTGCATTTTGCAGAAGGCTTGAGCTTTTGGGTCAGCATTTTGGAAAGGAAGCCAATTGATTTTTTTTCAGCCTTGCTGATGCAATTCTTTTTGATGTGTATCAAGTGTATTTTGACACAATCCCTTGAGTCAATGTGGTTTTCAATATTCTTGGCCCTATAATGAAAGTCAAAGGAAGGGGGAATCTTTTCACTTAATGTTGATTTCTAATATTGATGGTGCATTATCCTATTTGTGTTTCAGAAGCTACAAGGGATAGAATTAACCCTTTTGGTCTCAGATTAGGTACATCTCTTGTGGGACTATGGCTAACAAAAGCTGATACTGACACTGGAGACAAAAGAACCTCTTGAGGAATACATGTCATTCTTATGCAGGTAACAATTTTTTTTATCATTACCTATTTTATGATAAATACAACAGCTGCAGCAGAATTTGTAGTTTTTTTTTTTTTTTTGGCTGTAAGGCATCTTAGAGAGTGTTTGCCAATTTTCTGTCTCAAAAAAGGTGTCTTCGCATCTTGATTTAGCCCTGAATAATTCAACAGAATCTCTAATAACAGAGTTGCATGTTGCAAAGCCCCAAAACATGTTGTAAGCTTAAAGAGGCAGCAAGAAATTTAGCATCACAAACAGAAATCAAAGAAAGCAAGGAGATCTTTAAAGGGTAGGAGTCAGTGCTTCACACATGTGCAGGGTGCTTATTTTTGCTGACAGTTTTCTTGTTTGCCATAGAGCAGAGGCTCCTAAAAGGGACAAAGAACATTCCTGGAGGTTGGCTATTGCTCTTAATTATTTTTTAATGAGAATTTCCTTCTTAAAGCTTGTCCATTAACTTGCCTGCCTGCCTGCCTTCTTTCCTTCCTTCCTTCCCTCCCTCCCTCCCTGCCTCCCTCCCTCCCTCCCTGCCTGCCTCCCTCCCTCCTTCCTTCCTTCCTTCCTTCCTTCCTTCCTTCCTTCCTTCCTTCCTTCCTTCCTTCCTTCCTTCCCTCCTTCCTTCTCTTCTCCTTCCAACACATAATTATTGAGTTCTTACAACTTTTCAGCCACTGTGTTAGGCCTTGAGGTTTGGATGATTCATAAAAACAAACCTTAATCCTCATCTAGATTAGAGTTTTTAATCTTGTCTTTCTCCCAAAGACCGGGTTGTTTTGGTGATCCCTTGGATTTTCTGAGATAAACCAGTGTTTTCCCAACAAATTTCCTCATCCTACTGGCCCCCCATTTTAGTTAATATTCTCTAAATAGCTATTGTTATTTTGTAATTTTACATAAAAATCATGATGAGTATATTGGAAACCTTCACCTACAAGGGAATGTGGAAAGGAATGGGGGGAAGCTTGGTTTGGAGATTGTAACTTTGGAAGATGTCTTCATATATTTGTAAATCTATATTTTTCCATGGGGTAGATCTAAGATTGAATGAAAACAGATTTGGGTTCAAAAGAATCATACGTTTTCTCACAAATAGAATAAAAGGAAATGTGCCTGACACTGCACTAAGTATGTGGGTGTGTTTGTATATTTTTCTCTGCATGTATAGAATAGGGTTTCTCAATCTCATTACTATTGACATATTGGGCCAGATAATCCCTTTGTTGTGGGGGGCTGCCTTCTGCATTGTAGGATGTTTAGCAGCAGCATCCCTGGCCTCTTCCCACTAGATGCCAATAGCAATGCCACCTGACCACCATTGTGACAACTAAAAATAGCCCCAGTCTTTGTCAAGTTTACCCTAGGGAGCAAAATTGCTTTCAGATGAGGATTATTGAATATTCACTTGCACACACATGAACAGAGGGACAGGTTTATCTGGGGTAGAGCTAGGATTCTGACTTAAAATCCACAGGTTCCCTGGAAAACCACATAGCTTTTTTGGGATGTAGGGACTTCTCAGTACCAGAGTTATTGATCTGAAGCAGACAACAAGTTGTCAGGAGGAACTGGAGGAAATCCTGTCTCAGGTAGGGGGGTGGACTCTATGATCCCTAAGTCCCCCATTTCCAACTAACAGATTTTATAATTCCATAAGACCAGATTCAGATTAGTAAAATTGGTGTCAGTTTTTAAGGGAAATACCAAACTAAGGTTATGACAGTGGGCCCCACAGTGCTATTTGAAATATGATGCAAGGTTATGGGGTGAGATGAGTGGGAGAGGTTGAGCTTGTTTGGGGTTTAATTGGCAATCAGAAATGTGCTTCCTAGATGCAGGCATGTCACTGTAAAAGCACACCCAGGATGTTACTTTCTTTGGCTGAAGTTATTAATGTGTTGATTGATGTCAAAATGGGAATTAAATCATAAATGTGCTTCAGTGCCTCGGGCTGGTGTCTTGGCAGCTTCTTTAGCCTTGTCACTTTGGAGAGACAGCTCAGATGGCCCTGACTCATTTTTTTGATGATTTCTTAAAGATTTCACTTTATCATCATTTGTCTATGAGCAGGCTTTGCGCCCCATCCCATTAGTATTACAGTCAGAACAAAGTTGTTGCCTACAAAGGAGCCATGGATGGATTTCATACTTGAGTGAAACAATGGGGTGGTACATTCTATAAAGCAAACAAAACAAAATAAAACGTTCCCAATTAGTGCTATTTACAGACATGTAACACCATGGCTGCTGATTGGGGATCTATGTTTCTTTCCCATGGGAGCCCCCAAATTCCTAGCATCTGCTCACAGGCATAAAAAAGCATGGCCTTTCTCATTTCCAAGTTAATCCAATTTGAGTGTGGACTGAGAGGGACCAGAACTTCCCGAATGGCCTGGTAGAACCGGGCAGCTCCACATGGCATCATTACCAGACCACACACATTATGTCTAATAGTCAGACCCCGTGCACTGGATCGGAGTGCAGAAAAATCAATGAATTTAAAATTCCTCAGGAACAGCCACCTTCTTCCTCCATGCTGTGGAGGCTTTTATTCTAAGCTCATCATCTCTCACCTGAATTTCAAGTCTCTTAAAGGATGGCACCGCGTGTCAATGTGCCTTCTTCCTGTTTATTTCCTGCAACATTAGTGAAGCAATGTCTGTAAGCCCCAGTACACTCATATCATTCTCTTACTTAAAAACAATTTTGGTTCTTCTGCATTTAAGGGACAAAATCCAAAATTCAAGCAATTGGAATAAATTACTCTTAATACCATCACATCACTCCTTCCCTCCAGCCTCTGCTGTATTAACCATCTTATCCTCAGGTGAGAGTGTATTATGGGTGTATCTAGCCACATGCCACACTGTCTAATGATGATACTATTTCTTTTGTAGCCCATCTCTAATGTCTCCTTCACCGCAAATCCTTCTTCATGTTTCTGGTTGGAACATGTTTTTTATTCTCCAGGGGTCCCTCAACACAATGTATTCAATTCATCATGTGAAATTTTGGTTTTTTTCCACTTACAGATTTGTTTATTTGTTTACTTTACTAGCCCTTATGGTTAGAGGGATACCTTCCTTGATGCCTGGAACATAATAGTCATTCATTCAAATGTTTTGGAATGAATGAATAAATACATAATTGAATGTAAGTGTGAATAAACAAAAAGGTTCTCTCCATTTCCAAATCATTCCTTAAAATAAATTGCCAAGACTCATGTGATTTTAGCAGAGTGGTGGTTGAGAGCTCAGACTATGCATTGAAACTTAGCTTCTCTACTTATCAGCTCTGTGACCTTGGCAAGTTACTTGTCCTTTCTCTGCCTCAACTACTTCTCTCTGTAAATGAGAATAATAATAGCACCTATTTATTTATTAGAGTTGTTTTGAGGATGGAATACATCAGTGTATTTAAAAGATCTTAGAAACTGGCCCATAATAAGTACCATGTTAGCATTAACTTATTTTTGGAGACCCAGCTCTTCCCAGAATCTGATGTATGGATTTTCCACCACACCACCACACAAAATGAATCACCAGGACTTATTTAAAAAAAACAAACAAAAAAAAAAGATACAGTTGTTAGGGCCCCACCCCAGGCCAACTGAGTCAGAATCTTTGAGGGTGGATCCCAGGCATGAATTCACTATCAGATATTTCAAATAAAGAAAGTTTTATAAAGTGCTTGTTTACAGAGGAGAGTATGCTTAAGGGACCAAACAAGAGATGATGAGGCACCCAGGAGCTAGAAACGATGAGAAGCACCAGCGCACAGAAGGAGGCAGGAGTGGGAATAGTGTCACTGGAGTCAGAGAAGGCTGGAGCCCTGGAGGTGGGCTGCCTCATCTCAAGGGACTCAGCCTCGAGGTGAGACATAGCACCAAGGCAGTGAGGTGTGGGAGAGAACCACCTGACCTCTTTCCCATTCCTGGCTTTCCATGTCTGACTGTACAAGCTCCCCATGGCAGAATCCAGCCATAATCCATCTGGAAAGAGAGCAGGGAGAGCCAGCCACCAGGGTTTAGCAGCCTTGGGTACAGACCGGAAAGAGAAAGGCAGAGAAGCCAGCACAATATTAGGAGAAAAAACATCCCAGTTGCTTCTGCTGCAGAATGAGGAATAAGACCCACTGATCCATACAGCCATCCTTATCAGACCTCTCTCCAGTGCCTCCAGCAGCCAAGGAAGAGAGCCATCCCAGCCAGAAAGCACGCGGGTGGCTTTCCTACACCATATTCCTCAGGAGGTGCTTCCCAGGAGAGCCATTTCAGTCTTTCTTCTAGGATACCAGGGACTAGGGGAAATGATTTCTAGGAAGTACCCTGATCGCATAATCCAGTCAGTTTTATGCCTGAACTAACAGGTACCTTTCTTTCTGGGGTTGTGGGCTCTGGAAACTCAGGAGCCTCCCTCAATGAGAATTTGAATTTCAAATACAACCCCTTACATTTGGAAAGAAGCTCATGGCTCTTGCCTCTTTGTTTTTATCTAATAAGCAAATGTGCCAGAAAAGACCCCCCACACCCCACCCACCCAGACTTCCATCAAATGTCAGATCATATGACTCCCTCTAATTTGCATAAGCACATGGTGAATTTGGAGAGTAGAAGGTTGCACCGCACCCTCGGTGAAGTGCTTCAGTTTGCATTGAACCCACCAGCTTGTTTTCCCATCCACAGTGTCGGCACATTTAAGACTTCATTTCTGCCGCTTCCTTTCCGAAAGGGGGAAGATATAAATCACAGGCGCAGAAGTAACTAGCAGTTGTGACATTTTGTTACAGAGTTTAATTACATGAATCATAAAATATTGCTACAATTTTCCAAACTGTTAAACCTTAATTAATATGAACCCACAGGGACCACCTTGATCATTCTAAATATTCTGAATCACTACTCCTACAGTAGTGCTTCCGTCCGCCTGAAGTGCTTTGTAATTTGCAAAAAGTGATTAATTATTAGAAATGAAACCAGACAAATTAATTTAATATAAATGAGGCTGTACATGGTTTGATTAATTCTTTTTAATTACCTATATGTTATTTTTTCAATAGTTGAACAAAGAACCCTATTCTTCTCCTGCATGTTCATATTCATTAATCTCATTAGCACAGAGTATTAATATAATTTTATCGCACATTCCAGAAGTACGGCACATTGACAAACCGTAATGAATCGTGGCATTAGTGTCCTATCACTACATTAATTTCAAGACATGCCTGGCTCATCTGTAATTTACTTTGAGACTTTGTTTAAAATGAGCTGAATAAGCGTGTAATTATGACATCTGCTTCTTTTCAGGTACCTCTTTGTAAATCAGTGACAAAGGAATAGCAGGTTTAAATATGTGTTAACACTTGGATAGCATGTATAATTGCAATATGGTGATGTGTAATAAGATTAAATTAGACCGTACTATACCTGACATATGCAGGGACATAATTGAACTATAGTCATTGTTACAGTAGAAGCAGCTGCAAAATACCAATATTTGAATTGAGGAAAGTAAAACTGAGTTAGAAAAGAAGACGATGAGGATAGCTGTCAATGAGTCACCTAGAACATAACCATATCCAAATAGGATGCAAACTCTTGGTTTTCAGCCTCTTCTCTCCTTGTGGCTGATAACAGTTGGTCATGAATTTCATGACATTTTCCAAAAGGGTCCATTTCGGATGTCACTGGGGCATGACCTCACGCTGCATATCTTGCATGCTCAGCGCTTCTGTTCCGGGCGGGCCTTGAGGTGGGCATCATGCCTGCAGTTCCCATCCTGAGCCTCAGGCAGGGAATTAGAATTCTAGGATTGAAATCTACAGCCTCCACATGGTTAACCCCAGATTTCCCTGAGCAAGATACCTGGGATGACAAATCACTTGAGATAACCTGGGAAGTGAGGCAACTCTGATATTGGCTCTCGGGGAAAAGTTAGGAGGAAAGGATTTAGGGACTTTGAATCCTCTAAAGCCCATGCATTGTTGGTCTAGAGAAGAAAATCATGTCTTCTATTACAAAGCTTTCCTGTCTTTCCTGAAAATGAAGCCTTATGTCAGCCTTTAGGATTTATTCAATTTTTGGCAAGGATTTAGCATGTGCCAAATCTACCCTGTTATTCCTGGGCAAAATGGAGGGCTCACTTAGTCGTACATACGATTTCTTTCTTTTGGAAGCGCCTGAGTGTTTGAGTACAGAGCTTAATAAGAGCCCAGGAAACATTGCTTTTGAGGAAAAAAAAAAAAAAAACCACCAAAGGAATTCAGGGATGTATCTTTAAACAATTTTAAGAAATTGTCTTAATGAAACCCCCACACCAGCCTTTTTAAGTTGGTGGTAAGCAGATATAAAGAGGCCCAAAAAAGGAGATGAAAGGAACCCTGCTTCATCTGAAGATGCCTGTGTGAAATGCTGACGCAGGGCCCTCCTAGGGCCTTCATGCAGAGTTGACAAGAGGAAGGAGGACGCATTAATTATATGGGCTACAATGTTCCATTACTCAAAAGTAATCTCATATTAACAGGGATTGACTCATTTATCCAACACCTAAAAATACCTTCTGGGAGAGAATGAGATATTTATGCGGTTAATTTGATGGAAATATTGGCCATCAGACTTTCAACTTAAAGATTCTCCATTTTGATGATATTAAAGTGTGTTGTCAGAAATCAGCCATGGCCCTATATGACCTGGGAGGTCTGTTAAAAAATAGATTCCTTGACCCCACCCCGAGCTCGGGGATCAGAAACTCTGGGTGTGCCAATTTGTAATCTGCCTATTTAAAAAGGCCCTGGTGATTCTTAGTACACACTTTTTAAAGTATTCTAATCTCATTTTACAGAGGTGGAAACAAAGGGACTCTAGAAAGGAAAGACACAGCAACACAGCTGGGACTATAATCCTGATAGCCCGAGCCTGGACTTCAGCTGGTCTTTCCTCTTATGTTGTGGGTGTGTGTCGAAGTAGAAGGCTGGATTTCGGTTTCATCAATCAGTGGGCACCCACACTAGCATCCCTTGGTACATGGAGTTGGCACTTCACTATACCTAGGAAACAGATGCTATAATAATAGCTATCTATGGAGGTGAGCATGCCACAAACTCAGGAGCTCACTGTTTCTAGATCAATGTATGGAACGGTCATGGGAGATTTTTCTGCAAAGTTTTGGAACAAGAAAGAAAAAAAACATGACTTTCAGCTTGCAGTGAGGGTATTTCAATGTCAACTTTTTTCCCACCCAGCCATTCATTTTACAACCTTATCAAGCTCCTCCTATATTCCAAGTATTACATTCAGCACTAAGATTACAACAGTGAGAAAAGTAGAAATAGAGTTTACCCCAAGAGGAATCACTTAATCCCTGACCTCTTCAGCTCTCAAAGGTGATTTAAAATAAAACAAGCCTATTACATGGGTGGTTTCATCTCTTTTCTTCTATGCTCAAAACTGTGTTCCCCTAGACATCTTAGTATAAAGGATCATTTAGGGAAACTCATTCTTCCCCACCCTACCCTCCTCCCCTCCCACTTTCCCCCTTAATGGAAAGTTTACATGTGAGTGAGTGGAGAGGAAATCATCATTTAGGGCTATTCTGAATAACTGATCCTATCCTTCCTAAATGCTTCCCACTTCTGCTTGTTCAGTCCGCCATGAAATCCCTGTGTCAGCAGTTCACTGTGAACATCTTCAGATAAAATAGTGTTCCTTTCATCTCCTATTAGCTCTTCCTCACACTTCCTTCTTGTTATTGACATGGTTGCCTATTTACCAAATATGTACTGTTTATAGTTTAAATATTAAATAATAAATGGCAAACTAAATACAATATTCAGAATGATACAGTTTTCATTCCACATTAGAACTTTTTGTTTTAATGAAACTCTATCTTGGAGTCTCTAGTTTCTTAGAGATCAAAATGAATCAGGCCAGGATTTATTTACACAAGGGTGAATGAGAGAGAGTGTGTATCAACCTGATAGACTAGGCTATGCTGCTATGACAAATCATACAAAAACCTCAGGGACGGAAAACAACTAAAGCTCCGTCCCACGTGGTCAGAGAAGTCTCCATGATGAAAGCAGCTGTTGTCATCCACAATGAGTTCTGAAGGGTCTGGGATAGAAAATGAAAGCTCCAGTCCAGATGTGGCCCATGCCATTTCTACTCCAACTCATAGGCCAGAATTAATGCCACAGCTCCATCCACACAAGGCACTAGGAAGCACAGGGGTACCGTATGCCCAGGAGAGAAAAGAAGGGAAAGATTTGGCAAACAGCACGGATGGCTAGCACAGAGTAACCAGAGGTTATCATCTTTATTGAGGTTTCAAGTCTTCTTACTAGAATGAGGCTCCAAGTGAGTAAAACATGTAGCTCCAACATGAATTTCTTTGCTGAAAAGTGAGCATCTCACCTACCCAAATAAACTTACACTGAGTATCTGTTCTCCCTCCTTGAGTGAAAGTGGAGTTTCTTGGAAAATTACAAGGAAAAGCCAGGCCTATCATGTTGCTAATTACAAATTACAGTGAAGTGTGAAGAGGTAAGCTCCCAACTGACTTGAAATAATCTCTTCTTGTATATGGAAAGCAGAAAAAGGAAGAGACCGGTCTTTGGTATGGTACACTTCTTGCAAATCAAGTTGAAGATTTAGGTGACAAGTCAGCAGCCCAAATAATATAGTTGTGGTTCTGCAGAGCAGATGAATGGGTTTTTTTGCTCTTTGGAACATTCAAAGTTGTTTTGAGACCACAGGGTTCTTTAAACATGGCATCCCCTGACAGAGGGAGCAATTTCTGCCCAGAAGAGGGAAGGTTAATGTTGTTCATAATAATGGGGGTTTCACCCTCCTGACGTGGATGCAGCCTTCTGCAATTGTTTTCCATCTCCTCTGGGCTTGCCTAGCTATCTAAAAGCCACAGTGATGGGAGGGAGCCAGCGGGAAATCACCACTACACTCTAAGCCAGAGCTGCTGCTCTGGGCCTTTGTGTTCTTAGAGTGGAAAGTCTATGATACACTAGCTAGTCTTAATATCTAAAGCCCCTGAGATGCCTACATTATTAGGATGCAAAGAAGACGCAGGAATCTCACATGCTGCTGGCCAAAACTGTAACTTTGAAAACCATAACTATATCCACTACAGCCAAACATAAGCTTTACTTGTGACTCAGCAATTCCACTTCTACATATGTATGCAATAGTATTGACTGTATGTGCTCACCGAGGGCTTATATTAAAAAAAGGACTTCATAGCAATAGTTGGCATAGAAACCCCAAAGTAAAAATAATGCATATCAAATCAACAGTTGAATGGATAAAATGTGGTATATTCATATAATGGAATGCTACACAACAATGACAATACTGAACTACTACAGAGTGAATCTCCATATATAATGTAGAAAAAAAATAAGCCAAACAAACAAAAAGGATATGTTC
This sequence comes from Homo sapiens, assembly GCF_000001405.40. NCBI lineage: Eukaryota > Metazoa > Chordata > Mammalia > Primates > Hominidae > Homo > Homo sapiens. The sequence continues at coordinate 51,862,994 of NC_000016.10, read as the reverse complement.
CATTCACGGAAAATGCAAGCAGAAGGCAAAACTTGTGTGGATGTAGAGATCGAAAATAGCCATCACCTTTTGGGAGAAGGGGCATGCAGTCTGGAGCCTTCTGGGATGCCAAGATATTCTCTGACTACATCTGAGTGGTGATGATGTGGCTTTAAAATGCACCAGTATATATAAATTTACTTCATTTTTTCTTTTGAGACAGAGTCTCGCTCTGTCACCCAGGCTGGAGTGCAGTTTTGCGATCTTGGCTCACTGCATCTCTGCCTCCCGGCTTCAAGCGATTCTCCTGCCTCAGCCTCCCAAGTAGCTGGGACTACAGGTGTTACACGTGTGCACCACCCGTCCCAGTTAATTTTTGTAGTTTTAGTAGAGACAGGTTTTCGCTATGTTGGTCAAGCTAGTCTCAAAACTCCTGACCTCAAGCAATCCGCCCACCTCAGCCTCCCAAAGTGCTGGGATTACAGACGTGAGCCACTGCACCCAGACTACTTCAATTTAAAAATAAAACTAAACTAAGTTATGTTGGTTCACTTAATCTATCAGTTTAATATGTGCAAAGCAGGCAGACACAGATGGTGTGTGTGTGTGTGTGTGTGTGTGTGTGTGTGTGCACATGCAAGCCTTAATTAACTATATGACCTGGTGGTTTAGTAACTTAACAGATAAGTTACTTGCTCAATTTTCTTAACTGTAAAATAACAACAGCAATAATACTTGCTCATAGGATTGTTGAGGTGGTTGGATTAGGAGATATGTATGACTGGTGTGAAAGAATAAGATGTGTGTTTGTATTTATGGGCTTGTACATATCCCCATAAATGCACAGATATGAAAGAAAGAAACAAACACTTCCTGGTTACACATTTATTCTGTTCACTCAATTATTCAGTTAAACATACATCAGCAGTCCACTCTGCGAGGTACTATTTTATGGGCAGGCTGCAGAGTGGTGACCAAGACAGACAGGTCTCCTGTTCTCAAAGCGTTTACATTCTAATTGAGGAAGACAGGTGATAAAAGCAAGTGGACAAACAGATAAAAATGTAATTTCAGTTTAGGAAGAACAGGTGATGGGAGACAGAATAACTGCAGGTGAGAGGGGGTGAAGCTAACTTGATTGATGAAATCAGAGACCATCTCTCTAGAGACATGGCATGGGGCTGAGACTTGAAGGATTAGAAGGAATCCACCCTGGGGAAAGCCTGGAAAAGAATGCTCTAGGCAGAGAACAGCAGATGCAGAATCCTGAGATGGAGAGAGCCCATGATGTGTGAGGATTCGAAATGGGACCAGTGAAGGTCTCATGAGGAAGAAGAAAAAAAAAAGGGAGGGGGGAGGGAAATGGGGCCAGAGGGGAAGAGAATGGAATCCAATGAGGTTGAAGACATAGGCAGGAGAGGCACATATACAAACCTGTGTGCCGAAGGAAGAAATATAATTTTATTCCAGGTTCTTCTGGACACTACTGAAGGTTTATTAAGACCTGAAGATTTAGTATTTTAAATATATCACTCTGCCTCAATGAGTTGCTTTAAATATAGTATCTCTACAACAGGTTAGACTTACATGCCCTTAAGTTGTTGGAACTGTAGTTCTTTTGTGGGAGAGAATTGAATTTATTTGTTAAAAAGCAATCTGGCCAGGTGCAGCGGCTCATGTTTATAATCCCAACACTTTGGGAGGCTGAGGCAGGAGGACTACTTGAGGCCAGGAGTTTGAGAGCAGCCTGGTAACATAGTGTCTCTACAAAGAATAAATTAGTCGGGCATATTGGTATGTGCCTGTAGTCCCAGCTACTCAGGAGGTTAAGGTGGGAGGACTGCTTGAGCCCAGGAGGTTGAGGCTGCAGTAAGCCATGATTGTGCCACTGCACTCCAGCCTGGGTGACAGAGACCTTGTATAAACAACAACAACAACAATGAAAACCTTAGTAACTAAAATAAAGTAGAAAAAGTAAATATATGTGTTTCCAGGGCAGCTGGTTTGTACTTAAGAAGAGGGTTCTGCTTAGGCTTCTGAGAAGGGAGCACAGAGGCTTGGGAGCTGGCGGATGTTGTGAAGTCATCAGTGAAAAATATGGGATATGAGCCAGTTAGAAATTTCAAGAATGAAAATGTCTAATATTCAATACAAAGTATGGTTTGTTGTGATAGAAATACCTTCTCACCTACCTGCCAAAATTCCATTAAGTCTACTATTCTCATGACCTGGAAGTTTGTGGAATTTATGAAGAGGCTGGAATTCGTCCTGAGATAACATGGTCTAGACTAGAGGAAGATACAAGGAAGAACAGGTGGCAGGCACATATAGCCATGAAGTTCCCAGAAAGTCTCAGCAATTGTGATTAAGGGTTCTGCCTGGATGAGAGTGTGGATAGAAGACATAACAATCTTCACTTCAAGGATCGAGAAACACATGTAACATCTGTATGCATTTCATGTCAGTTGAACTAATGAAAGATAATTTTCTGTTAACCTTCCTCCACAATCTCTTGGTATACAGTGGAGGATATCTTATCCTAGGCACCAAAAGGATCAGATGCCATTTTTAGAGTTCTCTGCCCAGTATCAGAATTCCTGGGAAGCATGGTGAACAATTAATCTGGGCACAATAAGGAATATGTTATCCAAGCCATGCCGAGGCCTCTGTGATGGAGAAGCGAGAGCAGAGTCTGAATGTCTGTGATGCTCTGAATCAGCATCCTGCCTAGTGAGAGCCAGAGACACACAGAAAGCTTCTGGCTTTCTGGGCATCCTTGTCTGTTTTCAAGGTGGCTATCTCCTTCTGTTTATCCACGTTTTTCTCAAAGCAGGCTACAGTGCACTCAAAAGTCTACAAAAGTATATGCATATTACACACTTAACAAAATGTACATGAAGGTATCATCATGTTATACTTTATAAAAAGTATAATCATATTTTCCTGCCCAGAGATTATGTCTAGTTTATGTTCATCAGAGTCCTTGTGGACTGATACTTTCTATCTGCACTAAGAGGCAGTAGATGGTGGGGCTAGATGTGCATATTCTGGAGCCAGACTGCCTCTCACCAGCTAATTGAGTTGACAGGTTACAGGACTTCACTCTATGTCTCAGTTTTCTCATCTGAGCCACAGGAATAATTATGATAGCTACCTCATAGGGCTTTCAGAAAGATTAAATCAAAATATACATTTTTATATATAAATATCTTCTAAGTGATTTTACAGATAATGTATGTGTATATATATTATAACATGTATATAATAGTGTACTATATATATGTGAAATTAAAATAGCTACCTTGTAAAGTTGTTATAAAGAGTAAATGAATAAATATATGCATAATCATTTACATATCTATCTCCTAAGTGATTACATATGATGTATGTTACATACATATATATCACTATATTGTATTAGTGATTATATATTATAACTACTATAGGTTACATCATATATAATCACTGAGTATATATATATATTTGTGCATATATCTCATACACATAGATACATACATGTACACACACATAGCACTTAAAAGGATGCTTGCATAAATACTTTGTAAGTTTATATAATCAGTTATTTTTCTTTACAGACCATAATTGGTGACTCTAGCAGAGGGCTAATGATATCCATTTTTTGTGGCTAGAATTTTTTTCATTTTCATATTTTTGGAGTGGGGCTAGAAGGTGTGTGAAAGAGCTGAACCTTGATCTTGCCTCTCATGAACCCAAAAAAGATGCATTTCGGAGCAAGAAAAGGACATCCAAGGAAGGCTGTCTCTTGCCCATGGCCTAGTGTGAAATATAAAACACTTCAAGTCACTGAATAGGTAAAAGAAAATAAAAAGGAAATCCAACCAACTCACCAACATTCTGAAACTAGAATAAAGAGGGAAAGAAGTTAGGAAAGCAAGTGGGGCTGTGAGTAGGAATAGAAGGCTTGTGTGAGAGCGAGTGGCAAACACTGCATCTTATTGAGCAAGTTTAATAGGCTCTGGGGGCCCCCCAAATCAGGTTTAGAACACATTTTTAAAAGGGAGAGAAAATGAAACTCTGATAGACTGTGCAGAGGGGATTATTCTTCGCTTCAAGTTTTATTTGAAAGAACTGAAAGACAGGGTCCAGAAACCATAGGGTTTGGCTGGTGAAAAAATAATCAAACAAAACATTTATTTTCACTGATTTCAAGGGACTTGCATGACTCTGAGGTTGAGAAATAAGTGAGCAATGGAGGCAGGAGAAGGCCTCACCTGGGCAGGCTGGGAGTCTAGGTGTGGAGGAAGAGAGAGGAGGCTGATGGAGACGCACGTCCCCTGTCCCTTCCCTGTGTACCTCTGGAAGGGATGTCAGCTGCTCCACCCACATAGGGGGAAAGATGATTATTTGGTCACTGCCTGTTGGGTAAGGCCACATACCATAAGCGAGTAAGACTTCTCCAGAAAGAAATGGGCATTCCCACTGTGTATCCCCCAGGTAAGAGGAAGGCATGATGCTGAGAATCAAAACCCAGCGGCTTTGGTGTCACATGTCCAAAGAATGTCTCTTGGTTTATGTGTCTGCATTGAGGATTCTACAGTGTCTTGGAGATGGCTAAAAGACAAGCCTTTGCCACAAAAGCTATGTTGAAGTTACCTGTTAAGGGACCCCAAGCTGAAGAGGAGGTGCATTTTGTAAGCCAGTTAGCCTGTTTGTGGTTTCTCTCTTATTTCTTTTTTACAACACCCAAGTGGACGCTGCAAGATACCACTCCGGTCCACAATCAGCACCAGCTTAATGAGTGATGCACAGGGCCCGGTGCTTAGAAGGTTCCATGCTTGGTTTACTGCATTGCTGTCATCATCTTGAAATTCTCCATACTTTTTAACAGAGTGCCCTGCAATTTGTGTGCCCTGCAATTTTGCATTGCTGTCATCATCTTGAAATTCTCCATACTTTTTAACAGAGTGCCCTGCAATTTGTGTAGTGAGTACTGCCTCCTACTTAGGAACTGAGACACTCATTTCCCTCACTATAGGGAGTGTTGACTAATGACAGCTTACAGCTATGACATTACCCTGTGGAAGAGATTTTCCTTCCCAAGCTTAAACCCTCTCCTCAGGGACAATGCTATACCCAGCATAGATTTGAGGGTATGAAGACACAGCTCCCTTGCCTCCAACTGGGACAACTGGAAAGGACCATCCTTGCTCTGGAGCTCCTAATAGGTTAGTCTGAGACCTCTGTTGCAACTGCATCACAGTCCAACTTCTTCTGCCCACCTGGGCTTTCCTCATTCTCTTACAGGTGTTTTTCACTAGAGGACTCCCCAAGAAACCTTCTGCATGCAAATATCCCTCGAATTTTTATCTCCAGAAACCCAAAGACACCTAGCCTATTCTCAGGTATGCTACAGAGAATCAGGGACAGAATCTTGGACCCACATGTGGACCAGGAAGCTAGCATGGTGGTAGTAGCAATCATCAGTGAAAAGTCCCCCAGTGTAAACTAGAGAAAACAGGGTCAGAGAGGTTAATGAATTGCCCCTCAAGGCCACACAGATGGTAAGAGTTTGAGCCAGGATCCAAACTTAGGTTTCCTGGCCCCTAATTAGATTCCTTTACAATAAGCTATGAGAAGTTGTCACACTTCTTAACCCCACAGGGAGCCTGGCAGTATCTAGTTAGCACTACGTGCAATGGAATTATTTGCATTCTCTTCTCCTTCCAAATTCCAAAGTACTTTGTTGGAGACTTGCTGGTGGCTCTTTGTATGTCACCCCTTGTATAACGTAGAAATTATCCTTTCCTTGGAGACAAAATCAAGTAATTTCCTCATCCACATTTAGTAGGACACTTGGCATTTCTCCAAAGGTCTCCAGTGTTCTATTAGTCTGTTCTCACACTGCTAATAAAGACATACCTGAGACTGGGCAATTTATAAAGGAAAGATGTTTAACGGACTCACAGTTCTGCATGGCTGGGGAGGCCTCCTGGTGGAAGGCAAAGAAGAAGCAATGTCATGTCTTACATGGTGGCAGGCAAGAGAGCTTGTGCAGGGGAACTCCCATTTATAAAACCATCAGATCTCATAAGACTTACTCACTGTCATGAGAACAGCACGGGAAAGACCCACCCCCATGATTCAGTTACCTCCCACTGGGTCCCTCCCATGACATGTGGGAATTATGGAAGCTACAATTCAAGATGATATTTGGGTGGGGTCACAGCCAAACCATATCAAGTGTTCTTCCAGGTTGAACCAGCAACATCCACCTCTCCTGAGGACCTGTCAGAAAGGTAAATTCTCCGGCCCCATCCCGGACCCAGTAATGGTGTTCCAGCAAGCCTTCCAAGCATTCTGGTGTGCTAAAGTTCCACTGCTCCAGGGATTTGGTCTTGGGACCTTGCTTGGTCAGGCCTGACTCTGAGTTCCCGCACCTGCTTGGTGTCAGTCTCTGTTATGTCTTCCTCTTGCAGCTAGTTCTTAAGTCTTTGCTTTTTGTAATCCCAAACAAGCAACTCAGCTCCACTTTCTCAATGTCCCCCAAATGCCATTCACACAATGCAATTGAATGTAGCACATTTTACCAAAGAGAGAGAAAAAAAGAGGAAGATGTTGGGAGAGAAGATAGTCTTCCAGAAAAATCGAATAAAAACCTAAAGCTGACTGTGGACATTCCAGATCTTCAGACTTCCTCAACCACAGGAAATTGTCTCTGGTTGCCTCTTTTGTTTACCTTCCAGCCAAGTTTCTCTCTCCTCCTCACCCTTGGGCCTCCTCACCTTTTCTAAGAAAAGGAAGGGCCTCCTCACTTTTTCTAAGAAAAGGAAGGGCCTCCTCTTCCTTTTCTAATCTCCCTATCCCTCACTCAATACCTCTTCACTTCTCTCTTTCAGGTATATCTTCATTTCACCCAAGGATTATCTGGCTAGGTATAGTGGTGCACACCTGTAATCCCAGCACTTTGGGAGGCTGAGGCAGGAGGATCATTTGAGGCCAGGTGTTTGAGACCAGCCTGGGTAACTTAGCAAGACCCAATCTCTATTTTGTAAGGTAGATATCTGTTCAAAACTAAAATGGCCCAGCAAGAGGAGCTTGATGCCAGTACTTCAAGCAGCTGTTATTCCTGGGGGACTGGTGACTCAATTTCTCCTTGTCTAGCACCACCCAGTACACCACGTAGCAGTGTCCTGATGCCACTTGTTATCTAGAACAGGTGCTGCCACTTAGGTGATCAGTAAATCCCCATCAGCTTGGGCAAGACCCAGTGCTCCTGAGGATGGCTTTGGCTTTGATATTCTCTGAGGCCTAGGCTTAACCAAACACCACTTTGAGCTCTCAGGCACAGTTCTGCTGAACTGTAGAATTTGAGTATATCCAAATTAAGGAGGTCCAGGCAATCTCCTCTGAACAAAAAGAGTAGAGAACAAACCTTTTGAATCAGCAGAACCAGCCCTAAACACATCGTGTTGGAGACATACTGAGGCTTTTTGAGTCCTTTGTTTCCTTTTTTCTCTACCCCCTCACCCCGTAATTCCACTCCAAGCACCTATGTCTTGGTTCTCTGTGCTTTCACCCATTCTCCAGAATCCCAGGTATCAGCTCTCTATGGCCTCTTTCTCTCAAGAGCAAAACAACAAAATCCCTCACCTTCATTCATCCTAACTCTCCTTTGCAAAGTAAGGAGCTGATGTGATGAAACTAATTCATGCTATGTAGCTAAGGTTTATTTAGAGTTTAAGTAGGACCCTCCAGGAAACTTCTCTGTTTTTATCCAGGCCTTCAGTCTTCCATTTAAGACCTTAGCTGGCAATGTGATCCCTTTAAGTGTCACATTGATCCAGTACTCATTTTTGAAATGTTATAATTGAGAGGCAGCAGCATAGCAGAGAGATTAAGCACTGTCACTGCCAGGATCTGAACCCTAGATCCACCTCCTGCTAGCTGTGCAAATTTGGATAAAGCCCTCAGTCTCTGTGTGTCTCAGATTTTTTTAAATCTATGAAACGGACATGATAATGGTATTTGATTAAAACAGTAATTCATATAAGAAATTTGGAGCTCAGTGAAGACAGGCCTTCATTAATGAAATGAGCATGTGGGGCCCTGCTGATCAGGGATAACACTGCAGTGACTCCAGGAAATCAGCCATTGCTTTGGAATCTAGCCCCATCCCAGACTATGCAAGTACCCAAAGCAACTTCATGCTGTTCTGGAAAGCAAAGAACACATTTTAGTTTTGTGTATTAGGTGCTTGGCTTTACTAGGGCCAGCATTGTTCCAGCGCCTCCATGCCCAGCCCCTCACCCCAGCTTGGATGTCCTCTTCATTCCCCTAGGGCGGCATGTCTTCCTGCCTGTTACTTCTCTGCAGGCATCTTTCCCACAGCTCTGCAGGGATGTGCAGAGTGACACAGGGCTTCAATTGAAAAATGAGTGGTTAGTTGTGATGACAACTCAAACCACAATGCTGTCAAGAAGCCCTCGCTGGAGGAGCCCATGGGAGCAAGAGGAAGTCCCACAACCTCCCTATAATTTGTATCACACCAGGGAAGTGCAGAGTGGCTCCTACACAACTAAGATCCCTTCTGTTCACACACGCACAGCCCACTGACAGAATTCACTTGGGATACCAACTCCGGAAATGTTTCCAAGGCAAATGATTAATAGTAACAGGTCGAAATGCTTAAGAACCTAGCTGTACACCTTGCAGATCAAAATCCAGTGCCTGAAGTAGCGAATGAATTATATTCCGCAGCAGAACCACCTTCTTCTGCTCAAGATAACTGAGGCCAAAAAGTTATGTTTAACTTATTTAGCCTGAGTTATGTGCCATGCACTATGCTAAAGCCTGCATGGCCAACTTCTCCTGGAACCATAATACTTGTCTTATGCAGTGTGTGATGTTGTTATCTTTTTTCCAGTCAAGGAAATCCCCCTATAGAAGTTAAGTAGCTTTCTCAACAAAGTCACACACTTCCTGGTGGAGTGGAATGGAACTGGAGCCTGCCACCAAAATCATGTTCTGAACCACCACATTATCTTGCCTTTTAATAGCCAGCACTGTGCAACCCAGTTATTCTAGGGCTCCCCTTGTCTTGAAGTCAAACCTACTGTCTCAAAGAGGATCAGATATTTCTTCCTTCACACTCCATAATATCATTTTTATCACCATTCTTAAAACACTATGTTATAATTACTCAAGAATGTCCTTGGCTTCTGATCGCAGCTTCAGCTGTCTGATAGTAGGAGCCAGATTGCTTTAACAATTGTATGTTCCCAAGCTCAACACAGGGGGTTGCACACAATAGACATGAATGAATGAGTGGATGAATGAGTGAATACAAGACCTCCCAGCTCCTTTTCCAGTGCTTTGTCTACCATTTTTTACAGGCCAACCTCTTTTTGTTGACCTTAAGTATTTTTTTCCTTGGGATCTTGAACATCTCATGATATTTAGAATGAATAAAAATCATTTCCCCTGAGATCTCACAAGACGCTGACTAAGTTTACAAAATAAACAAAAGCATCCCATTTTCTTTCTTACCTCTCAAGATATGTGCAACTCTCTCTTAGAGTGCAATTGGCAAGAGAAAAAAAAAAAAAAAAAACAGAAAACTGATGCTGCTGCTCCCGGGCTATTTGAAAGTATTGGCCAAAGTACTGTACTGTAAATGATTTTAAGTTAGATGTATAATTCTAAGACTGACATCCCCCCAGCGATTGATACAATTAGGAGTGGTTCCCCAGAGTGACTGCTTAATATTCCTGTAATAACCTGAGTTTATGAGGTTTTGGGACCTGCTTCTAAGTATCACTGTAAGATGCTTTAGTGTATTGGGTGTGCCTCTTTATATCTTGTCTTTTTCTGATCATTTTCACATCATTGTAGTCATATAATTTAATTTTACATACTGTGCTTTTCTATTAATATTGTAATGTAAGCATTTTTTGGGGTTTTGTAATGTGTCAATGCTTCCATTTCATGGCTCCTAATATTTCCAAGTGAACGTATCATAACTTATTTAGCTCTTCTTCTATTGTAGGACATTTATGTTGTATCCAATATTATAGTCTTACAAAATAGCAATGTGATGCATGTCCCCAAGGAGGGAGCTTTCTCTGAGTTCTCTTCTTGGATTGTTTCCTTAGGGTCAATTCCCAGCAGTCTGCCATTTATTCTTGATAACTGGATTTGTGAGCAAGAGATGAGCTCACCAGGGGACCCAGAGCAAGAGAAGAAAGTTAACTCACTAGTCACTGAAGACACTAAAGATTATTGTCCAGCTGGAATATGTGCCCTATTCTAGAGGAAATTTTCACACTTTATTTTCGTCTTTAGTTTTTAATCTACTTTATTCAAAAGCAAGGCTCTCATTGCAAAGAATGAATCAATGTAAGTAAGTATAAACGAAAAGTTAATGACTACCTTCCATCACAACCCTCCTATTCCCACCCCACTATGATGACAGATTTTAACAGCCTGGTGTGTATCCTTTCATGTATTTCTCCATGCTTATATAAATAAATGCTTATAAACATATTTGCTTTTATACAAATAGGCTTATATAGAGCACACTGTATTCTCCATAACTTTTTCTCTTGCATTTAACAAATACACCATGAAAATCCTTTAGGGTCAGTAAGTGAAGTGCTAGATTATTCTTTATAAGAACTGTATAATATTCCGTAGCAGAGTTGTACCACAGTTTATTCAGCCAATTTTGAATTAATGGAAATTCAGGTTGTTTCCAGACAAATGAAATTTCGACTAAAGCTACTACAAAATTTTTTTTTTGGTTTAAATTGTCTTTAAATATCACCTCATATCCTTATTTCTTTTTGGTAATTTGCAGTTACTTTTATGGAGTGTATGTGACTTTTTTTTTCTTTTTTTTTTGAGACAGAGTCTCACTCTGTCACCCAGGCTGAAGTGCAGTGGTGCGATCTCGGCTCACCCCAACCTCTGCCTCCCAGGTTCAAGTGATTCTCCTGTCTCGGCCCCCCGAGTAGCTGGGATTACAGGCGCCTACCACGCCCTAATTGGGCATGGAGATGTCCATGTCTGAGGACTGTCATCGAATGTAGAGTTTCACACACCTCTCCTGGAGTTCCCCAGATTTTTCTTTTACCATTTATATTAAGAGATAGCCCTATTTTAATTGCAAGAAACATATTGAGTGTCCACTGTGGCCCTACAGCAGATCTACATATATAGCATAGAGAATTATAAAGAAACACAGAAAAGAGAAGCTGGAGTAATAAGAAAACCAGTCTCTCTTGATTAAAGAGGTTAAATGTGAAGTATTTAATTTTACTAAACAAAGGCTGATGAATACTAACTAGGTAGGAAACACTGTACTGGATCGTGATGTCCTCAAAGGAGTCTGTAGTCTATTAGGGGAAAATGGAGCTTTGCACAAACGACACAGGGGAGGGAAAGAAAATGGGACAGGCAAGCAAAGTGTAAGGATTGAATATGAAAGAGGCTATGCTCAAGCTTCTTCCAAGAATGTAAACTGCAATGTTTAGAGTTATTTTAAATCTGAAGAGAGAGAATCCTGTACATTTTTAAATTAATGATAATCCAGGTTGAGGCAAAAGGAAAGGTTAGAGTTAGAAAGCGATCTTTCAAGCCATTAGTGGTTCCTGTTTGTGTGCCAAGCATCACTGTCTAGCTTAACAGTAACCACTGTTACGCAGCAAAAATAATATACGCCTTGGAGGCAGCAAAACCTGAGTTCAACTCCATGATTCATGGGTTCATGTATTCTTTCATTCAGTAAGCACTCACCTTAAGCAAGGCACTGTGCAGGCATTGTGGATACAGCAGAGAACAAGACAGTTACTACCCCAAGGGGAGGTATAATCTGGTGGAGGAAAACCAACAACAAGCCAGACATCTCAGATGGTGATGAGAGGTACAGAGACCATAAAAAGGATGATGTGAGGGAAAGAGCCAGAGGGATATCCCTATCAGACGGTAAGGAAGGGGCAGCCTGTGGGATGTTTCAGGTGATACCTGAAGGGGAAGTAGAAGGTGAAGGTCAGGCACACACCTGTGGGGAGAACAACTGAAGCAGAAGGAACAGGCTGTTGTGCATAGGCACAGAGGGAGAGCCCAGAGGGCGGCTGGAATGCGGGAAAGGAAGAGAAAAGTTGTACTGAGTGGTCCAGAGGAGGTCACAGGTCAGCTTGGAGAGAAGCGTCTTCACTCTATTTAATAAACTGCAGTGAAAATCCATGGGAAGGTTCTAGGCGGGGAGACATCATTCAACTTAAAGGCTTCAACCTCACATTCTGATTGCTATGTGGGAAATGGATTGAGGAGGCTTGTGTGGAAGCGGAGCAAGCAGTTGGGAAGCTAATGCTGGTCAGAGACGTTGGTAGCCCCAGCCCTGGGAGTGGCAGAGGGGCAGCCATCCTGGAACCTTCCACTGAGAAGCAGTGAGGCTCCTGCAGGCCAGTGGCTTCACCTCTCAAAGCCCAAGTGTCATCATCTGTTGAAATGGAGATAGTGATACCTACTTTCAGAGGCTGCTGGAAGGGACCATCTTCGACCTATATGCTGACACATGTCTCTCCAAAGGCCGGCCATCTCCTCATATGCTTTACTTCTCTTAGACCCAATTGGAAATGACAAGTAATTCAAGGTCATTGCTATAGGCTGCTAGAGACCGAATACTCCAATGGATTAAAATGAGATAAACACACAGGAGGAAACAAAAAGGAAAAAAAAGTATGTAATGAAATTCATAAATTCATATTGACATGTTGAAGAAGCTTCAGTGAGACCAACAAAAAATGAAGGTCTTGAAGGTTTTGATTCCTGTCTATCCAATCATAACATGTCCCAAGATGCTGTGCACACAATCACCAACCTTGTGAAATCCTATTACAAGAGGCAGAGAGATAACTGACAAAAATAGGGCTTTGTGGTTTTTATCCCCAAATGGCCTGTGAGTGGGAGAGACCCTTTATGTCTCTGGTAAACTTGAGCCCTACTGCAGGTGTTTGAGTTTATCACAGAGAGGAAATGACTTTTTTGACACCTAATTTAATCTGAAGCTATTCACAGTTTAAAATGTTTAGTAACGGTGACCTTTTTAATGACTAACACATTGCAGGTGGTCTGTTGTGGCCAGCAGTTAATGTTTGCCATCAGGAAGAGAGAGAGAAAGAATTAAATGACCACTCCATGGCAATTGTCTTTGTATTGCAGGGTTCAAAGGACAGCTGGGTCTGAATGGAACCATAGTTAAATATCTGTGAAAAAAGGGTGAGGGCCTTTCTCCTCAATAGGAGAGCTACTATCCTTTTCTTGGTCATTGTTGGAACTAAGTTGTGGGCAGAACATCTCAAAAAAGAATTATAAACCAGACACCACTTGCTGCTGGCCCAGGCTCTGTGTGTATTTTCTTTTTGGAAGGACAGATGGGTCTCTGATATTTCAATCGCCCGAAATGGAGAGAGGATTGTTTTAGTAGCTGACCACTGGCTGGATTTCTGGGGTTTTTACAGACTTGTAGGGCTACAGAATGTCCAGATAAAAATCTGCGTTACTGGATGAGTTGAAGGAAGCCTAAGAGAGAGAAAATAGTTGACCTCATGGGTCATACCAGATCTCATGCCACATACCAGGGCTCTTGACAGTGCCTTGTCCGCTATATCCAATGCACCAACAAGGAGGTTTCTTTTACTTTTGTCTTTTTTTTTTTTTTTTTTGGAAATGAAGTCTTCCTCTCTCACTCAGGCTAGGGTGCAGTGGCATGATCTCAGCTCACTGCAACCTCTGCCTCCTGGGTTCAAGTGATTATCCTGTCTCAGGCAGGCACACGTCACCAAGCCCAGCTAATTTTTGTATTTTTAGTAGAGACGGGGGTTTCACCATGTTGGCCAGGCTGGTATCGAACTCCTGACCTCAGGTGATCCACCCACCTTGGCCTCCCAAAGTGCTGGGATTACAGGCGTGAGCCACTGTACCCAGCCGAGGTTTCATTTTCATTCTATCCCAAGCCAGGTGATGTGTGGGCTGCTTGATGACTCAGGTGACTTGGATCAGACCCATATCTGGTCTCAGACCACCTTTCAGGGCTTTCCCATCAGCACCACACTCTAAAGGTCTCCTTTACAGAGACTACAGTGGCTCCTACATGAGGCGTAAAAATACCCCGAGTGTGTCCCTAGCTTCCAGGGCAGTGTGACAGTGCACTGTGTTAGCAAACACCATTCTAAGTCTACATTCTGTGAGCAGATACATAATTCAGTGTCTTGACTCTCCCAGCACGTCCTGTCCTGGGGCAAGAAGAGCGAACTTGCCTTCATGCACAGAGCTTTCTTATAGCTCAAGGCAGCGCATTTTATTGTTTCAGCCTTTCCCCTCCCCCTCTGCATCCCCCCACCACCCTCATTCATCCTGGAGGCCGCACACCCCCCACCCCACTTTGGTGAGAAGCAGCAGCAGGATTCAGGAAAGGAGGAGGTGTGAAGAAGCTGCTGCTTCTTCAAGGACAACTGCTCCTCTGCTCAGCAGACTGGTACTCTGCTCCTCCCGACGAATGGGATGGGGTTTTTTCCAAGTCCTGGTTGATTCCCGTGGCACTTGTTTGTGTTCAGACTGGCCAGCCCTGCTAATTTCATTCTGAAGTAATTTACATCCCCTCAGTTATTTGTGTTGAGAGTCAGACTTCTGAGATCTGTGCTCACCAGTCTTGTTCTGGCTTAAGTTTCTTCCTAGGTTGTTGGTATTATATACAAAAGCCTTCTTATTATAATACTTAGACCCATCACACTTGTAATCCCAGCTAATCCCAGCACTTTGGGAGGCTGAGGTGGGCGGGTCACCTGAGGTCAGGAGTTCGAGACTAGCCTGGCAGACATGGTGAAACCCCATCTCCACTAAAAATAAAAAATTTAGCCGGGTGTGCTGGCACGTGCCTGTAGTCCAAGCTATTCAGGAGGTGCAGGAGAATCGCCTGAACCTGGGAGGCGGAGGTTGCAGTGAGCTGAGACTGTGCCACTACACTCCAGCCGGGGCAACCGAGTAAGACTATGTCTCAAAATAATAGTAATAATACTTACACCAAAGGAAAAGCATAGAGACCACACGAAGGCAGACAGGAGTTGGTTACTACAGGGATGTTTTCAGGGCATGTAATGAGATGCCAGTGGTCTCTAAGGAATCTGCAGGGTCTTCAGGTCTTCCATAAAAGTGTCAAGGACTAAGACACTCAGTGTCACAAATTAGGCCTAGTCGCCAAGCTCACTGTATTGTAGAAGTTTTCTTGTATTTTCTCCTATCTCCACCTCTTAGGCATGATTATTATTATTTAAAATCATTGCATTCTAAAACTGGATTAGGATGATGATTGCACAACTTAGAAAATCCACTAAAAATCACTGAGTAGTATACTTCAAATGGGTAAGAAAAGTTAACTTAAAAAATTCATCAGCTGGGTGCAGTGGCTCACACTTGTAATCCTAGCATTTTGGGAGACTGAGGCAGAAGGATGGCTTGAGACCAGTAGTTCAAGGCCAGCTAGGGCAACATAGGGAGACCAAGTCTCTACAAAAAAAAAAAAAAAAAATTAGCCAGGCATGGCAGCTTGGGCCTATGGTTCCAGCTACTTGGGAGGCTGAGGTAGGAAGATCACTTGAGCCCAGGATGTTGAGGCTGTAGTGAGCTGTGATTGTACCATTACACTTCAGCCTGGATGACAGAATGAGATCCTATCTCAAAACAAAACAAACAAAAAAATACATAAAAAAATTCATCAAGTTATACATAATTACAATTTGTAAACTTTTTTTCTCTATGTTTGTTATGCTTCAGTAAAAGAGTTTATTAAAGAAAAACTTTAACCTAAAAAACAAAAGCATTGGAAAAGTCAAATTTGCATTTTGTCGCTTATTGAAATCACACCTTAGTAACATAATGGCAGAGAAAGAAAAGGTGGTTGATTTGTGGAACATCTTGCCTATAGCCTATGGTTATTCCAGAACCTTTAAGCTATTAGGAGAATCCAGTCACTTAATATATCCTACCAATAAATTTAAAATAATATAAAATAAAATTACATTTCAAAATATAAGGAATGAACTGTATTCATCTAGTGGCATGTGTTGGTGTAAATTCTATATTTAGGTCCCACGTGCATGATGTCATTTATTCATATTTAAAATGGTACATGAAAAAAAATCTAAAAATATTTGAATTCCCTCTCCTTCCTAGCTCATTCTCACCCTGAGACTTTTTACTGAGCTTAGGAACAGTTAAAGTTGCTACCTATATTAATGTGAGTACTTTATTGTCCTGAAATTACGGCTTTTGAAGTTTCCTCCTTTCTGAAACAAAAAAGAAAAGAGATGGTTGACATCAAAGAGGAGACATTTTCCTCACTAGCAATTATGGTCGCTTAATGTTACTCAATATCCACCCAGTTGCAAACTGCCTTTGCTTTTTGTAACATGTACTTATTTTGATCAACCCCTTTAGAAAAAGTACCCCAAAGTACCCAACTACCTATAAAATTCTCGCTGGATTCTTCCTAGCGGTGGTTGTTGTGAATCAAAATACTCCTTTAATAATGCATTCTGCCATATATGATTGTGGGTGTTTTTTTCTTTTAAAGAAAACATTTAATTACTATTGGAGAGTTGTAACTGTTAGCTGTGAGTTACCAGATGTGAAACCAGACACAAGGGTGAGATTTTACAATTTCAGCACAGCTGCTTACGACCAAATCTGGTTTAGGACACCGTCGATGGATTTAAAAACATTACATTTATATTAAAAATAGCAGCCCAGCCTCATATGCAGCCCAGCTGAAGGTCTTCTTGGCAAACTTGTTAAAATCAGAACGAATCCCCTCCATCAAAGTCCAAAAACAGCCAGTACTCAACCGGCCAATGACATGTGCTGTCACTCCCGGCCCACCCCACCCCCCGCGCAAACATTCTCATAGAGACACATGTGTCTGGGCCTTTTGTCCGAATTCTAAATTAAACTTCCAATTCTTTTCATTTGTATATTATGTGCGCTGAACGCCAGGATGTAAAGGCTTAAAATGTACCAACAGTTTGTGCAGGCTTGAAAACCTTAACTTACTGCACTGATGATTTGAGACAAAGGTGTTGTTTTGTCTCTCTGCCCACCCCCAACCCCCTGGCATTTGAGTTTTTACAGTGCAGAAAAAAAAAAAAATCGCTCTCTAAAGCTTACTTTTTCTTCTTCCCCTCACCCCACCCCCATGAGTTCTTGAATCTGCAGCTATTATTCCAGGCCAAATGGTCGCCATGCTTAGTGGAGCGTGCGGAACCAGGCAGGACAGCTGAAATAACTGCGAGATGGAGGGTACTTTGGCCCCCACACCCGGCACATGGGAGAGCCTGTAGTCGGCCTCGCCTCCATTTCTGCTACTAGTTTAACTAGAGTTTTGAGAGTTGCCAAAAATGTGTCCAGTGAGTGGCTTTTCGTTCTTAAACCGGAGGAGTGGGAAGAAGTGGAAGACTTCTAAGTCTATGTAAGTCTAAGGCACATTGGAAGCACTACTGGTGTTGAAAATCTGGCCTCTTTGATAAGTAATACATGGACATGTTTAAAATGTATTCAGACTGTACAATGAGGTATCCAGAGACGGGGGCTCTATCCTTCTCTTCCCAGACCCTTTATCTACAACTACCACACCACCTCCCAGTAGCATAGCACAGCATAGCATAGCATAACATAGCATAGCATAACATAGCATAGGATAGCATAGCGTATCAATTCTTTTAGATCCTTCTAATTTTTTCCTATACGCACTTGAGCAAATGCATATGCTTCTCTCTCTCTGTGTGTGTATATATATACGTATATATATGTACATATATATATACGTATATATATACACACATGCAAACTGTACTATACTACACCTTGTATTGTATGTCAACTCATGATAGATCTTGGAGATCTTTTCATATCTGATCAAACAGCTCCCTCATTCTTTATAAGGTGATAAAATATTTAACCAAATAGAAATTTAGGCCACATTCAGTTTTTTTACTTATTGCATACAAAGCTAAAAATGAACATCCTCATTCACATATCTCTTTATATGTGTAAATACAGCTGAAGGACACATTCCTAGAAGTAGTATTGCTGGCTTAGGTGGTTTATGTATCTTTTTAAAAATGCATAAATCAATGCATGTGTATGTCTATTTTCTTATAAACTTTTGGTTGGTTTGGGTTTAAAAAGTCTTTTTGGCAAACTTGTTAAAATCGGAAAGATCCCGCTCAATCAAAGTCCAAAAACAGCCAATGACATGTGCTGTCACTCCCTGCCCACCCCAACTACAAGCAAACTGTGCTCCCCTCCCGTGTGAAGTTTTGTGGTGGCCATCAGAGTGAATATGTCTTGCACACACACACACTCATTCATTCGTTTGCTGTTTCACCCACACTTGTTAACATCTTGGGAATTCTTAATATAATATATGTAAAATATCTACCTTATGGTGTCACTCAAGGATGTAGTAACTGCATTTGTACTATGGTAGTGTCACCCACAGGTTACACATATTTCCTATTCTGGGACACTCTTGAGGTCCCTACCACTTCTCATTGGCTCTTGTATTCTTACACAGGCTCTTCATGCCCCTACCTCCTCCTGCAATCCTCAATGCAGCAGAGTAATGGACGTAGAAAAAGCACCACCCAGGGTCTCCAGAATTGTACCATGGGCTGAAAAAAACAAGCATGGAGTTCATCTTTGCTAGAAGTTAGGTTCAACATGCAATGTGAGATGATAATATCAAATCTTTAGCAGGGAATGAGGAATGGGTAGACTTTTAAAGTATCCCTGCTTTCCTGTAGCCTTTACTCTATCTGCTTTCCTAGTAACATTCTGAGTAAATTTATTTACAATTGTGAAGCTTAGGGGTGTGGGAGGCAGGAGAGAGAGGAGGAAAAGCCTGCTTGAGAGTGAGAGGGTCAAATGTCATTTGGGTCCAAAGACAAGCCCTAGATCAATGTCTAAGTCAATATAATTGGGCTTTCTAGGGATCTACAGTTAAATAAGTGATGGTGTGAACTTGAGTAAGCCACTTTTCCTCTATTTGTTTCTGTTTCTCCACCTGTAAAATCAGTGGATTTGATCAGATTAGCAGTTCTCCAAGTTCCTTCCACAGTGCACTGGTCTAAGACAGTCTTTCTAAGAATAAAATCTAAAAGTCAAATATTTTAAAGAAAACAGTCAGCTTCATGACCTCTTAGAGATTTCGAAACCTTAGCAGGTTCAAGACTCTGAGAAGTCTTTTGACCAACAGCTGTTAATTTTTCTAAGTCTAATGGTTCCCAATTGCATTTGACAAAAAATGTTTTCTGGATTCCTTAATAATGCTCTGTGGAGCTCACTTTGGGAAATGCTGGAAGTTCTCCATGGTAACTTCCAGTTCAAATAATGTTTTTTTCTTTTTTTTTTTTTGGAGACGGAGTCTCACCCTGTTACCCAGGCTGGAGTGCAGTGGTGCGATCTTGGCTCACGGCAACCTCCGCCTCCTGGCTTCAAGCAATTCTCCTGCCTCAGCCTCCCAAGTAGCTGAGACTGCAGGCGCACGCTGCCATGCCCAGCTAATTTTTTGTATTTTAGTAGAGACAGGGTTTCACCATATTGCTCAGGCTGGTCTCGAACTCTTGAGCTCAGGCAATCCACCTGCCTCGGCTTCCCAAAGTGCTGGGATTACAGGCGTGAGCCACCGCACCTGCCCTCAAATATTTCTGATTAACTGATTAGCTGTTCACTAGTTGTTATAGAACAGTCTTTCTTCCTCTTCACCTTCTGCAATTCTGTTATCACATCTACTTACATCCAATGTTAGTCGGCTCACCTAGCACCTAAGGGTGAAAACCCTGCCCACAGCACTGGGGCCTGCATACAATAGGTGCTCCACAAATGCCTGGGTGTTGAGGTGCTGGGGTCTGGAGCAGGAATCACTCCTCAAATCTGTTAGGTTGACTCCCTGTAAGCTTTTAGGTTTTGCTGAAAGACTTTTAGTCTTTTATTGCTTCATTTTTATCAGTAATTTCTTTATTATCAGTTATTATATAGTGTCAATATATAGACATATATGTAATATATATCATTATACGATATGTTCTCATTATATGTTCTCTAATCATATACAAGTATCTAGAAAACAGGCTGTATATAATCCACTTATTACTGCATCAACTTTTACATTTAAAGACTCAATTTGATGAACAAATGCATAAGTGATTAAAGAGGAAATTTGAAACAAAGAGGCAAAATGAGGCAATTTGCATGTATTGAATACATGTAAATTTAGGGGAGGCAGTATAAAGAGTGGAGGGGAAGAAAGGAGAGATAAAGGAGAGGTGAGGAGGAGAAAGACAAAAGAAAACCAAGGTGGAAAAGAAGAAGAATTTTAAAAGGAAAAAACATAAACAGGTTGTACTTGGAGGGTAGAGCATGAAGAGGATTTGGAAAGTGGGTGTAACTACAACTGGACTTCTGCGGGACTGCCAGGTTCTACAGGAAGATGCGCTGGCTCTGCTGTCTCACACTATTATAGTAGTAGTAACACCACCTGGCCCATAGTGGGTGCTTATTAATATTTGATATGTGAATAAACAAAGACCATAACAATAATAGCTAGCTAAATTTTTATATGCATGATCTTATTTAATCTGTGCAAAATCTCTAAAAGTTGGGTAATAACTCATTTGTGAGACGTGGATTCCAAAGCTCAAAGAAGCTAAGTAACACATCCAATGCATAAGAACCCAAGTCAGCCTGACTCTAAATCCCATGACTTCAACCATACAGTGCACCTTCTCTCTGAAACAAAGCCTCATCTGAGGGGCACACCATCTGACCACGCTGCTTCCCTGAGCTTCAGGGAGAAGCTGTACTTGAGGAAGTAACAGCCGGGAAACCTGACATTTCCCGTGCCTTACCACCCCTGTTTGTCTAATACATACAAGACAAATGCCTGGGTGGGAGGGGAAGGGTGGAAGACAGTGGCTTTTTAGTGGCAGATGTTCACTCATCTCACTTCTGAAAGGCCCTCCATTGACCACTGGTGGGAGGCAGCCAGTACAGGCCTTGTTGTAAGCAGATCCTTGGGGTCCTTCCATATCCCATCTGGGGACATGGTGGCAACACTGAGCTACTGAGAAGGCCATATCCCCAACAAGTCTTCAGCACATTTTAGAGGATTGAGGGTCTGCACTCTCCCATCTGCTGCAATTACACTTTCCCCATCCCCAC
This sequence comes from Homo sapiens, assembly GCF_000001405.40. Lineage (NCBI taxonomy): Eukaryota > Metazoa > Chordata > Mammalia > Primates > Hominidae > Homo > Homo sapiens. The sequence goes on along the minus strand of NC_000016.10, from coordinate 51,841,760 downwards.
TGCCCGACACCCCACCAGCCACCTTGGCTCCTTCTGCTGGGACCCATGGCTTGGAAGGTCAGGGCTCCAGGGGGAGAAACCTCCCAGAGAAGGATGTTTATTTAGCAAAGCCTCCAAATTGCAGATTATTATTGTAAGATATGAGCATCTAAAATGGAAATGCTCAAAGCATTGACACCCTTGCAATGCTTATGATTGTTCTACCAGCCCCTCACATTGTAGCTTGGAGAGAGAATTAAAGCCCCAACTGGACCCTCTGAGCCATCCTATCACTCAGCATATCCCCTGACCTCCTGACTTCCCTGTTCTCCAGCCTTCAGGAGGTGTTGAGGTCAACCTGTTAGGTTCTAGTACTTTGGTGTGTGCATCTGGGCCTGGACAAAGAGGGCAGAGAATAATTTAAAGGATCTCAGAGAGGCAAATTGATCTACATAGTCGAAACTGGAGCCAAAGAGAGGTGGGAAGAGATAAGCAAGAGGCACAGAGAGAATTAGACTCACTAGGAAGAAACAGAAAAGAGACCAGAGGTTCTGACAGGCTAAGTGGGATTTGGTGAGATGGAGAGAAAATAGGGATTTTATGGTGATTTGCTGAGTGGATGTCACACAATGCAGTTCCCTCTAGCTTTTCAAGAAATTTTTGTGATCATTTAAATTGCTTTTTGCATTTTTAAAAATGTTAGACTGCTTTTTAAAATGTTGTCATTACAGACGGCCACAAGGCAGCTCCCTTTATTGCAGATGCAATGTCATCTGACTTGCTTGGAAACTTTTTACCAACTCCAACTTAGCCAGCATTATCCTGACATTGTCTCCATTTCCCCACTCCACTGCACTTTGCCCAGTGATCCCTGGATCGGGAGGATATTAGGGGTCCTAAGAATAGACACTGAGAGAAGGATACACAGGTTGGGTATCCCTTATCTAGAACAATTGGGACCAGAAATGCTTCAGATTTTAATTTTTTTCAGATTTTGAAATATTTGCAGAATACATACAGGTTAAGCATCACTAATCAGAAAATCCAAAATCTGATTTGAGCATCTAGGCATTCAAAAAGTTTCAGATTTTGGAGCATTTCTGATTTTGGACTTTTGGATTAGTGATGCTCTGCCTGTATTAGATTGTTTTGCCTTTCTCTTCCTCTCTTACCACAGCATTCTCTGTTTCTTTCTCCAAACCCTCGGCTGTTCTACAACTCTCTCTCTCCTCTTTCTAGCATCTTTTATATTCTTTTCTTTTTGGTCTCGTCCCTTCCTTTTTCTTTTTTTCTCCCTCTTTCTCTGACTCTTTTCTGTCATTTTCCATCTCTCTACACCTTTCTCCACCTCTTGGCCCCCTCTTTCTCTTCCTTTATTTCCACCTTCCTTTCCTCCTCCCCTTTTTAGCTCTTCTTTTCCATGTTTTCCCTTTAGCCCAGTGTCCTTTGTGGGCAATGGCTTTACTCACTGGTGGCATCAAGGTCAAAGTGGTTGCAAGACAAAACACAAGTGAGTCATCCAGTAAGCATTTGCCATGGCAAAATCCCCCCAATGAACTCTAGAGGTGCAGAGACTTAATCACCTCTGGGTTTGACCAAATCACATTCTTCCCATGACTTTCTGCCAGAGTAAAATGATTGATGGGTGAGGAAGTCAATCTGAAGTAGAGTAGAGTCTCCATCTTATAAAACAAACATTTTGAAACACTCAACCCCCTCAGGATATGCAAAATCCCACTTGAATCTTGCCGGAGTATTTGGGCAGGAGCTTCTGAAAAAAGCCATAATTCTGGAAAACCAGTAGAAGGAGAGGGAGTGTGTCAGGAATTCAAGAGTAAGTAAAAAGATAAAGATCTGAAATGTAGACAGCCTGACTGCATGGCTGGCCAGTGGGATTTCTTAGCCATGGAGAGTGGGTGGGCCTTAGATGAGAGCTGGAGACTCCCCTGTGAATCCTGCACCTGCTTGTGTCTGTCTCCCTTCTGGGCCTTAAATCTTTAACTAAGTGAGGATTTGGGATGAGATTATATGTGGAATTTCTTTCAATGTTCTGTGACTATATGATGATCAATTTTTATAGTCAGTCCCTACCTAAAATAATGAACAGGAAAGTATGGATCTGATCTGCTTTTTGCACAGCCCTGTCCTAGGCCGTGTTCAGCACACTACCATATTGCCCTTAGAAATCTTATCTATGTGGGGGGAGAAAAAAAGCAGGTTAAGATTAAAAAGAAATGAGTTTTAACTCAGCATCAAAGCCAAAATTTAAAAAAATAAAGAGAAAAGAAAGAAGAAATTGAGAAGAGAACAAAAGGTAGCAGTAAGTAATTTTCACTGAATGGACTAAAGCACAGGTAATTACCTCCCAGTGAAGGTGGGACCCAAGACAGAATGAGAGCATCTCTTCGGCTGGTTGGGGAGGAGGTTAGGATCCTTCTGACATAAGGGGGTCATCAGGAACAAAAAGTAAAAACAAAAACAAACTATGACAGTAAAAATAATATAAAATAAACAGACTCAAAGTCCACAGGGATGATTAAGAACTTTAGGAACTTGGGAGGATTTTGCTAAACTCTCCCAGCAGTTATAGGAATGAGGTAGAGGCACCCAGAAACCTCCCTTGCAGGTCTTGAGAAAGGCGCCTGGAAACATGGCTCTAAGCGCCAGTAACAGCTGTACCGTCTCTTTGAGGTGAGAGTTCCTCCATTAAAGTGTCCCGTTAAGATAGGTGGCCAACAATAACTACAGAAATTCCACTACAGCTGCTGTAGGTCTCTTATAAAACACACACACACACACACACACACACACACACACACACACACACACACACACACACACACACAAGGAAAGATGGACGCTGTCAAGAGCTCCAGCAAAAGTAAATTATTTTCATGGTAAGTAAAAATAGTAAGGAGAAAACATCATGATTTGGCTTATTTAAATTTTTTAATTATTCACTGAATTTGTTTTAACTACTCAATTTTGTGAGGGATTAGATAATGAAAAAGAGAGGGCAGCTTTCTCCAGCAATATGGAATAAAAATGGCAGGCTTTGGGATTGAGTCCAGGCTCTGACTTCAGCTGTGGGACCTCGGACAAGTTACTTAATCTCTCTAAGCTTTCATTTTTCTATTGGTCTTACTCTAGAGAGCTTTAGTGAGGATCGCGTGAGTTAAAATGTGTTAAGCATTGACAACAGTGCCTGTCTCATGGTGTTTTAGTTCTCTTCTGCTTCTGTAACAAATGACCACAAACTTAGTGGCTTAAAGAAACTCAAATTTATCATCTCACAGTTCTATAGGTTAAAAATCTACTACTTGGATAAAATAAGGTGTTGGCAGGACTGTGTTCCTTTCTGTCAGCTGGAAGGGAGACTATTTCCTTGACTTTTCTAGCTCCTAGTGGCTGCTCATCTTCCTTGGCTCATGCACCCTTCCTCTGTCTTCAAAGCAGCAACATTACATTGCTCTGACAATTCCCCCATAGTTCCATCTTCCTCTGGCCACACCTGGGAAAGGATATCTGATTTTAAAGAGCATATATAAGATTAGATTGGGCCCACTGGGATAATTTAGTTTATTCCATTTCAAGGTCCTTAACTTGATCACATCTGCAAAGTTCCTTTTGGTGTTAAGGTAACATATTCACAGGGTTTAGGAAGTAGATAGTTTTGGTATTTCTGCCTACCACAGACAGTGTGTGCTCAGTTTATTTATTATTATTAAGAAGCAAATTTCCAAATATCAAGACAGATGAAGTCCTTTCTAGAGCTGTAAAATAACTTGAAGAGATCATTTTTTCTGAAGGGAGGGAGAATATGTATGTATTTTATAACATCTAAATTAAGAAAAGATAGAATACCAATTTTAATCACAAAACTCCTTTGCTTATCAATATATTTTCTGAGTTTAATTGAATGATAGTTAATAGTTATAGTGTCTCTACATGCTCTAGACACCATTTTAGGAGATGTTTTTCTTTCATATATACTATCTTATTTAATCCTTACAGCAACGTGCAGGGCGTGTAAAATTATCGACTTAGACACAATGACAGAATAAGCTCAAATAAGTGAAGTAATGTTCTCTAGGTCCCACAGACAAGAGGTGGGATGGCTAGAATATTTCTTAGCATGGAGGCTCACTTCAAGTTCTAGTCCAATCCTATTGTGGAAGGAATGCCTTTTTGAGTTAACTAGCCAAACTTTCGAGGTGTGACTTGAGCCTCTTGAATCATGTTGTTCACTCCAAAGGCCAACATGGAGACCTAATTATGGACAACCTCACTCTTGTACACTCTAGTCATTGTTGGGGGTTCAGAGAGGAAATATGGACCCAATTTCCAGACTGGGTCCCATCATAAGGGCTGGCTCTGGGGTATAGCCCTGTCCCCCAGAAGCATGACCACCCAAGTCAGCATTCAGTTTACATGCTACCTTTCCTCTATGAGCAGAAAGCAGAATTGCATGTAACTACCTGGTTTTCTATAGAAGCATATAAAATTTCACACTTATGATAAATGCCCAGGACTAGGGTTTCATAAAACCATTTAGTGTATTAGAGTCTATTAACCAGACTGAAATCATGACCCTCGTTTAGCAGTTATAGACTGTGGCAGCACTTAATCCATATGGGTAGATTTTTATAACATTTATGATCTGAACCAGATCCCTTAATGCCTAAACTCATAACTATTGGCTTGAAATATGAGCATCTGGAAAGCACAACTGGCAGAGCCCCATGCAATGTTGTAGGAGAGAGCTCATGCTAACAAATTTCCTAAGGAAAGATCAATTTGGATGTAAAGGTATGCAGGAAATGGGAAGCTCAGTCCTGACAGTTCTGTAAGAGACTCTTGGTTACCTGTCCAATATCTGTTACCCCTGCTCCTTTCTACCAGGCTCCAGATTTTATTAAAATACCCACCCCCAATCTCTGCACACTCTATCTGATTCAGGAGAAGCTGGATTCACCTCCTTTGTCAGTGATTGGTTTAGGAACCCAGGTTTAAACAATGAGCACTTGTATTTTTCCCAGCAACTATTTTGTTCTAGGAATAAGCTCATGTCCTATATTGACTCAATCAAAACAAAAGCTAGAGCTAATATTCTATAACTAAGGAGAGATTTTTTTTTCTCTTCTGCAGACCTTAAACAAGAAAGCCTGTTTCCCTGTGCTAATGGAAGCCATAGTATGTCCATGCCAAAATCCACCTGAAAGAAAAGTGGTTACACATGTTCCAGGAAGGTCGGAGATTTTTTATCCCATCTGCAAGCTAAATACTTAGTCTGCCACAATTTATGGATGCTGCCAGAAGACACAAGACTCCTGGGTCAGAGACAATGGAATTTGTTACTCATGCCACTGCAAAGAACATGAGCATTAGCATATTTGCCTCTGGTCCCTGAGCCCAATTCCCACAGGGTGATGTGAAGCAGAACAGGTGATACCTGCGTATATACCAAGAATTCTGAACTTATATCTAGGGAACCTACATCTTTTAATACTGGGCAGTTAGCATGCCTGCCCTACAGTCCAGAGGGAGACAGATGTTCTTAAAAACATAGTCCGGAACAAAGACAGTCAGTGTTATGACTGTAGCTCACTTGCCTCTTGACTTTCTGTTACACAAGATAAGAAATATTCTTTTTGTTTAAGGTGGTTCGAGAAAAGATCTTTTTTTGACTCACAGCCAAACTATCATAACCAATAAAACAACCAATGGTCTGAATTCTATAGGGAACTTCAAGATTCTTAGCTTTTTAAAGAGAACTGATCTCAGCCACTAAGTAGGCCATTTCACCAAGTTGTGTTTATCTTTGAGAGGGAAAATTATCTCTGGTCTCTACCTGGATAATTTGATACCTCAATCAGCAATAGGAAATTGAAATCCAAAGGGTGATTTTCTCAGAAGGTGAAGGGTGGGGGCATCACTGTGATTTACCAATTTACAACTGTACAACCAAATCACATAAAATGCTGTATGAAGGCTTTAAATATTGGAATCTTTCTGAAAACAACACAACATTAGACATTGGGTCTTCTGCTGCGTCATGGCTATCACTCCATCAAGGAGTGTTTAAGGCATTCCTATCAGACTGCTGCTTGAGAAAATATATTTCTCTCTACCTAACCATGAAGCTGCATGTTAGAACTATTAAACCACAAGAATTTTCCTGAAACAGTATCTGTGAAGTTTAGCAGAGCAAGAAGTCTCTCCCGGTGCCATGGAAGGGAGGCCTTCTGGGAACTGGCTTATCACAGTAGGGACGAGAGCACCGCTTGCTCCACCCATGGTTCACATTCAAGAAGATCCTCAAATGTACACCCACAGGCACAGAGATATCAAATGCTAACACACTGGAAGGAAAAAGCCAGTCATCTTATGACAGTACACTTGTGCCTCATGACTGTGCCATACTATCTGTAAAGGCTTATAAATGGTTATTTTTGATAATCTGTCATTATTTTCTTAATACATAATAAAAAATGATTACATTTGTGGTGTGTGTGCATATAGGCCTGTTAAAAGCTCTCATTTGTTAAATATAA